>NC_000008.11:140849545-141151623 GCF_000001405.40 Homo sapiens
AAGCAGATTTACATGTAATATCTCATTTAATCATCAGAACATCACTGTGAGGTGGGTACTATTATCATCCCCATTTTATAGCCTCAGAAAAAGCCTAAAAGATTGATCAAAATGATAGCAGTAGATAATAATCCTACTTAAGGAGTATCCACCAGGGACCAGTTACTACGCTAAGCATTTTACGTATATTTCTGATCTTTACAATAATTCTTCAAGGTAGAGTTTATTAGTCCTATTATATATAAAGATCAGAAAACTTAACTTCGTGTTGAACACGTATTAAAGTCAGGATTCAAAATCCAGATGTATCAACCCCGAAAACTCCAGCTTTAGTTTGTACCTACTACTTGTCAACTCTTTCACAGTGCAGTCATTCTCTACTAGAATGAAGATTAACAAATAGGAACCACCTCTCATTTACCCTTGCATCCCCAGTATCAACCACAATAGATTCATATGCATCTCCTGAGGTATTGGAACACTGGCACTGTGTTGTACTCTCTTTTTCTATTGTGGATTATACCCAGGTCCAGGAAATTTGCAAGATCCTTCCAAAAAAAAAGACTTCTGAAAGTTGGTTTTTAAAAATTAATTTGTTGGCTAGGCACAGTGGCTCACGCCTGTAATCCCAGCACTTTGGGAGGCCGAGGTGGGTGGATCACCTGAGGTCAGGAGTTCGAGACCAGCCTGGCCAACATGGTGAAACCCCGTCTCTACTAAAAATACAAAAATTAGCTGGGCATGGTGGCAGGCACCTATAATCCCAGGTACTCGGGAGGCTAAGGCGGGAGAATTGCTTGAACCCAGGAGGCGGAGGTTGCAGAGAGCCAAGATCGTGCCATTGCACTCCAGCCTGGGGGCCAACAGTGAGACTTCGTCTCAAAAAAAAACTACGACGGGCCAGGCGCGGTGGCTTATGTCTGTAATCCCAGCACTCTGGGAGGCCAAGGCGGGTAGATCACGAGGTCAGGATATCGAGACCACCCTGGCTAACATAGTGAAACCCCATCTCTACTAAAAAAAAAAAAAAAAAAATTATCCGGGCGTGGTGGCAGGCACCTGTAGTCCCAGCTACTTGGGAGGCTGAGGCAAGAGAATGGCGTGAACGCGGGAGGCGGAGCTTGCAGTGAGCCGTGATCGTGTCACTGCACTCCAGCCTGGGCGACAGAGCGAGACTCCATCTCAAAAAAGAAAAAGAAAAAAAAACTAGGATGGATTTGGACTTCTTTCTTTGTGCAAGTATTGTATTTGTATCAAGGAGTTCCTTCATCATACTCTGCAATAGAATGAATGAAGCACAGGTTTTAATATAAAAACTGTTCACATTTTGTAACAGAAAATATTGATGCTAAATTACTCCATAATGTATTGCATATGTCAACTCAATGATTTGGCTACCACATGAGATTTTGTGTTTTATTGTGGTCTCTTTTGAATATTCTAACAGCTACACAAATTTATCAGTTGGACTCAAATGACCTTGGTAGCAAAGAAAGAGGATGGGGCAGAGGGCAGACAAAGAAAAAACTGACTAGGTTTACTTACTAGCTGGGTGACCAAAAGCAAGTAATTTTACTCTTAGAGCCTAGCTGACTGAGTTTTTGTCAGATACTGTGAAGTATTTTGTATACAGAAGGAACTCAATGGCAGCTCCAAATTAATACTAACTTAATTTTTCCTCTTTCATACCTAAGCTATAAAAATATACAAATGAACAATTACGCTACCTTAATGAGTTATATACTTTTAAACAGTTCAATGTCATTTAACATAGTATTTAACAGTTACACATTCATTGATTTATCAAATGTTTATAAAATGACTATCATGCGCCAGGATATTATAGTGAATAAAACAAACATGGAACTTACACAAAGGTAATGGTAAATTTTCATTTAAAAATAATTACTTTGGATGTTCTATTGAGGATAGACCATAAAGCTATATGACAACAAATGTTTCCATTATCTCTTTTTGTTGTCCATTTATAATGGTTAAGTAACCCCAAATTTTATTAAAAGTAAATGAAGGGGCCAGGCATGGTGGCTCACACCTGTAATCCCAGTACTTTGGGAGGCCAAGGCAGGTGGATCGCTTGAGCTCAGGAGTTCAAGACCAGGCTGGTCAACATGGCAAAAACATCTCTCTACTATAAATACAAAAATTAGGCAGACATGGTGGTGTGCACCTGTAGTCCCAGCTACACGGGAGGCTGAAGAAGGAGAATCGCTTGAACCCGGGAGGCAGAGGTTGCAGTGAGCCGAGATCATGCCACTGCTTTCCAGCGTGGGTGACAGAGAGAGACTTTATCTCAAAAAAAAAAAAAAAAAGGTAGTAAATGAATCTAACTGCATAGCAATCTTTTAAAAGAACATTTGATGTTGAGTGTGTGTGTGCCCGTGTGTGTACTTGGGTGGGAGCACATGCACACATACATGTGTGTGCACACACACAATCTGATTTCTCAAACTTCAAAAATTTGCTTTATTTCTTGGATTTTTTTCATGACATCTTCTAATAAATCTCATCTAAAAGTTTTGAATATCAGGGCATTAGGATTAAAAGTCAATTCTCAATATTAAATTCCCGAAGATAATAAACTGAGCACCTAAAACCCATGCCCTACTGTGTGGTGGATACAACGGTGAAGAAGACAGACTTCTTATTTGCTCTCACTGAATGCACACCCTGTTGGTAGGTACAACAGATTAACGACAGTTAAATATAACGTATAAACAACAGATCAGTGCTTGCTAGAGTTAGGGATGGGACAGCATGTGACTAATAAAGCAACAGGGATTTTCTTTGTGTCCATAGGATAGTTCTGTATCTTGATTATGATGATTACATACATTTGCACCTGTGATAAAACTGCACAGAATTACACACACACACACACTTGAATGTGTGTAAACATTAGTGAAATCTAAATTAGGTTTGCAGTCTAGTTAACAGTATTCTGCCAGTATCAATTTCCTTATTCCTATATTGTATTATATCATGACTGAAGTGGTAATTACTGGACTGTATACAATTGTCAAAACTCACTAAACTGCATACTTAAATTATTTTATTGTATGTAAATTATACCTCAATAAAACAAATTTTGTATTTTAAAATGTGTATATGTTGTATGGGAAATGTACGGGTACTATGCACAGGTAAATGGAAGGCTTTACGTGGAAAGCACCATTTAAATTAAGAGCTGAAGACTGAGCAGAAGTAACCTAATTCCAGGAAAGAAAAGGCAAGTTATACAGGAAAATGTTAACTCAGCGGCAGGTCTGGGATGCTCAAATCCTGTTCATTCCCACGAAAGGCATATTTTTAGGGCTGGCCCTTAGTCTCTTAGAAACTAAACCCCTGAAATGTTCTGTCTGATAAGAGTGCTTCTGCATACCTGAAGACGGCCACAATTTGACCACCAACTGGTGAAAAAACTGGCCACCAATTTGAACCAGATAATTTATGCACACACTGTTTTGATGGTAAACACCTGTTTTCTCTCTAGGGTCTGGAAAGTGAATAAATGAGGTCAGTCACGTAGGCGTTGTATGCCTATGAGACTGACCTCCAACACACACCTTAAACACTCAAGCTCAGGCCAGAGTCTCTGCTTGGCAAACCTTTGCATATGATGTCACACTCTTTTTTTTTTTTAATACTTTAAGTTTTAGGGTACATGTGCACAATATGCAGGTTTGTTACATATGTATACATCTGCCATGTTGGTGTGCTGCACCCATTAACTTGTCATTTACATTACGTATATATCCTAATGCTATCCCTCCCCCCTCCCCCCACCCCACGACAGGCCCCAGTGTGTGATGTTCCCTGCCCTGTGTCCAAGTGTTCTCATTGTTCAATTCCCACCTACGAGGGAGAACATGTGGTGTTTGGTTTTCTGTCCTTGTGATAGTTTGCTGAGAATGATGGTTTCCAGCTTCATCCATGTCCCTACAAAGGACATGAACTCATCCTTTTTTATGGCTGCATAGTATTCCATGGTGTATATGTGCCACATTTTCTTAATCCAGTCTATCACTGATGGACATTTGGGTTGGTTCCAAGTCTCTGCTGTTGTGAATAGTGCCACAGTAAACACACGTGTGCATGAGTGTCACACCCTTTATTAACCATGAGTGCTTCTCCTTCAATTATCAAAAATATACAAGAGTGAAAAAGGGAGAAGAAATGTACACAATTAAATCTTCAAACCACAGAAAATAAACCTTCTAATAAGAGAGTTAGACTACATTACATTTTAGCTTCTGTCTGGAAAAGGGCAGCTGATAATTCCTATACTGAGAATGCCAGGCTTAAACTAAGTTTTACCTCTTAGACCTGCAATTTCAAAATGTATCTTAACGACAGCTTTAAGGCCAAGAAAATATAGAGAAGGAAGTCAATTTCTAATGACACAATTATCTGAAAACTTGTAAAACTACAAAAGAAAACTGGAATAAAAATAAAAGGAAGGTGACCAATAAGAAATAAGTATGCCCTGGCACCTCACATGTTCCTATAGTTAAGTTTAGATTCTATACCATAGAGTTAAGTTACAGTTTTAGACTCAGTATTTTCTTCAACTTCCTATTGCAACTCCTTTTGTCAAGGAAACCACTGATTATTTAATGTCATTTAAAAGTTAATGGGTGGACATACTCATTCTAAGTCTTAAAACATCTGTAGGAGTAAACAATGACAAACTCGTATCAGGCTCAGGCATCTGAAGAGCTGAACATTTCAACAGTGCTAAAAGATTTCTATACAAGTTCAGCATCCTCAATGCAGATTAATATGACTTCTTGACTAAACATGGACACTGGCCTTCAAACTAACAGCCACCATCATTTGCAAAAAGTTGCCAATGAAATACTTATAACTTTAACAAATGAAAGTTGTGAGAGAAAAAATAAACGTTACACGGTAAAGAAAAAAATTTGATTCCGGGGTAAAACAAACTGTTCCTGCTTCCTCATGAGTCATTAGCTTTATTGTCAAACTCATTTTTATAAATTCCTGCTCTATATACTGTTATAACAGTGAATACTGTTATAACAAGATTCTAATTTATTTTTAGAATGTGCTAATTAATATATTTCAGAATATTCACAAATAGGTCAAAATATTTAGTAAGTCATTGAAATTTTCACATTGGTAGTTACATTTAGGCCATCTTTTAATGAAGCTATGTGCATCCTTAATAATTATGTCTAACTAGTAATATAACGCTCAAACACTCATCAGTGTTTTCCTCATGACCCCACCCAAAATGGACTTGGATGAATTTTCAGAATGAGAAATAATAAAATTAGGGGAGTTTATTGTAATCTATTTCCCTCCCTCTCTTCTTTTCATGGGATGGGGTGGTGGTAGAAATAATTTAAACATAATTATTTTATTTCTGCACTGGCTAAACCAAATATATATATGTATGTATAAAATATATGTATTTTTAGAAACTGGGTCTTGCTCTGTCACCCAGGCTGGAGTACAGTGGCACAACCATTTCTCACTGCAGCCCAAACTCAAGCACAAGTGGTCCTTCAGCCTCAGCTTCCCAAAGGGCTGAGATTCCAGGCATGAGCCACTGCATCTGGCCCCATTAAAAATACTGATTCATTTACATAGAAATTAAAAGAGAACACTAAGGAGTGTGTTCACTATGTGCCAGACATTTCTAAGAGCTTTGATATGCTGTTTCACTGAAGACTCACAACAATCCCCTCTGCCCATTTTCTAGACTTAAAAAAAAAGGGGGGGGTCGCCACGTGTGGTGGCTCACGTCAGTAATCCCAGCACTTTGGGAGGCCGAGGCGGGTGGATCACGAGGTCAGGAGATTGAGACCATCCTGGCCAACATGCTGAAACCCCATCTCTACTAAAAATACAAAAAATTAGCCAGGTATGGTGGCGGGCGACTGTAGTCCCAGCTACTCAGGAGGCTGAGGCAGGAGAATCGCCTGAACCCAGGAGGCGGAGGTTGCAGTGAGCCAAGATCACGCCACCACACTCCAGCCTGGACAACAGAGCAAGACTCTGTCTCAAAAAAAACAAAAAAAGAAAACCTAAGATCAGTTAAGAAAATGAACAGACAAGCCACAGACTCAGAGAAAATACTAGCAAAACATAACATGACAAAGGACTAGTATACAAGGTACATGAAAAGTCCTACATTTTAAAATCATAGAGACAGAAAGTAGAATGGTGGTTGCCAGGGGCTGCAAGGAGGACAAATGGGGAAATATTGTCTATAGACTTTCAGTTTTATAAAATGAAAAGAGTTACAGAGAAGGATGGTGGGGATGGTTGTGCAATATTATGAATGTATGTAGCACTGCTGAACTGCACACTTAAAAATGGTTAAGATGGTAAATTTTATGATGGTAAGTGTGTGTTCTACCACAATTTAAAAAAAATTGGGAAGAAAAAGCGTACGATTTTACAATACATATTGTACAAAAAGGTTTAAGCAGATTTTCAAAAAAGGAGACCTACTAACATTCAATATGCACATGGAAGAATAAACAACATAAACAATGATTATTAGTTGGTACCCAGAGAAGTGAACATAAAAACCACCACGATTCAACCACATACCCACCTAGTCAAAAGGCTAAAACAAAACAATGACAACATCAAATGTTGGATAGAATGCAGAGCAACCAGAACTCTCATACATTACTGGAGGAAATATAAAATCACACAACTGTAAAGGATCAAAGGGTAGATACAAATTTCATTTAACATGAAAGTCCCAGCCCATGTTCACAAAAATGCTTGCCAAAGAATGTTCCCAGTCATCTCAATAATAGTAAAAAACAAAACAAAACAAAACAAAACAAAACAAAACAGTCCAGATGTTCATCAACAGAAAAATGGATAAATACACTACGATATATTTATATAACAGAATACTACTCAACAAGAAAACTACTGAAATCTCAAAAACATGAGAAAAGAAACTTCACATAAAAATACGCACTACATAATCTGTTTATAAGAAATTCTAAAACATGCAAAACTAAACTACGGTGGGAAAAACACAGGAGCAATGGTTGCTTGGGGCAATGACTGGGGGCAAGGATTGACTGGGAAGGGTCAGTGGGAAACTTCCTGGGGTGATGGTCATATTCTACATTCCAGAGGCATTCAGATTATTCTGGTGTATGTATCTGTGAAAACTCAATAAATGTATACTTAATATTTATATATTTAACTGTGTATAAATCAAAACAAAAACCATAATTGAATACTGAATTCTAGGTTAACGATACTTATGTTGAAGTGTGCTGACACTTGAAACTTACTTTGAAATGTATGAAAATTTAAGATGGATTAATGGCTAAAGGGATGGAGAGATAAAAACAGTTATGTGATAAAGGAAGCATAACAAACGTTAATGGTAGAATCTAAGTGGTGGGTATGCTGGTGTTCATTATAAAATTCTTTCAACACTGCAGTACATCTGAAGTTTCATAATACAATGTCGTAGAAAAAATAAAATTTTGAGGCACAGAGAAATAATTTCCCCACAGTTAAAGTTAAGCCATTGATCAGAGTGATCACACTCAGCCATGAAGCTTGTTGACGCCAGTTTAAGTCTCCACATAGTGGCCTTTACCTTCTTATATACTATTAGCAGAACAGTGAGAATGACATTTTTTGCAACCTGGATCTGAACTCTGTCATCCCTTTGCACTTAACTTTCTCTGGCTTCTCAGTGTCTTCACAATCAAGGTCAGATGACTGAAAAGGGCATCTCAAGCCATCCCTTACTGTCTCATCTCTCACCCTGCCCTCCAGTCACACTGGCTTTTTATCAGCTCCTCGAATCTCCAAGCTCCCTTCTACAAGGGGCCTTTGTATCAAATCCAAGTGTGGAAAGGCAATTAAGCATCATAACAATTCAATGACTTAGGATTCCAACAGTATTGCTAAAGGGACCTGCTATATAAACCAGGACCAGATTCTGGATGCATTATAACAATTATTCTTACATTACTGGGGTCACAAGAAGGTAAAGGAAAATGGGGCAGAGGGACGAAATAAGAACAAATACAAGCTAAGATCCTAGTAGAAGCCATGGGCTGTAAGATACAGGAACAGAGGACATGTATGCTCTCAGCTGGCTGAGGACTGACCACTTCTCCTTACTTCCGCCAAGTGAGAGAGCTTATCTTGAGATTCATGTAGTAAGGCGGTGTCTTCAAAATCTACTCAAAGGGTCTCCATTTGGTAGTAACTTGTTTCCAAGCAAACAAATACAAACCTTTAGAGGAAAGAATCCCCAAACTAGGTAGGCCCTCAAGATTTCCACATGTGAAGTTCAACAAAACAAGAGTTCAGAACTCACACACAAGGAAAAAAGTCACTGTGAAAGCCACCAACAACAAACGTGAAGAGCCCAAGGACTTCAGATGCTATAATTCACATTCAGAATAGAGACATTCATTACATATGAAATGGTAAAAGAAATATTAATAAAAGGCAGATAGATTAGCAAATAATAAGGGCCATACAAAGTGGCCTGGCAATTTAAAAAACTTTTTTTAAATCATAAGCAAAAAAATCAACAAATGCACCAAACATAAAACTGGTCACGGTTGAGGAGAGCTGGTAATCTGCCAGACTAGACTGACCTGAATTATGTATCCTTTAGAAAGACAAGAAATTAAAAACATGAAAAACAAGCTAACACATATGGAGAGACTGAGGAGTTCTAACATAGATCTAACCCAAAATCCCAGAAGAAATAACAAAAAACTAAGAAAAGGTCATATCAGAATAGACAACAACTAAGAGATTTCCAGAAATGATGAAAACGACATGACCCCCTAGAGGTACATGTAGCATGACACAGATCAAGCAAGGGCAGAAAAAAAAAAAGAAAGAAAGAAAGAAAAAAAGAAAATCCACGACTCGTTTGTAATGAAGCTGTAAAAACCAAAGAGAAAAAAGGATCTTCAAGCCATCCAGACAGAAAAGACAGGTCACCTACACAGAAAGAAAAAATGAGAGCTGAGTTCTCAACAGCAAATAAACAATTAAAGACAGTAGGAAATAACCATCAAAATACTGACAGAAAATGCCTACCCTGATTTGTGTACCCAGCAATACTATTTTTCAAGCAGGAGAAAAAAAGAACATTAGAAAAATGGATCTAAATAACACAATTAAAAATCTTGAAATAATGGCTATTTATTGAGCCTGTGCCAAACAATTACAGAAGACACATTCCACTCAAGCAAAACTGGAACCTTAACAATATCTAAATATGTGCAAGGTGATGAAACAAGTCCATACGGAACTTAAACAATTAGTATCAAATGAGCCACAGTCTCTTGACTACAATGCAAAATTATTTTCAAAATGAGCCAAAAGAGATAAATTATTAAATCCACGGATGATCACTTTTCCATTTATACCAACAAGGTATACTGAATGTCCTGACCAACCACCTAGCTGAAAGCAACTAAAACCGCTGAACAAATTATTTTTTTAAAATCTTCTTGAATGCTTACGTGAGCTGGGAAACAAAACAAAACAGAAAATACTCAAGCTAATGACAGGAATAGAGAAGTCTATGGGAGAACTTAAGGTCAGCTTTTACCTTAAGGGTAGAACTGAAGAATAAAAACATGTTGTAAAGCATGACAACTGGCAAACAAAAGCAAGCATGGGAATGATAAATACAAAATTCAGGATAATGGTACACTGAGTGGAGTGAAAGGGCAGTGTGTACAGTGAGGTGGGCCACAGGAACATGGGACAGGGAAGTATCAGGATGTTCTTTTCATCTGAGCAGTAGGGTCATGGGTATTCATTTTATCATCAATTATCACACCTTATAAAAGAATAAACATATATCAGATATTATAGAATCTACAGAATTAAAAATTATCAATGTCATCAAATTCTGAGCCCCATAAAAATCACTGATTTAGCCTAGAATTCAGTGGAAGTATGTTATGTATATATGTATCCATCTTAAATGTTTGCATCAAATATTAAAGACTTTAAAGGTTAGAGAATGCGTATCATCAAATTCTGAGGCCATTATAAAGTGACTAATTTATCTCACACTTCAGTGAAGGTTCTCACACACAATACTTACGTAACGTTTCAGCTGCATTCTCAGATAAATATACGCTGGCTATAGAAAGCTGATGAGGACAATTACTGATTTATCTGTGCCCCCCCTCCCGCCCACCCCCGACATGTGTGTTTAAATAGCAGAAACCTCTGGATTCCAAACTGATTTTGCAACTTTGGAATTAAACCCTTTCCCAAGTTGGGTGCTGCCTGTGCAGGACAATATATGGATCACTTATAACAGTTCTGGAATTGCGAAGCATGTAGCAGGGCAGATTCTGCATTGAGACTTTACCAGGAGAAGTCAAATATATAATTACTTACCAAACCAGCAATAAAAACTCATAGTATATTCAAAACTTTCTTGCCAGATCAGGCTAAAATTTAAAAATATGCATTTTTTTCCCACATAAACGAAAATTATACAGGTTTTATACATGGCCTGTTTTAAACAACAGCATTTAATGCTGTTAATACCTTCCACATCCATGAACAGTTGTACCTCCCTGTTAATGAGGGATACATAAATTTGAAACTCAGTACAACTAACCTGTTGAAAGACATCTGCAACGCCTCTAATTTCTTTCTTGTTACTGTAATATGCTTATAAGCACCCTTGTACATGTATGCATACATGTGTAAATCTTATTTCTTTTGAATAAATTCATAAAAGTAGAATTATTAGGTCCAATCATAGGGAACTGCCAACGTTTCAACTGTTTTTTACTTACGGTAAAGATGGCAGTCAACAGGGTCACCCAACAAACTGGAGGACGTGAACATACTCAAGGCTTTTGGTATACTGGCCAATTCATGCATTTTGACAAATCATAGTATTTTGTTTTTGTTGAGACAGGGCCTTGCTCTGTCGCCCAGGCTGGAGTGCAGTGGCATGATCTTGGCTCACTGCAACCTTTGCCTCCTGGATTCAAGCTATTCTCCTGCCCCAGCTCCTCAGTAGCTGGGATACAGGTGTGTACCACCATGCTCTGCTAATCTTTTTATTTTTAGTAGAGACGGAGTTTTGCCATGTTGGCCAAGGCTGGTCTCGAACTCCTGACCTCAGGTGATCCACCCGCCTCGGCCTCCCAAAGTGCTGGGATCACAGGCGTTAGCCACCGCACCCAGACAATCATAGTATTTTCTTTCTTCCTCCCTTCCCTTTTTATGACTTTGGTACCACCTTTAACTTCCTCCAATTACCATTACTTGAGCCTGAAATACTAGCACGGAAAAACAACGACATTGCCAATCACCAATGGGAAAGGAATGTGACCATGACTATACTTTCTTTTAAAATGTATGTACTTGATAAACTATTACAAAAGGATACACAAAATGAAAGTGATTATTAGAATAGAGATAATTTAAGTAATGTTTTAGAATTATTTTTTGAACTTTCTAAAAGTGTGCCATGCCAAGCATGGTGGCTCATGCCTATACTCCCAGCACTTTGGGAGGCCAGGGCGGAAGGACTGCTTCAGGACAGGAATTTGAGACCAGCTTGGGTGGGTAACATAGCAAGACCCCCATCTCTACAAAAGACTTTTTAAAAATTAGCGAGGCATCATGGCACGCACCTGTAGTCCCAACTACTCAGGAGGCTGAGGCAGGGCGATTGCTTGAGCCCAGAAGTTCAAGGCTGCAGTGAGGTATAATCATGCCACTACACTCCAGACTGGGCAACAGAGCAAGACCCTGTCTCTATAAAAATAAAATAAAATTTTTAAAAATATTAAAATGTACCATATAATTTAACAGATTTTTAAAAATTAAAAAGACAAGAAGAGAAACTGTAGAAATGAATGACAGCAAAGAGTGGGGTGGAGGAGCTGAAAGGCTCTACAGAGTGCACATAGGAAGGAAAAGGCAAGCTATGTACCATCCCATAATGTGCAGCTCACACTTGTATGGTGATATGCAAATGGCAAATGCTGAATCCTCTAAGTCTGTTACTGTCTACAGACTGAAATTCAAAATATCACTGGGCAATTATATGGCAGACAATTTTATCTCATATAATGAACTTAACAGTCCTATACAATAGTTATTCCATATCTATATTTTAGTATATGAAACAATTAAGCACAAAGAGACTCAGAGGTACCTAAAATCACAGAGCTATTATATACAGAACAAGCACACGACTGTATTCACTGCATATTCCTTTAAGCGAAATTTCATTAACACTTAACTATACTTAGTGAATGCCTTGATCAGAATTTTTTTTAGACCACTCTGACTGGATGGCAGTATCAGGGATAGACTGAATTTTTAATAGGTTCATTACATTTAGCTTTCTCTTGGGTTTTATAAAGACCGCTGAACTGAATTCTATAGACTACCATAAAATATATCCTATTAGTAAAAGAAAATCTGGGATACATTGGTATGTGCAGTACTCACTTTATCATATAGGAAAGTCTTCCAACAAAGAAAAAGTAGGACAACCTAGTAACAGTGTGAACTAGGAACAAAAAAGTTGCAGACTTTTAGGTTAGCCTAGAAATTATAAAAAGGAGTCACTTAAGCCTGTATTATGCATTCTGGAAATCAATGTTACTAAAGTACCCATGTATTTCCTCGGTGGGTAGAATTTTTTTTCAAAGAAGTAATACAAGTAGTGACACAGATCACATACCAAGAGAAAAATGCTAAATAAACATGAGTTATTTAAACTCTCTTGTTATCTCCTTCGCCAAAATATGAAGTTCAACAGATTCCTAAAGGATGAGATGTAATAATACATGAGAACCAGTCTGTAAGATGAAAATTATTTTTGCAATGAGTAGGCTTCCAATAAGCTCAGCTGGAATCTAAAAACGCCTTCTTAATCTTTCCATTTTACCAACTTAACTCCCTTTCATATTCAACTCTGTATTATCGTAAACCCTCAAAACTTGTCACCAATCCCTTACCTCAAGGTTCCCCAAACCCTGGGCCATGGATCAGTACCAGTTAGTAGCCTATTAGGAACCAGGCCACACAGCAGGAGGTGAGCTGTGGGCAAGCGAGCATTACCGCCTGAGCTCTGCCTCCTGTCAGATAAGCAGTGGCATAAGATTTTCATAGGAGCGCAAACCCTGTTGTGAGGTGCACGTGTGAGGGATCTAGGTTGCGCATTCCTTATGAGAACCTAAGGCCTGATGATCTGAGGTCAAACAGTTTCATCCCGAAATCATTCCCCCACACCCCACCCTGCCACACCCTGTGGCCCTGGTCTGTAGAAAAACTGTCCTCCTCAAAACCAGTCGCTGGTGCCAAAAAGGTGTTAGGTAAAGCAGCAGGCCCCAACCTATCTCCTATGTGACTACTTCTTCACAGACAAGATGAAAACAGACACACCCCCGCCAACAGCTGGAAACTTCCTTAGCTTCCTACTCTCTCAGCTTGAATCTTTTAAATGGTAACATCTATCATTATCTCACATAGAAAAATATAGAACAACTTACCTTCTTACCTCCTTCTTTTGAATCTAATCCACCATTGCTCTTTCATGGCAGTAAGTGCCTAGACTTACATAATAAGCCTTTTTCTTCCTTATTTTCATATTCTGTTTTAGTTCAATCTCTGGGTCCTATCAAATCCATCCACTAAATTTGCTTATTATAATATACTTTCACTTTTATTTAATTTCTTGCCAGAATGATTGAAGAGCCTCTAAACATGCTTGCAACCTTTTAAAAATTCAATCTATCCCTGATACTGCCATCTAATCAGAGTGGTCTCAAAAAAAAAAATTCTGGTTACGGCATTTGCTAACTAACGTTTTTAAATGGCTCCCAATATCTGCAGGAGAAAACCTAAACCCCTGTTTACATAATGTTTGTGGTCCCTCTCTCACCAAAATGTTATGAACTATTTTAGCTAAGACTGCACCACATTTTCTCTCTCCCCTCCGTGTTCTTGTCTAGAAAACACAACTCTTCCTTTTCTACAAAGTTGAAGACTCCTCAAATGATGCTTTTCAGTGGAGCCATCTCAATACCAAATCTATACTGGGTCAGCAGACTCTTCTATGCACAGTCACGTCATTTGTGCTTACTAACAGCAAAGGCTCAAACACAAAGCAACTGATGACAGGAATCCTCCACTAGACAGAAGAATTTAAAGGTGTGGATTATGCGATTTATTTCTGCATTCCCGGTCCAGAATAGTTAGTTAATAAATATTTTTATTAAAGCAAAAAAAATTACCAAGTACATTTAATGACAAAATTATATGTACAAATGTCTTTCTGATGTTTATTAGCATTTTTGGCATTTTACCTTACATGTATTTATTGTCTATCTAATGCCTTACGGGGTAAAAAGCAAAGCAGATCAATTTTATATGGGTATAGTTGGCTCTGCAACAATCTCTACCTATGACAAATTCATTGCTATTCAGGCATAATAATTGTATTTAAATTAAAGCTCAAGAAATGATTGTAGACCTACTGTCTCCATATAATAGAAGTTATCTTTTAAGATTTGCTCAAGTATACAAAAGCTCACAAAGAACAAAAAAATTAATAATTTCTTATTGGTTAAAAGATTCTTATTGCCATTCAGCAACAAATTTCTATTCCTCCAAACGTGAGCTTTAATCAAATTTGAAAATAAAAATATGCAATAAATAGGATTCAAAGAAACAAACAAAAAAGTATATGAAAGCAGTCTCTAATACCTGTTGATAGAAGAAATTCAAAGTTGGCTTATCTTCAGTAAACTGGTTTAGAAATCCTTTTGGCAAATAACGAATTCTCAATTCATATCTAAAAATAATTCACAAAACAGAACAATTAGAAATCAGTCATTTTCTCAATTTACAGTCTACAATTATAATATTGTGAGTATAGCATTCCTAATTACTCTGAAAGATGATTTCAAATAAAAGCTATCATCAATTAATCTTTAAATGTAATTTTTAAACATTTTAGCACAAAAAAAGAGCACATATCATAAATGTGCTACAGCTCAGTGATTCAAGGAAACAGAGCATAGTAAGAGGCCCAGAAGTCCTTCCAACCCATGGGTCATTCTCCACCACTGCTCAGGGGAAGAACTGCCCTGACTTCTAACATCTTCCACGACTTCCCACGTCTAAATTTTTATCAGTGGAACTGCACAGTATGTACTCTTACTTGTTCAGAAAGCTAAGCTTTAAGAATGGATAAAACAAACCAACATCACCAGAATGCTCTTTATCTTTCTCATTCTCTCTTTATGTGTATGTGTGGCTCTACCCATATGAACACTTTTATAAATGTCTTCTGGTAAACGTATGTACACATTTCGGTTGCATATATACCTAGGAGCACTGGATAACAAATACATCCATTAGCTTTAGTAGATATTATCAAACAGCATGCCAAAGAGGTTGTAACAAGTCAAACTCCCACCAACAGCATGGGGGTGTTCCAGTTCCTCTATATCTTTGCCTCCACTTGGCATTTTCTAACTTTTTTGTTTTACTCACTCTGATTGGCATACTGTGATAGTGCATGGTGATTTTAATTGGCATTTCTTTGGTAAGTAATGAAAGTGAATACTTTCACATGCTTTTTGGTCATTTTGACTATCCTCTTTTGTGAAGTGCTTGTTGAGTTTTTTATTTTTTGTAGAGAGAGGGTCTCACTATGCTGCCCAGGCTGGTCTTGAACTCCTGGTCTCAAGGGATCCTTCCACCTTGGCCTCCCAAAGTGCTGGGATTATAGGCGTGAGCCTCCACCCCTGGCCATGTTCAAGTTTTTGTCCTTGTTTTCCGACTAAATGGTCTAGCTTTTCTCCTTCACCACCTATTGATTTGTAGGTGTTCTTTATATATTCTAGATTTGAGGCCTTTGTTAGACATAGTGAATATCCTCTTCCATTCTGTGGCTTAATGGTATTTTTTTTTAACCACTCAATAAAATTTCAATGCAATCTTTTGAGGAAGCAAAGTTTGGTACACATACGCAAGTTCTGCTAAGACTTATAAATGTCCATCTTATTAAAATACAAAATTGCCAAACAATTCGGTTTCATTTCACTTTTACTCTCAGACAGAGTTCAATAACTTACTGTAGATATTCTACATTGGGTTATTATGTAAGTATAACAGATTTCATTTATTTTCAACTTAGGATTTACCAGGCACGTAACTACTTTATGTGAACTATTTCTCTCTCTTTTTTTGAGACAGGGTCTGGCTTTGTTGCCCAGGCTGCAGTGCAGTGGCACAATCTCGGCTCACTGCAACCTCCGCCTCCCCGGGCTCAAGCGATCCTCCCACCTCAGCCTCTCAAGTAGCTGGGGCTACAGACACCTGCCACCATGGCTGGCTAACTTTTGTATTTTTAGTAGGGCTGGGGTTTTGCCATGTTGCCCAGTCTGGTCTCGAACTCCTGAGTCAGTTCAACAAATCCGCCTGCCTTGGCCTCCCGAAGTGCTGAGATTACAGGCGTGTGAGCCACCACATCTGGCCTGGGCACTATTTCTCTTAATCAATTTAATAATCAGAGGAGAAAGGTATAATTATTCGCATTCTGCAGACTAAAAAAAAATGCTCAGCAAAAAGTTATCAGTTCCAGTCAACGATTCAAACAGGTCCAAGGAGGCTTTTGGTATTAATGGGACTCCCATTTTATTTATTTATTTTTTTGGTTGGGGGAAGCTCCCATATTAAAGATAAGGAAAAAGGTTCAACATGAAACAATGGGCAGCCTGGCTCCACATCCATTCTCTTAACATCCAGCATTCTGATGCTGCTGGTGATCATCAACTAACATTTTCTGTCCATTTAGTGTATGACAGGAATTGTGACGAGCATTTTACACAGATGATTTCTTTTTAGAGAAGCATAAGGAACATGGGCTCTAGATAAAGATCACCTATGCCTGAATTTGGGCCATGCCACTTATTCACTGTCAGCTATCACTTCTCTGTGCCTCAATTTCCTTATAAGGATGTTACAAGAAATAAATGAGTCAGTAAACACAAAACACCCAGAACAGTCACTGGCATATCATAATAAATGGTTTCTAAGGTTTATTGTTAGTGATAACTCGATAACTGTTTATTCCAGCACAGATCATGTCTCAGGTACAGTTGGAGTGGTTGGAAATTCAACAGTGAATAACAGGCAAAGTGCTAACTCCCAAAAAGTTTGCATTTTTGTGGCAGAAGTCAGACAGCAAATACACAAATATATGTGAGATGGCAGTCAATGTCATAAAAACAAATCAAAGGGGAATAACAAATGATTAAGTATTATTTTTATAAAGGGTAGTCAATGATGGACACTCTGATATGATGATATCTGAACAAAGATCTAAATAAAGGAGATGAGGAAGGGAGTTATACAGTTATATGCAGAGAAAAAGTGTTCTAGTCAGGTGGAACAGACTATGAAAAGGCCCTGCAGCTGGAGGATGCTTGGGAAGGCAAGTGTAGCTGGGGCAGGCTGCATGAGGGCAGTGAGTAGAAATGAAGCTTCACACAGACCCTTACCAAGTCATGATAGTCGGGTTCTTTCTCAATGAGAAAGCAAGTCAATGGCATGCTGTGCACAGAGAAATGACATCACAGGGTTTTCATTTTTCATGATTAGGGTATACACCATGCAGAAGAGACAATGGGGACCAAAGGAAGAAGGAGGGAGACTAGGAGGAGACAGCAAGATTCTGGGTGAGAAATAATAGCCAGGTTAATATTCACCTTATGTTCACAGATTGGCAAGAGAATTTTAGGGAATTACATAATCTTCCCTAGATCCCACAGCTATTTAGAGGTAGGCATGGGATTCCTCTCCAGCAAGAACATGCATGAATATTTAAAGGCACAATGATACGAAGAAAAGGCACCTATGTCTTAAAAACAGAAAAGAACTTAACTCAAGCCTGCTTATGTGAAGTTAGACAAGGCCTTTAGATCATGTTAAGAATTTTGGTGGGAGCTAAACAATGAGAACACATCCACATAAAGCAGGAATTAAGACACTGGGGACTAACAAGAGTGGTGGATGGGAGGAGGGAGAGGATCAGAAAAATACCTGGTTGATGAAATAATCTGTAAACCAAACCCCTGTGACACGTAGTTTACCTATGTAACAAATCTGCCCATGTACCCTTGAACCTAAAACGAAAGTTAAAAAGAACTTTGTTCCCTGCTTCAACACACTACAGTCTAGCATATTTCACACAAAACTCTACTGAAACTTTCCTCAGTCCTTAAACTGCAATGCCTGACACCATGTTCTCGTGCCCCACTAGAGCTGACATCCCCACTCTGCTCTTACACGAAACTCGTCAGTTTCTTTACATGTCTGTTTGCCATTTTAAGAGTCTAGTTGCATCCTGATACATATTTCCACTTCCCTGCTATACGCCTCTCCATGGATTCCCAACAGCAGCTAAATACTATGCCCCAAATAAAATCATTCTTTCGTTCCTACTCTTAGGCAATATATTCCTATTCATGCCATTGTCATCCAGCTTCCTCAGTCTTACCACCAAATATGAGCACTAAGACACCCAAAAGTAACCAACTGAGGATAAGGAGGGAGAGGGTATGTTTTTGAAAAGCTGAGCTAGATTAAGAATATGATAGTCCTGATACTGAGAAGGGTTAGCTAGCTAGTCCGTGTTTAGTGAAGTAAACAAAGCATTAACTTCACACAACACAGATGCCCTCATAAAAAAAATGTGGTGTGAACAGTCTGTTCTTACAATAGACTTCCAATTTTTTTAAAAAAGGGAAGAATGGAAATAGAAATTTATCATTTAGCAAAAATTACAGTAATAATCACTGCAAGACAGAATCATCAATGAATGCTAAGATCAGTGGGTGAAAGTGAGAAACAGAATGTTGCAGTATCTATGTATCTTCCCAGAAGATATTTCTTAATTATAAAGGGGAAACAGTAACCTTGTAGTGGAGAAACCTGGCTTCCATTACCTTAACCAAATGATCCAAGTTAGAACCACCTGTAAATTAAGTTGTGCCATCATTATGGACTTCCTGATACAATGCAATGAGAAAGGTATGACATCTTGACTGCAGCCGTTTTGCCAAAAACGCAAAACCTTAATCATAAAAACAATACCAAACTCAAATTGAAGAACACAATACAAATAACCAGTGAGTATTCTTCAAAAATGTAAAGGTCATAATGACACAGATTAAGGAACTGTCTCAGATTAGAGAAGACTTAAGGAGACATGACCGTAATGTGGTATTCTGAATTGATCCTCAACCAGAAAAGGAACGGTAAGTGGAATAATTGGGAAATGTGAATAAGTCATATAGATTTGTTACTAGGACTGTATCAATGTTAATCTCCTGGTTTTACTAGCTATATTATTTAAGATTTTAATATTTAGGGAAACTGGCTGAAGGGTACACAGGATTTCTGTGTACTATTTTGCAACTTTTGATATTATATTGAGAATTTTTAAATTCCCACATATACAAGACTGACCCTTTTGTAGCTGTGGTGACAAACACCCGCCCCCGCCCCCCCAACCCATACACACACAAAACCAGTTTTAAATCAGCTTGGTCAATAAATATGAGTTGTACAGCCACAGACCCACTTGAAACTAATTTTAAAGCGCCTGATATCTTGCCTCAATGAACACGCATCTGCAAGTCAACTAACTGACTGGCAGCTTCTTCTTTAATTTAGCCAAACAGGAACTAACTCTAAAGAACATGCTTCTAAAGATGAACAGTCTAACTTGGGTAACCATACATCTAAAATTGATGCCAACCCATTTCCACCTCTGAAAGTTGGCCAGCTTCTCAACTTCATACTTCCAAAAACCTTGTATAGAATCAGTAGTGTGTTCTGCTCAGGGAGACTGTGACTGATCAGCACAGCTTTCCCTTAACAGCATCATAAAGCCACTTTTTTCTGATTCAGATAATGAATGATCACGATGTCAGACTTGGACAATACATAAGTAGTAAAACCTTTTTTTTTTAAGCAAAAAAATGATTATGACAAAAGTCAGGATATCAGTTACCTCCGGAAGCAAAGAATAGAGAATGAAATTGGGAATGGGCACACCTCTAATTTAATGGGCTACAATTCATCAATTCATACACAAAGACAATAAATATGTTGCTGATAGGAAACACATAAACAAAGAAAGAGGGGCACTAGGTACTGGTAACAGAAAGAATAGATGAAGATATTATAATCATGAACTTATATGTACTTAACAACATAGCCTTAAAATCATAAAGAATCACAAGACAGAATTACTAAAAAAAAAAAGTAAATCGACAATTACAGTTGAATACTTTCTTTGAGATGAGCATGTAGCAAAACATATATGTGTATAATATATACAATTAAATACATTAAATGTCACTTTTCAAGCAAAGTATGAACAATATAATCTTCAAATAACATGACGATAAGCTTGAAAAAATGTACACAAACACACCCGCCCTCTTTATAATAACAGAACATACCTTCTTTTCAAAAGGAATGAAAACATCAACTAAGTACTAAGGCACAAAGAATCATCTCAACATAGTTAAAAAAAGTCAACACCATAAAATTGTTATGCTTCCTATAATGCAACAAAATAAAATCAATAACCAATAATCTTTTCTTTTATAAGCACATATGGCAGAAACCTAAACAATACACTTAATCACCCCTTGGTTTCTTCCAAAAATCTTGAAACAAATATCAAAACACTGATTGATAATAAAACACTATCTAACAAAGTTGTGAGACATAGACACAACTAAAATGACCATTTATAGTAAAATACATTTATCAGTAAACATGAATGAATGAAAACAAGTGAGCTAAGTGCTCAATTTAGAAATAAGTGGTAAACAGAAATAATAAAATATAACCCACATAATAGCAATATATTATAGAGTAAGAATTAACTTAGTAAAGATGACACAAAGGCTTTGCAGAGAAGACATCAGAAGGCATCAAAGACAATGGACACAGATGTCACGGACAAAATCCAGATGAGGGGAAACCTGTAGGACAAGCAACACAGCTTCCTTAACAAACTGCAAGCAAAGGGGAGAAACTGGATATAAAGATGTTATAGATTACAAAGACTTAAAAGACAAAGGGCACACCTAATTTGGATCCTAATTCAAATAATTTATCTTTAAAAATTTTGTCATGATATTTAATAAACAAGTTAAAATTTGAATACTAATGGGATAGTTTATGAAATTAAGAATAATTTTTGGAGATTTTTAACAACTTTTGGTTATATTTTAGAGCAGTAGTTCTGAACCTTGGGAGATTCTGCCCCCTTCCTGTTTCCCCTAGGGGACAACTGGCAGTAACTGGACACATTTTTGCCTGTTACAACTGAAGAGGGTGGGGTGGTGGGCTCCTATCATTTAGTGGGTAGAAGCCATACAACATATACAAAAGCTCCCTACAACAAAGAATTATTTGGCCAAAATGTTAATCCTGATTAAAATTAAAAACAACAAAGAAAAGCATGCTGTCATGTTATGGACAGACCATTTTGAAGTCTAAACTATTTCCATCAATTTATAACTTTGTCACCAAAAAGGAGTGGATGCACTGCTCATAAAAAATCTGAAAACAAAATTTTCTAACATTTCAAAATTTCTCCACTAAATAAAAAAATCTGATGTTAAAATATGAAAATATATTTCAAAATCAATTATACTGAAAGGAATGATCATGGAATATGGAAATTTATTGACCAAATTTCAACAAATGTTTACATAATTGGTGACTGGCAATGAAAAATCAGTATCATCATTAAGCACACAAAGATACTGGTACCCCTTCTATTTAATTATGCATATCTTTGTCAAGAATACTTTTAGCTATGACAACCATTAAAAGCAATAACAAAATAAAACCTGAAATAAGACCTTTGAATCAGAAGTGGGGCATGGTGGCTCATGCCTGTAATCTCAGTACTTTAGGAGACAAAGGCAGGAGGACTGCTTCAGCCCAGGAGCTTGAGATCAGCCTGGGTAACATATCAAGACCTTGTCTCTACTAAAATAAAATAAAATCAGCCAACCGTGATGGCATGCGCCTATGATCCCAGTACACAATGAGACCTTGTCTGTACAAACAAATTATTTTAAAAATTAGTTGAGTGTGATGGCAAACACCTCTAGTCCTAGGTAACTGGGAGGCTAAGAAAGGAGGACTACTTGAACCCAGGAGTTTAAGGCTACAGCGAGCTATGATCATACCACTGCACTCCAGCCTGTTTAACAAGGCAAGACCTTGTCTCAAAACAACTATTTAACCAAGATTTTCTTTAAAAAAATAAACCATACTAGGCCAGGCACAGTGGCTCACACCTATAATCCCAGCACTTTGGGAGGCCAAGGTGGGCAGATCATGAGGTCAGGAGATCAAGACCATCCTGGCCAACATGGTGAAACCCTGTCTCTACTAAAATACAAAAAATTAGCCAGGTGTTGTGGCGTAAGGATGTAGTCCCAGCTACTCAGTGACACTATCTCAGCTCACTGCAACCTCCACCTCCCAGGTTCAAGCGATTCTCCAGCCTCAGCCCCTCAAGTAGCTGGGATTACACGTGTGCACCACCATGCCTGGCTAATTTTTGTACTTTTGGTAGCGACGGGGTTTCACCATGTTGGCCAGGCTGGTCTTGAACTCACAGTCTCAAGTGATCCACCTGCCTCAGCCTCCCAAAGTGCTGGGATTACAGGTGTGAGCCACCACGCCTGGCCCGCTGCATGCTTTTAAATTTTCTACTTTTATGTATACTTTATAGCCTACATTATACAATCAATATGTTGACCATAAGTGAATAAATACAAAATTGATTAAACATTTTTGCCTGACTCAAGCTCCTAACAAATACTACCTACTTAACTGGGCTCTCCCAGCATCCTAGAAACAGGTAAGCTCCCACCTGCCCCTGGACTGACTGGGGAAGCGCTGGGGACAGGCTGGGGTGCACATGCACACTTCAGGAGTGATTTTCAAACTCAGCCTCAGACCCTAATGGTCAACAGAAGTTCCCCTGGAGCCTGTGGGGATTGGGAAGAGCTGGTGGCTACCCCTGCCACGGCTCTGGGCCTTCCAGTGACTTCTGAAGGAATTTACCATTCCCTTATTTACATGTTCCATATGGTCTTAACATGTGTTCCCAACAATCTCGTTAGGTTTTTTCACTTTTTACTTTATAAAAAGTGTCATGCTGTATGTCATATTCCAGGACTTTTTTAATTGAGGTAAAATTAACATAAAATATTAACCATTTTAAGGTGTGAAATTCAGTAGTATTTAGCGTACTCACAAAGTTGTGCTAGGACTTACTTTGTCACATGATGTTATACAGCTAAGTTTCATTCATATTGTTACTTGTACCTGTAGTTCATTCATTTCAACTTGTGTGACATTCTACTGTGTGAATAATCCCCAAGTGACTTGTCACTGCTTATGCCATGAACATTATTGCAGTTATAGCCTAGTATAGAAACTAGAGCTAGAGTCTCTGAAAGAGAGAACTTGAAAGGGAACTGCAGGATGGTAGGGCATGTAATCACTTGACATTCAAGAGAATGCCAAGCTGGTTTCCCAGGTGGTTTCACCAATTTATTAAAACATTCTCCCTAGCAGTGCAGGTAAAAGACTGTCAGGTCCACAGCCTCTCCAGCTACAGAGAGTGTCAGACAGCTGACTTTTTGCCAACTGGAGGTAGAGTTTCACTAAGGTATCGATTTGCATTTCCCTGATCAATAATGAAGTTGACAGTGCCTTCTATGTTAATTGGCCAAACTTATTTTCTCTTTTATGATAACATCTTCATGTCTCTTGTGTATCTATTACTGAAGTGTCTGCAATTTTTTTTTTTTCTGTTTTTGAGACGGAGTCTCGCTCTGTCGCCTAGGCTGGAGTGGAGTGGCACGATCTCGGCTCACTGCAACCTCTACCTCCCAGGTTCAAGCGATTCTCCTGCTTCAGCTTCCCCAGTAGCTGGGATTACAGACGTCCGCCATGACGCCTGGTAATTTTTGTATTTTTAGTAGAGGCGGGGGTTTCACCACGTTAGTCAGGCTGGTCTCGAACTCTTGACCTCAGGTGATTCGCCCACCTTGGCCTCCAAAAGTGCTGGGATTACAGGCATGAGCCACAGTGCCCAGTCAGCAATTTTTATATTGATCAGAACTCTTACCACCACCCTTTGTTGACTGCATGTGTTACAAATATCTTCTCCCACTTTGCAACTTGTTCTTGTACTTTCAAAATATATCTTTTGCGGAATGTCCTAATCTTAGTACAGTAGAATTTGCCAGCCTTTCTTTTTATAGTGAACGTTTTGGAGCTCTTAAGAAAATCTTCCTATCCCAGGGCCAGAGATACATTCAACTATACTTCCCACTAAACTTATTTTTTTACAGTTTTGCATGTGATGTTTCACTACTTGTACATCTCATAGATTTGTGTATTGAGGTAGTATCCAATGTTGTTGTTGCTCTTCTTCCTACATGGATAGCCATTTATCAATCCAGCTCTTCCTTTCTCCCAGTGACATGTCATGACAAAGAGCTCTCTAAGGTCATCCTGCCTGAGACAGTTATGACCAAATACGTGTGCTGCAAGCTAGCTTACCAAGCTGTTTGAAGAGTGAAGACCAAGTGAACAAGTCTGTATTTCAGGTTTATTCAACAGTATGAATAGACTCTATAGCAGATAGCACAAAAGAACAAGCTATGTCCAAAAACGTCATGGAAATCAAAATTTATACCCAATTATATTGCTGAGTCCTAGCACTTTCATTTGACTAGAGATCTTACTTCTCAGAATTAAAGCCAGAACTGCAGCTGCCCTCACATACCCACCTATGAACTTAGATGTCTGCAGGTGACAGAAAAAAATTTGTCATGTTCAGCTTCTTGTATTTACATATCTAATACAGGAGTAGAGAAGAAACAGCTGAGTGTTTGGATTCAATTTCTAGTATACCACCCATTTAAGCCATATGATCTCCAGGAAAAGTTATTAAGCCTTTCCAAAGTATGGCTTTCTCACAAGCAAAATGGCAAAAAGAGAGTACCTACATGATAAGACTATCATAATAGAAATTAATTTTGATGAACTACATCAAATGTCTGACACACAGTAAACAACATGTGTTAATATGGTAATACTGTTATTAACTTAAGCTAATATTGTTTGGTTCCTAGCTGAAAACAAGTTTCTAAACCATCAAATTACTTTGCTTCTGGGCTTCTTTTACACATGCATTATCAATATATTATTTAGTCAGTTTTCATTCAAATATTGCTTATTGGGTGCCTATTGTATACCAGGCATGACTAGAACCAGGAATAGAGGAGTGAAGAAAACAAAGTCCCTGAGAAAGATAAACAACACATATATAATATCAGTCTTCAGAGGTCTGTAAAAAATTAACAGAGTATATGAGCTGATGAAAAATCACAAGGAGCTTCAGGTAGGCAGTGGGCTCTTTAGGTAGCCAGTAGGAGACCACAGGAAAGCAGTAACATTCAAGCACATTCCTGGAATGAGGAGGTCCAAGCCATGCCTAGAAAAGGCAGAACATACTCAGCAGAGTCACACCAAGTTCAAAGGCCCCAATAAGAAAGCCAGGGAGCTAGAGTTGAGAAAGTGAAAAGTTGTAAACGATAAAGGAAAAAAGGGAGGTGAGACAAAGAAAGCGTTAATTAAGATGAAGGGCCATATTATTCAACAATTAAAAAGTCTGGCAATAGAGAAGAAACCATCACATCAGATCCCAACTTGAGTATTTATGGAAAGAACTCTAAAATATATTAAAGAATTTAATGGAAGGAAAACTGAAATCAAAAGGACTGATGTCACCAGAGTGGAGGAGGAAGAGGAAGAGCAGAAGGAGATAAGGACTGTGAGGTCATCAGAAACTCCAGAGTTTGCTCTGAGTGTGATGAGAAGCTACTGGAAGTTTCTGAGCCCAAATGATTTATAAATATAATTGGATGGCTTACATTCTAAGAGATACATCAGCAAATCCCATCAGCTCCCTCCTTAAAAATACAATCCTGTACAACTGTTTCTCACAACTTCTATTATTATTCCCCTACTGCACCATCTTTTAGGATTTTTGCCTGGGTTATTCCACTAATTTGTTTCTCAGTTTCCCTGCCTCCATCCAATCAAATGTATGATTTAATGCCCAAGGCAGGTGTAGGGAGACTAGAAAGAGAAGAAAACAGGTTACTGGAGCACCCTAACATTTAAAGGCCAAACAGTTCAGAAAGGCTATGAATGGTCAATGAAGGAAAACCAAAGCAGTTTGGTATCCAGAAAGCTAAGTAAGGAATATTTATTAAATTCTTGGTGATAATAGCTTGTATTGTAATTGCCTTCTATATCCCTAATGATGCTTTAAAAGATGTTTAAAATTTTTTTCATACGATATTAACAGGGTATAATCCTTTTCCCCTTGGTTACTATTTGTCTGATATACTTTGTTCCCTTTCTGCTTATGTTTTATGTGTGCGTTCTTCAAATTAAAAATCAGTTACTATCTTGTTTCATGGGGCCAATGCATATTTAGATCTACCCAATTTTTTCCATCTTGCATCCGAGACCCTCCCCTTCAGAGATGATTTTCGTTTTTCCTAAGGTGTTTTTGTAAGAGGTTCCTTTGGTGGCAAATCCTCTAAGGAAAATGTCTTTATCTCACCCTGTTCTTGAATGGCAATTTAACTGGGCAAACAAAAACAGGTTGCCAGCTACTTTCCTCACTACTTTGAACATATTATCCCACTATTTTCTTGGCATCTATTATTGTTGTTGAAAAGTCTGAATTTTTCTCTGGGTGTCATCCTGTCTTGTTCTCTGGTACAACAATATTTTACTATTAATACAATCTGCCAATGCATCAGTTTAGTTTTATTGACTCTATTTGGGATTTTGTTAATCCTGTATTTGAAGGCTCATGTCATTCATTGATTATAAAATATTCTCAACCATTATCTCTTGGGATTATCTCCTCCTCTTCTCCATTCTTTTTTATTCTATTCTTCTTGAGTTTCTGTTAGAAATGGGTTGACATCATTCTTCATGTTACATAGACTTGCATTCACATTTTCCATCTTTTCATCTCTCCGTGGTATGTTCTGGAAAATTTTTTCTCTTGTTTACTAATTTTTCAGCTATGTCTAATCTGCTATTTTATCAATCCTGTGATTTCTACAACTTCTATTTGGACTATCCAAATTCTCTTGGTTATTTTTGATAGTCTCCTTTTCCTTACTGACACTTAAATTCCTCCCCTTTTAAATATACAGAACCATCAGTATTAACCCTCATAACTCTTGAAAATACCTCATCAGTTTATCTGTCACATTTTCTTCTGTCATCATCTCTACCTACTATGCATGTAACTTTCACTAATCCTTTTTTTTTTTTTTTTTTTTTTTTTGAGACAGAGTCTTACTCTGTCACCCAGGCTGCAGTGCAATGGCATGATCTCGGCTCACTGCAACCTCCGCCTCCCAGGTTCAAGCAATTCTCCTGCCTCAGCCTCCAATGTAGCTGGGAGTACAGGCACCCGCCACCACGCCTGGCTAATTTTTGTATTTTTAGTAGAGACAGGGTTTCACTCATGTTGGCCAGCCTGGTCTCGAACTCCTGAACTCAAGTGATTTGCCTGCCTCAGCCTCTCAAAGTGCTGGGATTGCAGATGTGGGCCACCACACCTAGCCAACTTTCACTAATCTTAAAAGCCTAGCTACATTTTCAGAGTATTTAAGACAACATTATTCCCATATTGAGATAGGCAATCTAATTTTTAAAACCTGTACTATGAAGCCAGACAGCTAAGTTCGAATCAAAGCTGTGTCACAAACTATGTAACTACAAGTTTATCAATTTTGTTTTCATGTGTAAAATAAGAACGATAGTCTCTAACTCCTAGGGTTTGGGGACAGTTAAATGAAATGTATATTTAAGTTATCTGGTGTAAGCAGCATACAGATGGCAGAGTCCCTGGCTCAGCCACTTATGACGACAAGGCATCAATGTCATCATCATCATCATCATTAGTATTATTATGAGCAGTAGTATCCCGATCACCCTTTCATCTAGTAGGGTCAATCTGTGAGAAATTCTATATAACCCCACCTAAATTTTTCTTCCTTTTGAGGATTCAAGACCCAGTCAGTAAAGCAGTGCCTATTCAATTTTACTTGAAACAAAGTAAATAAATTGGCTTAAAAGAACAACAACAATCTACTAAGAGATTTAGATTCAATGACCATTTTATTGAGCACTAAGGATTTCATTATAACAAAGTCTGCATCTGACATGTCCATATAAACCAAGATAATAGACTTGTGTTAAATAAAAGTACCTTGACACAGGAGGATCACCTGAGTAGGGGAGTTCAAGACCAGCCCAAGCAACACAGCAAGATGACCATCTCAAAAAACAAAACAACACAAAAACCCTGCAGGTATTTTTATCTAACTTTTACATATCCTTTGTTTTGGAATGCTCACTTGCTTAATTGACTAAATAGTTGGAAGTCAAATCTTCTCTAGCCATTGATGTGAACCAATGAAACTATATTCTCAAGGAGTATTTTGTTAGCTTGGTACCAGCTACCTGACAAATTTGAAAATACAGCTATATTTCTTTGATGAACTCTGTAACTGGCGTAGGGTTTTATTCAACATAAGATTTATTCAGGCTGGGCATGGTGGCTCACACCTGTAATCCCAACACTTTGGGAGGCCAAGGTGGGCAGACTGTTTGAGCCCAGGAGTTTGAGATCTGTCTGGGCAACATGCTGAAACCCCAGCTCTGTAAACAATACAAAAATTAGCTGGGCGTGGCGGTCTGTGCCTACAGTCCCAGCTACTCAAGAAGCTGAAGTGGGAGAATCGCTTGAGCCCAAGAGGCTGCAGTGAGCCATGTTCATGCCACCGTACTGCAGCCTGGGTGACAGGGCGAGACTCTGTCTCAAAAAAGAAAAAAAAAAAATTATTCACCTTAACATGTTTGTCTTTTAAAATGTCTACCCTAATCAATCTAGATCCTTCAAAGTTACTGACCCTTTGAATGCACTCTTCAGCCTACAATTATCTTTATTTCTGTAGCATTGCCTATAAAAATTAGAACCCTAGTGAAAGAAGCCCATTTTTACAAGTTATACCTCTCACAAATGTATTTTAGATGTACAATTTCCTAGTAACATCTTGAGTTGCTTAGTAGTAAAAAAAAAAAAAAAAAATTAGTAGGGGAGACCAGAAAAAGAACAATTATAGGGAATTCTTTTAATTTGCCCTGAAATAATTTTATTTTCCTTAACATTTCAACAGGAGTCATTAAGAGATTACGTCCTAATTTTAACGTTGCATGTGAATATCAAATATACACTCACTCTTTGTAGGTGCGCTCTAGATTACAGGGCATAATAAAACAAGCTATGTAGCCCATTAATAAGGTATTTAGGAGTGACAGCAACTCCTGCTACATAAAAGGATGACAAGGGATGAAAACATTATATATATATACATACACACACACATATATATATGATTTGAGTTTTATTGGGAGCAAAGGTTGAAACAAAGTAGCACTGATGAGAAATTAGCTAGCAAAAGACCATCACAGAAAACGGAAATCAGATGGCTCAAAGTATAATTAATAATACCCAAAAGCTAGACTAGAGGTCTAGAAGAGATCATTCGTTAATAATTACTAACGAATTTTATTTATACCAGAGTTGTAATGACAAGCAGTGTGAAAATTAAACATATACATTTGTTATCTTGTGCATGTTTTTAAAAAGCAAAAGAAATCAAGTGTGCATCACACCAAAGCAGGTTTGTATCTTACTTCCACTCCTCTGGTGGGTGAGCAAGCTCATACTTCTCCCTCACACTGGAGACGCCCATATCCACGTGAAGCCAGTGAACCTCCTCTGACCGCAGGTGACTGAGGCGGAATCCATAGCAGGCCACATGCTTTACTTTGTGACTGTCCACTATCTTCTGAATGATGCCCTAAAACATACCCCCCACAAGAATGACTGTTATAAACTGAAAAAAAAAAAAAAAAAAAAAAAAACCAAAACAAAACAAAAACAAAACAAAAAAAAAACTATATGCTAAAAAGTAATGCAATGTTCATTTCTTTTAGTCAATTATCAGAAATCTTTGGTATGAGAATATCAAGTTAAATAAATTACTTAGGAATCTTTGTTTCTGAAATAGTATTTTCAAGAACAAGGAGAAGTTTTAGAAAAGAAAACATAAAGAGATTCTCTCCTTTCTTTATTAACAAGGCATGTAAACTTAAAAACACATTTCTGCAATTCCACTGTCATCACCCCCCAACCTGTCAAAGCACACCAGCTATCTTTCAGTTACTACTTTCTAAGGTCCAGACCCAAGGAGGGGTTATACTTTCAAAAACAGGGAGATCATACTGTTCAAGACCAGGCTGCAACATTCATAATCATTTTTTTAAAAAAACATACATTCAGGAACACACAGTTAAGGCTACGTTTCTGGTGACACTGGAAATACATGAAAAGTTCTTTGAATTCGGGCCTAATCAGTTTATTATTACTTGCTCTTTAAAAATTATTATGAAGCAATCTTAAATACTCCCAAATCTAATGCCTCTAACATGTGTTCCCTTGAGTTCAGAGAAGGTCACCTTTGAATGAGGTCATCAGGGAATGTTCCCTAGAGATGGTGAAATTTCTCCTGGAGCAATGGACAGGTTAAGTGTTAGAACTGACTCTTGCCCTGTACCTACCTAGGTATGAGGGCCATGAGAGAATATGTTGTTAAGTGGGCAGCATGTATGGAAGACTCATTTGGGAACATGACAGAACCATTTGCTGTCCTTTACACGAGGGTATGCAAATTACAACCAACTGTGACCTTCTCAATCTTTTAGGTGATAAGACAAGTTTTTTTTTAAATGATGCTGATATTAAAATGAAAAATGTCTATGAAAGAAAATAATCACTGCTTTTTAAAATTAGCAATTAATTGAAGCTATAATACAACTTGTTAAGACATACAAAAAAGTTCCTGCACTCATCAAGTATTGCTTTATTACAGCACAATGCTGCTGATCATGATAAAGGATATTATCCCCAGCCTTCTCCATAAGCAAAGATAAATCGTAACATGTACCATATACAAAAACTGTCCAAAACCCAGTATATGCACACTGAGGATGTGTGCTGCTGTGCTGTGCTCCCCATACTGGTACCTGGCATGTGGCAGACCTCCCAGGGCACTGAGTGAATGAAGTGGTAGAGTCAATCTCTCTTTCAGACAACTCAATCCCAGGTACAAAGTTGTTTACCAAGCACAGGAAGTGGCAGAGAGAGGGACAAAGGAAAGGAGTAAACATGGTATCAAGAGAGAAAGCATCAACAGAGGACCAGGCTGGAAGAGTCAAAGACAGGTTCATAAAGATGATGAATTCTCATCAGGACAGGAAGGATGTTTGCAGCCTACAGACTCCTATGTGGAACTGACAGAGGCATAAAATGTCCTTCCTGGCTTTTTGATCCAAGCCCAGAATTCCTGACAGGGCCACTGTAAATGACAGTACCCTACCTACACAAGGATATCCAGCTGAGGGTGAAAAGAGTCCACGTTCTAGTCTTTAAACCTTGTGCTCTGGGGTGGGGAACTTGCCTAAAGGAAGGAGCACCTTTTAACAATTCTCTCAGAAGTGACTTCTGCAGCTTCTTGCCAACACACAAATCCATGAACTATAAAGGATGGAAGCTAGCACCTCTGTGAAATTCCCACAAAAGCTCCTGGTTCCCTGTCCAGCTCTGCCAGATCAACACCCAGTACGCACCAACACCAGTTATCCTTGGTAAACCACAGGTCAGTAAGTCTCCTTGCTCCACAGCTCACTGCTACTACCAATTCAAGAGGCGGCTCTCTCTTGTTAGAGCTGCGATCAGTGTCTACAGTGGTCTCTAGCCATCTGCCTCAGGTCACTTGGTCTACTAACCTTCCATAACCTGATGTTGAATATAAGGCAGTAAGGAACACAAATCATTTCTCATAATTGTCACCATTCACATCCTAAGAAAAAGCCCAGCTTCTCCAGTTGCCTTCTGTAGTGACCCCATGAAAAAGTCACTTCATCTCTGCTGAACTCACAGCACACATATAGGAGACCTGCAGCAAACCAGTCTCAAAGAGGCTTAGCCCAGAACTGTGGTATCTGTTAGGGAAAGGCAGGTTTCTGTCTTGGAGTTTCACGTAAGAGAGAGAATCTTATTCCATTCACTTGATCATGCTGCCTGAAGAGACTCAGAGTGACTTCAAAGTGTGGATCTGAGTGACACAGCCTTTGCATACAGTAGTACCTCATGAGCAAACCAGCTTTCAACTTTCACTCTCCATGAAACAGTGAAAAGCAATAAACACACAGATATTACCTTCTGTTTCATTTTTTGCTTTCTCATTACGCATCCATATCGTACTCTGTCCTACTGCTCATTCTCTAGCACCCTTATAAATTTCTCTGGATAGTGGCAAACATTATAAATATACAAAGTGCTTAAATATGTGGTGCTAAATGCATATACTCAGTAACTTAAGTAATTTTGAGAACTAAATATCTGGTCTGGATAACTCAACAAATAATTCTGAGAACTACGTATTTAGTGAGGAATGTAAACTCAACCAACCCTACAGTGCTGCCATATGGAAGTGCCCCATTTTCATATCACACACACGTACATTTAGAATAAAAATGACTGTCTCTAAAAGGATAATAGGACATGGGTTTTTAATATGCCACTAAAGGTACCAGAATTAAATTTAAATTTCTCATCGTGACTTTGAAGACACATCTATCTGGTCCTATGAAATACAAAACAATAATTGGCTACTCTGAAACCTGTCTCTCATAACCCAAGTGTCAGAAATACACAACTTTTCTGATTAAATTCTCATAGTAGACATTCATGGTAAAAGAATTCTTTTCAAGGTTAAAATAAAAGCCAGTGTTCACATCATGCCTGTATCTTATCAGGAACATAACATTAAATGTGCAAGGTCATTTTACTACTGATGAATAAAGATTTCCTTGTTCTGAGGGAGAAAGGAAGGTGTAAATAAAAATACTGCTATGAACATCCTTCTAGCTGTCATCAAAGGTATTTATGACCACTGCATAGAAACAGACAAAATTTCCTTTAACTGAAACATTTTGATAAGCACAACCAAACTTCCTGGCCATCAACAAAACTATACCAATTATACTTGATGCATAATGTTACAGAGTATCATTTATCTCACATTAATGAATAAAATTAATCTTATGATGATCAATTTAATGACCAAAAAAACTTCCACAGGTATTTTACTGTTGTTATGATGGTTTAATTTCCCTGATTACTCACTAGTGAGATGAGGCTATACTTTTGTTCATTTCTGAAAGTTTTTATTATTTTGCTTGGTTCCATTTAGCCACTTACCTTTTAGACAGTACTTTCAAACAAATGACCTTCACCACTGTTCGAAATAGGTCATGTGACTCTTTCCTCCATGTTCATTCTTTCATAAACTGTTCATTCATTTATTCATGAACATCTGAAGTGCCTACTACATGCATGATGCTAGTGACACAATAACGGTTAAGATGCAATTCTGACCCTCAGAAGTCTTAAAGAGTCTCACAGGAGAAAGACATGACAATGAACATGTGCAAATGAGTATTAAGTGGTTTGTGGGGAGGAGGGGACAAAAAGGGATATTTTATATTTTTAGCTATAGTCTCACACTTAATTTTCAGATTTATTACTAGAAGAGATATCTGAAGCAACACACATTGTTGACACTGTTTATCTCCTTACTGCTTCCTAAGAATTACCAAATATAATCATCATTACTGATTCTTCTATAGTATAGTGTTTCTTTTTCTCATTGTGTTTCTCTTTCAGATACTCTTCAGCTTTAGAAAACCAAGGGATTCCTACCATTCTTCTTGGAGGCTTTCATCATTGGGTTATCAAAAAGAAAGATCCAGAAATTCAAATCCTGTTCTCCAACACCTAGTACGTTTCCTCCTCTTGGTCCAGTCATAAACTAGGAGTCCTTCTAAAAGTCTTCCAAGACAAAGAATGTACTTTTTTATCTTGGTGGTCCACAGTCACTGTATTAGTTCCCTATTACCTCTGTAATAAATCACCACAAACTTGGGAGCTTAAAACACAACAAGTGCATTATCTTTTAGTTTTGTAGATCACAAGTATGAAATGGGTCTCACTGGCCTAAAATAAAGACGTCAGCAGGGATGTGCTGTTTTCTGGAGGCTCTTAGCTTGTCTTTTCCAGCTTCTACAGGGCACTGCACTCCTTGGCTCATGGTCGTCTTCTTCCCTCAACGTTGCATCTGATCCTTCTTTCATATTCACCTCCCACTGACCACGGTTAAGAAAAGGCCTGCTGCAGTGAAGGACTCATGATCTCCCCACCTTAAGGTCTGTAGCCTTCATCACGCCTACAAGTCCCTCTGGCCACGTAAGGGGACATCTGCACAGGTTCTGGGGATTAGGATGTAGGCATCTTTAGGAGCCAACATTCTACCTATGGGAAATCACTACCTCAATCACTATCTCTCAGGATTTTGAATTCAAAATTTTTTCTTCCTCGTGCTCTGTTAGCTTAGGTTCTCCTCTTTAACATGGCTTTTATGCTTTTTCTTAAAGCTTTCCTTTCTAGCTTTCTTCCTAGATGATACTTTCCATCCTGTAAAGGAAGAGTTTAATTTTCTAAGACCTCCATAGTCCTTTCTAGAATCAAAACTATTTGAATCCGTAACAATCAATGTTCAATTGATTGTTATTAATAATCAATTGTTTTTAAATGTTTTTAAACATACATTCACCTGCTCCTCTGTCAGAGAGAACAGCTTACACTTCTAACACACACAAAGTGTCCAGTGATGACACCTAACAATAAACACTGAAGACCGTTGGACTGCTCTGAAAAGTCCTCCAGGCACCTACCTATGGCCAAACTCAGGGAAAACTCCCTGAAGAATTCCCTTCCCCTACAGATACCAGTTGTTTATAGCATAGTTTGTTCTTGCAGAATCCCAAATCACTGTACATTTTCCCATTCCTATCAGAAGGATGATTTTAAATTGAACACAACGTTACTTCCCATTACCAGTCTTCCCACTACCAGCTTGGTAACAGTAATTAGTATTAATCCAACCCAACACACCTATATTTTAACAAACTACATGAACTGATTTTTTTCCATTTACTATTACAGATTCAGATTTACCAACCATTCCCTACTGACTCATGACTAGTACTGAAACCTGAGGATATGCTATTTATTTAGAAAAGTTCAATGTACCAGTCAGAAAAATTTTAAGGGGTTTTGAATGGGATAAGAATACTGTCCAAGTACTCAATGGTGGTGTAATCTTAAGCAGCATCATACAGTATTTGCCCAGTACTTGCCTGGTGTATGGGCATGAAATTATTTGTTCTAGTCCTTGTAATGTCTTTTTAAAAAATAAGCTAGGTACAGAGATATCAGTAAAGTGGGGTATGGCTTTGAATAGGTATAATCTTTGGCTATCAAATCAATATCTTTGTGGTTATTTGTCAATTAAGGCTTTCTACTTCTGTGGTCAATGTTCCTAACATATTTCTCTCAGAAATATTCCATTTCACCTTGGATGCCATATAGTCATTCAACAAAAGTACCTATACCTACTGAGCACTTGGCTGTTTGCCTGCTAGACACTGTTAAAGACATTGGCAATAATACCATGAAGTACAAAGATCCCTGATGTCACAGAACTTAAGAAGTTGGGGAAGAAAACAGCTAATAAATGAGCAAACAAATCAAGTACAAGACGATGTCAATAATAATGATCTGAAGAAAATAAAATAGTGACAGAAAAACAGCAATGGTGAGGCATAAGGGAGCATTCTTAGACTGGCATGCCCTGGCAGGCAGAGTTAGTAAGGGCAGGGTGAGAACAAGCAAGGAGCCACATCCCGTAGGTCCTTGTAGGCCACAAAAGGAATCTGGCTTTTAGTCTGGGAGAAATGGGGAGCTCTTGGGGGGATTTAAGCAAATCACTGATTCGGTGATTAGTATGTTAGAGAAACAGGAAGCAGAAAGAAAAAGTGAGTGACTAGGACAGAGGTGACAGGGCATGATGGGACAGGATGGGGGAGATGGGTGAGACTCTCAAAGGACGTGCATGTTGACTAAATGAAACCGGGTTCTGAGTGGAGGAGTGAAGTGCTCTGGCTTTCATCTCTCCAGGATCATTCTGGCTGCTGGGTTGTCAACAGACTAAGGAGAGCAAGTAGGGAAACAAGATGTCAGTTAGGATACCATGCCATAATGTATGGAAGAGACATTTTAAGGCAGCTACTGAAGAAGAGCTCAAAGAAAGGGGTAGCAGTGGAGGCAATATGAAATGGGTAGGTTCTGGATATATTTTTGAAGATAATGTGGACAGGATTAGCTAATGTATTCGATATGGCTTGAGAGCAAAAGAGGAATAAAAGACGATTGCAAATGGATCTGAGTAACTAAAAGATGAGGTAACCCTTTGACTGGAGCACTGGATGGTTATTTTGTAGCAAGAAGTGTAAAGACAGAGAAGTGAGGTACAAATGTTGGGGAAAGGGAAGATATAGAAATGTGTGGACTTTTCCAAGTACTGCAGGTTGAAGAAAGTGGACGAGGTATGAAATGGTTGTCTAGGAGAGAACAAGATGGGGGGATAGAGCATGACAGCTGGGTAGCACTAAGGTTGCAAATCTAGAATGTAACCAATCACAGGATGGCGACAGGTGGAGAATAGGCAGAAGGTTGGATTAAATCATGGTGGTAGATTCAAGAGACTACGGGGACATTAAGAGAGGTACAAGACAGCATACAAGGCAGCAAGTATGACAATGGACCACTGTCTCTTGCATCCTGCTACAGTATTTTCTTATGGGCTCAACTTTTTTCCACGCTGCATTATATCATCTAATTGTTTTTTCAAAGAGAGCCCATGCTATTAGCTTTCTATGTCACTACTTCTCTGCAGATACCTTCATTTCACATTATCTTGATTAATAATTTATCTGATATAGACTTCTAAAGTACATGTTATTTTCCCTGAGCCCTTTGAAGATACTGTTCCAATGTCTTCTTGCATCCAGCATTGCTGATGAAAAGTCTGGTGTAAACGTCATTCTTTCTCCTAAGTAGGGAATTTCTCTGGTAGAATTTGGAATTTTATGTCATTATTTTTCTGAATTATCACTGCCATGTTTCTAGATGACTGGTCTTATTCAACATTGTACAGCCTGGGTTTCTCTTGGCTGTTCTAGATTGACCCCACACTTATCTCTAGAGCTGCCTGAAGCACGGTACTGACACTTGGCCAAAGCTATGGCCAAGATAAGTGATGTTTGTGATCATGGGACCCTGAGCTGTTTGGGGGGCAGAATATACCAGCTTGTCAGTGCGATTTTGTAATAATAACTGGACTGACAAGGTGTACCTGATTTTGGCAGTACCTGGGGAGGTCCACAGGTTGAGGCTGGCTACGTAGATGGAGAGTGCTTGTGTGACCCTCTCACAGATCCCCACCACTTCCTCATACTGAGGTGCTTCACACATAAGCCAGTAATGGTTTCACATCTACAGAAAAATCATGTCCAAGGCCAAGAAGCCTGTACCCAAGATCTCCAGATCACTTCAATGAGTATCATTTTACTACTGTTGCTGTAATGGATTTTGCCTATAAACTGTGAAATCTTGCAAATCTTTTCAACAATCAAACATTAATTAACATACAATTAGCACACATAATTGTAAAAGCACTAATACTTATTAACTGAAGCATGATAAAGGCTCTATAATGAAATGTTACAAAAATCCAGATATTCTTGGTGAAAACAAATCTTTAAACTCCTCAAAAAGTTTTGTTTTTTCTGAACCAAGCAGTCTTTCTGAGAATTTGCTTTCTACAGAACACCACTGTCCAGCAGAAATATAATGCAAGCCACATAAGTAATTTTAAAATTTCTAGTAGTCACAGTAAAAAAATAAAATAAAAACAAACAGGTAAATTCAATTTCAGTAATATAGTTCAGTTAACCTACTATATCAAAAGTATTATCATTTAACATGTAATCATAACACATTGATATATTTTATTCTGTTTTCTTACTCTTTGAAATGTGGTATATATTTTTATACTATAGCACATGTCAATTCAGACTAGCCACATTCAAGTGCTCAACAACTGCACATGGCTACGATAATGGGCAACGTAGCTATAATGAGTTTAAGACTGAATCGAGTTATTCAGTACCTGAATAACAATAAGCCGTATCATTTCAGAAAATAGTTGTGTGGCATCCCCTTTGATGCTATTCAATGGTCAGTTTCTTTCTGACAAGTAATTATACTTGGATTCTTTACTAATCTAATCCTTAAATCTAAATCCTACAATCCCCACTTCCTGTTCTAAGGTCATCAGGCCTTCAAATGCTGTCATGTTTCTTCCATTTTTCTCTTTCCTGACAATACTCTGTATCCATAATGTTCCTTTGTCTGATACCTCTTATGTTGTTCAGTCCCTTTGTTCAGATGTACAAATCCACTCATTAATTTACAATTATGATATTGCATTTTCAAATGTTATAGCATTAAAGCATTCAATGGAAGTTGGTTATGAATAATATCCAATCTTCCATTACAGTGACTCAGTATCATGAGAACCTCATGCTATCCCAGGAAAGGGCTATGGTGAATTCAATGCCAACTGTGATTTTTCTGCCTCAATCTGAAAATCACTGACTGATAATTTGCCAATTACTGTGAAATAAAACACGTTGTTTGTGGCCACATAGATTTGATCAGATTGATCTTCACAAGTTTGCTAAATGAGTTCTGATAACTTATACATTTGTATCTGATGTAAATTTTTCTTCACAATATGAATGTATGACTAGGAAGTTTTTAACATTGGCTAAAGGCTAACATGCCTGCAGTGACACTGACTCTATGGTAGTAATCCCCTTACATGCAGAAAGTTTGATACTAAAACCATGGCACATCTGTTAAAATCTTTCCTAGGTGAGTCTTCTGATGTAAGTCTTGAACATTTTTGCTAAATGTCTTGTCAAATTCATAATCTTTGAAAGGTTTCCCTCCTGTATGAATGCCCTAGAGTTCATTAGGGCTGATACAATGGTTTTATTGGAGAGTTTCCTCATTCACTGTATCTGAAATCTACAAAGACTAGAACATACACTAAAAGCCTTACATAAAGTTACATCTACAAGGTTTTTTTCCAGTATGAATTATCTGATAAACCTTATGGCAGGATGCTCATTGCAGGCCTTTCTACCAAATGACAGTGTTTTATAAAGTTAAAAGTAAAACACAGAAGTAGAAAAAAAACAGAAAACGCAAAAAAGCTAACCAGCTTCATAAAGAGTTTGTAAAAAAAAAGAGGCTATCATATTTTTAATAATTAATCCATTTGAATAGTTTGCTAATATTAAAATTTAGAGGTAACAAAAAATTATGTAAAATTTATATACAAGACTTTAGCCTTAAATCTTTTTTTTCTTTTTTTTCTTTTGAGACAGTCTCACTTTGTTGCCCAGGCTAGAGTGCAGTGGCACGATCTCAGCTCACTGCAACCTCTGCCTCCTGGGTTCAAGTGTTTCTCCTGTCTCAGCCTCCTGAGTAGCTGGGACTATAGGCATGTGACACCACACCTGGCTAATTTTGTATTTTTTGTAGAGATGGGGTTTCGCCATGTTGGCCAGGCTGCTCTCAAACTCCTGACCTCAAGTGACCTGCCCACCTTGGCCTCCCAAAGTGCTGGGATTACAGGCATGGACCACCATGCCCGACCTGTTGGCCTTAAATCTAAATTCTACCAATCCCTTTGCTTTGGTTAAAAATAATAAGGGCATGTAAGTTAGAGAGTAGCAAATTAATTAATTTACTTATTGTAAAAAAAAAAAAGAAAGAAAAGAAAAGAAAAAAGACGTATCTAAACTTCCTTGTCACTGGAAACTTCTCCTTAAAGATGAATATAGACTAGGTGGAGAGGGTAAGAAAGAGGAGGTATTTAACACTTCATCAAAGCAAATACTGAACATTTAAATACTGAACTCAGCTTTCTGAAATCACAGTGCTACCTTTTCATTCCCCACCTTCAGAAAGATGTAGTTACCTTTGCCTAGCATGCTCTTCTCCCACAATTCTGTATCACTATCTTTCCTCACCTTCCCAGACCCAAAGGAAATCCTTTCCAGTACTAACTTCTACGTTTAAAAGGTATTATTCCTCCAAGCTTCCACAACAACCTCCCGTGAAGCACTTCTACACTGTACTATAATCACATTCATGATGTCTCTCCCTCTACAGGCTCTAAGCTGTAAGATCAAGGACTTCACAGGGACCTTTTACATCTTCAGAACCTAGCACAGTGCCTGACACACAGCATATGTTCAAGAGTTTTAAAGGAAATTATCCTATCTGAAGTCATGCAAATACCTTCCAAATTACACTTTCTAGAAAAGTAGTTTATTTCATGACTGTTAGAGGCTATTTTAGTTGCATTGTTGCCTAGTACTCATCCAAGAGTTAAAAAAAAAAAAAACCTAGAAGGGAAAAATAAGTCAATGGTATTTTATGACTAAAATATGATTCAGTCATTATTTTTCTAAGAAACTTTACAACAATTAGAACGCTGGTCAGTCACATATTAACTAATAAATCTTATAATTAAAAATAGCATTTCTGTAATATGAAAAGTCCCCGATAAGTTAAATAAAAATTATTACACTATCTTTTTTCATACATGCCATTACATTTTAACCTAAATAAACATTAAAGATGTCTCATGGAAAAACGTACTTACCCTGACATCAGTAGCATCTCCATGCCTGATAATACTGGCCCAGGTGGTTGGCTCACTATTGCTTTCAAAATAATGAAAGACCTTTAATACTCGCTCCATTGCACCAGGAGAACGTTCCATACCAGTACCCAGGTGAGTCTTAGTACTCGAATTTGGTGTGTGATTCAAGTTGGGGTCAAGGTAAGCAGCTGCCATTATTTTGCTAGATGCTAGGTATCTGTCATATTCTGTTAAAAGAACAAAATAATTTTTTGTGTATAATACTTGAAATCTACCAATTACAATGTGATATGTTGTTTATATCAAATGTCCTATACTCTCTCTTGATATGTTATATGCGGAAGGAGTCTGAGGAGAATAGAGACCTAATCCACTAAAATAATAGCTGTCTCTCCCCATACCCAGAGTAGGACCTGATTTACAGAATAAATATTTGTTAAAAAAAAATTATTAAAAGGCCAGGACTCCAATTTCAGCTGTGTCAAAAAGTATCTACAAACAATGTAATACCCCCACCCCCACCCCTTTTTTAATCATAGCCTTTAAATTTGTTGGAAAATCTCATAGCAAAGCCAAATTTGTTAATTTGCTCCCTGCTTTTGAAAACTTTTACCTAAGAGAAAAGTTCTTTCTTCATATAATACAAATTCAATGAGTATTCATTATATATACTAGGCATTGGTGATTAAAAACACTATAATTAAAATAAGGTCCCTGGCTTAACCAATTCATTGTTAACAGGAGAATCAGACAGACAGCAACTGAAAACAAAACGAAAAAAGCATGCACAATTAAAATTTTTAAGTGCGATAAAGGACTTCTATTTGAGTTTGAAGAAATAGCCTGCACAAGCCTAAACACCCATCGAGAAACATGAAAATCCAGATTAAAAATCTTTTTAACTCAAACAATGTTTGAAGGGCTCAGAGACAAAGATATTCTGAGGCAACCAAGACAATGAGTGACACAGATGAAGACAGGAAATGATACTTAACAGCTGGCTGCTTTTTCCCACAGGGCATTTGCCAATTCTGAGCCCTTCAGAGCCTGAAGAGACAAGAAAAGGCTACGAATGGGAGAGAAACCAGCAGAGCTTTCGGCAGCAAGGGATCAAATCTTGGATTCTGGTGAGAAGGAAGGGTGGAGACTGTGTCAAACACTCTGCAGGTTGTCTCCTGAAGACAGTTACGGAATCCTGAACCCAAGCTGAGAAGGAGCCTCTCAAAACAGTGAAAGGGTTTAGGAAACAGGAATAAGACTTCAGGAATAAACCAGAATAGTGTTAGGACATCCCCAGGCTTGCAGTGAGAACAGCTGGGTGCAGAAGCAAAGGGAGCTTTGTAAACCTGGAGTACAATTCCTGCTCAGATCCATCGTGGCAGGCCAGGTATGGCTGCTCATGCCTGTAATCCCAGCACTTTGGAAGGCTGAGGCGGGAAGACTGCTTGAGTCCAGGAGTTTGAGACCAGTCTGGGCAACATGACAAGACCTTGTCTCTACTAAAAAATACAAAAATTAGCTTGGGCGTGGTAGCGTGTTCCTGTAGTCCCAGCTACTCAGGAGGCTAAGGTGGGAGGATAGCTTGAGCCCAGGAGGTTGAGGCTATAGTGAGCTGTGACTGCATTGCTGCACTTCAGCCTGGACCACAGAGTGAGACTGTCTCAAAACAAACAAACGAACAAACACACACACACACAAAACCACAGATCCAGCCAGGCATAGATGCTCATGCCTATAATCCCAACACTTTGGGAGGCTGAGGCAGGCAGATTGCTTGAGCCCAAAGGTTCAAGACCAGCCTAGCCAACTTGGCAAAACCCATCTCTACAAAAAAATTACAATAAAGAGCCAGGAGTCGTGGCGCATGCTTGTGGTCCCAGCTACTTGGGAGGCTGAGGGGGGAGGATCACTTGAGCCCAAGAGGGGAAGGCTACAGTGAGCCGAGATCGTGCCACTGCTTTCCAGCCAGGGCGACAGAGCCAGACCCTGTCAACTCCCCACTATCTGTCCAGCAAAGAAAAGAGCCAACCCTCTGTTGGTATCAAACAAAGCATAAATAATACCTTTTTCATCCAAATCATTCTCCAATTAGTTAAAAAAAAAAATGGTATAACAGCACAGTAAAAGGAAAAAAATTATAAACCAAGTCAAAAGATGCCAAAAACACAAAAGAAAAACATATGTACCATGTATCACAGTAAAAAGCTAATACCCTATATATATACAGAAATTCTTTTAAAATGAGGGGGGAAATGATAGAAAAGAATGCAAGAGACAATCCAGACAATTAATTAAAAAGATATACCAAGTGTAGGCAAGGATGTGAAGAAACTGAAACCTTCCTACATTGCTGGAAGAGTATAAAATGGTGCAACTACTATGAAAATAGTTTGGCAGTTCCTCAAAAGGTTAAACATGGAGTTACCACATGAACCAACCATTCCATTTCTAGGTAGACATATGCCCAAAAGAACTGAAAATGTATGTCCAAATAAAAACTCATGGCTGGGCATAGTGGCTCATGCCTGTAATCCCAGCACTTTGGGAGACTGAGGCAGGAGGACTGCTTGAGGTCAGGAGTTCAAGACCAGCCTGGGCAACATGGCGAAACCCCATCTCTATAAAAATTAACTGGGCATGGTGGCATGTGCCTGTACTCCCAGCTACTTGGGAGGCCGAGGATTGCTTGAGTCCAGGAGGTCGAGGCTGCAGTAGCTGTGATCATGCCATTGTACTCCAGCTTGGGCGACAGAAAGAGACCCTGACATAAAACAAAATGAAACACCCTCACATGTGAATGGTCACAGCAGCATTATCCACAATACCGAAAAGTGATAATAACCCAAATATCCACATCCATCAATGGATAAACAGATTAACAAAATGTGGTATGCCCAACAATGAAATATTGTTCAGCATAAAAAGAAACGAAGCACTGATACATGCCGCAACATGGAGGAACCTTGAGAACATTATACTACAAGGAAACCAGACGTGAAAGACCACAAATTGTGATTCCACTTATATGAAGGAATATGCAAATCTATACAGAAGAAAGTAGATTACTGGCTGCCAGTGGCTGGGGGTAGGGCAGAGTTGGGAAGGACTGCTAATAGATAAGGAGTTTCTTTTGGGGATGAGAGAAATGGTCTGAATTTAGATCATGGTGATGGTTGAATATACTAAAAAACACTCAATTGCACACTTTGAAGTTGTTAAAATGGTGAATTTTATGTTATGGGAATTTTACCTCTGTGAAAATATAAATATATAAACAACTGTCAAATAATTTTTTTAAAAAGGTCATAGCAGTACCCTGTCATTTGGTAAGGATGTGGGGAAACAGAACTCTCATACACTGCTGATGGGAATGTGAATTTTCTATAGTATGTATAAAGGGGAATTTGACAATAACAAAACTACATGTGTCTTCTGATCCAGCAATTCCACTTCTAGGAATTTATGCCAAAGATATACTGTTACCAACTAAATGTCTGTGTGCTCCCAAAATTCATAAGTTGATACCATACTCCCCCCAATGTGATGCTATTACAAGGTAGGGTCTTTTGGAGGGAATCTGAACTAGATAAGGTCATAATGGTGAGGCCCTCATGAATGGGATTAGTGCCCTTGTGAAAGTCCAAGAGCATGCTTCCTCTCTCTGCTCTCCAGAGATATGCCTGAGGATCTAAGTCCACAGTCTGAAAACTGGAAAAAAAGGGCCCTCACCAGAACTCCACCATGCTATCACTCTGATCTAGGACTTCCAGCCTCTAGACCAGTGAGAAATAAGTTTCTGTTGTTTATAAGCCACCCAGTTTATGTATTTTGTTACAATCGTCCCAAGTGAAGAGATATACTTAACAACAACATGAAAATACATATGCATAAGGTTATTCACTGCAGCCTTACAAAGTATTAGGAAACACCTAAATGCCCATTCATGGGAGACTAATAGAGTAAACTATGGTACATTCCTATAATGGAGTACTATGAATCTGCTGGGGGAAAAACAAAAGGAAAGAAGAAGAGCCCTATAATTGACTAAGTATGAATTCCAGGATTTATTAAGTTAAAAACCCAAAGTGCAAATCACGGCCACAGTATACCTTTTGAATAAAAGGGGGAAAATAGGAAAATATAAATGTATCTGCTCATATGTGCAAAATAACCCCACAAAGTAGAAATGGGAGTCCATTGAGACTGGTTACACATGGGAGAGGTGTGACCAAGATGGAAAGTACAGGAATGGAGGATGTGGTGTGGGGTGGCACTTCTGAGTATACATGAATACACCCTTATAACTTTTGGTACGCTATAGAAGATCTGAAGAGCACGATTAACAAATCTGATCTAATTGACATAGAAACTGACACTATACCTAATAGGATAATACATAATCTTTGCAAGCACACAAGAAATATTTTCTGAAGTTGCCCATACACTGAGTGAAAGAGAAAGATTCAATAAATATCAAGGGACTAAAATTATTCAGAGTATATTCTGTGTCTAGCATTAGGCTAGACAACAATTACAAAATAACTAGAAAATGTTCCATTGTCAGGAAATTAAGCAATGTATTTCAACTAACCCTTTAAGTCAAAAAGAAACTCAAAGTATTTTGAATTAAATGGTACAGTGAAAAGAAATATCAAAACTGTGAATGTAGACAGAGCTATACTTAGAGTAAAATCTATACATTTGGCAGGGCACAGTGAATCACGCCTGTAATCCCAGCACTTTTGGAGGCTGAGATGGGAGGACAGCTTGAGGCCAGGAGTTCAAGACCTGCCTGGGCTTGTGAGACCCCTACAAAATAATTTAAAAAAATCAGCTGGGCATGGTGGTGTGTGCCTGTAGTCCCAGCTCCTTGGGAGGCTGAGGCAGGAGGACTGCTTAAGCCCCAGAGCTCAAGGCTGCAGCAAGTTATGACTGCACCACTGCACTCCAGCCTGAGCAACAGAGCACAACCCTGTCTCCTTTAAAAAAAAAAAAAAATTACGTATTTAAATTCATGTATTAGAAGCGAAGGTTGAGTATCTCTAAGAATACACATCTGTGAAGGGGGGATGGTTAATGCACAGAAAAATAGAATGCGTAAGAGCTAGTATTTGGTAGCACAACTAGGCATTATGGTCAATAAAAATGTACATTTAAAAAGAACTAAGAGTATAATTAGAATGTTTGTAACACCAAAAAAAGATAAATGTTTGAGGTGATGGATACCCCATTTAGCCTGATGTGATTATTATGCACTGTATGCCTATATCAAAACGTCTCATGTACCCCATAAATATATATATACCTACTATGTACCAATAAAAATTTAATTAAAAAAGAATGCATATTTAAAAGGACAACTTAAAAGCAGAACAAAATTAAAAGTTACTCTTTTAAAAAACAAAATTGATACACCTCTCTAAGACTAATCAAAGATAAAATGAGTCAAGAAAAACTAGCAACATCAAAAATGAAGAAGAGAATATAATAAGAGGTAAGAGATAATGAGTAATACAATAAGGGATTATTAATAACTATGCCAATGAATTTGAAAATTTAGATAAGCACAATTCCTTGCAAAACACAACACAGCAAAATGAAACAATGTAAAATGAAACTAGACTGTTCTATTTAAAATAGTCCATCTAAAATTCTCCCCACAAAGGAACATTTTATTTCTTTCAACAAATTAAGAAATATTAATCTTACACAAATTCTTCCAGAAAACAGATACAGATCATTTCCCAACTTGTTTTATGACACCTGCAGAACAGTGATATCAAAACCTGACAGAACAGGATGAGAAACGATAAAAGTCTACCTTTCTTATAAACACAGATGCAAAAATCTTAACAAGTATAATCCAGCAATATTTTAAAGGAATAATGTATCATGACCAAAAGTTTATTCTAGGAATAGAAGAAAGGTATTCATTCAAAAAGCAATCAGTGTAATTCACCACATTTTCAGAAAGAAGAGCCAGCTACCTCGATACATGCAGAAAACACATATGATAAAATTTACCAACCATTCATGATAAAAACTCGCAGCAAACTAGAAATAGGATGAGATTTCATATATCTGACAAAGAGTATCTACATGAAATGTAAATACTAGTGGGAAAAAAACTTCCCCTCCCCAAACTGGAAATAAGACATGGATGCCCACCATTACCACTTGCGTACAGCATTGTTCTGGAAGTCACTGCCAAGTACCATAGACGCCCCCCCTTCCCCCCAAAAAAACGGGGGGGGGGGGTGGGTAAAACATAAACATTGGGAAAGAACAAACAAAACTATCATTATTCATAAACTATGTAAGTAAAACTATAATTATGCATAGATTATGAAGAAAATCTAAAAGAATCTACAAATAAACTGCTGGAATAAATAAATAAATGTAACAAGACTGCTGGATAGTAAAACAACAACTATACTTCTGATCATTTTAGCTAACTCTTTTGAAGCCCAAATTAGAAGATAAAGACAACTAAATTCATAGTATCAACTGCTTCCTGGAAGAAAAGATTACACCTCACAAGTCATCAGAAGAAAAGATATGCTAGCAATGAAAAAACACTACTTGGAATAAATACGGAGTATGTCGGGGGAGAAGCTAAACCAAAAATACCACACAATCCAAATATACCTATGTGGCCCAAAAATCAATGGTGAGATTCTCCATAAACAGGCCTTCATAAATAGGTCTTCAAAAAATAGGCCAAAACATTTTTTTAAAGATAAACTTTTGTTACAATGTTACCAGAATGAAGCAGTTTTCCATTATAGAATGTGATTTTGCTCCTATCCTTTCAGAACTTACCAAAAGAAAAAAAAAAGGAATGTTATTTTGTTTTACACTTTAATGTTTTATCTGCTTGTCAAAATCTGATCTGTGCTATAAATTCTCAAATATGCAATATATTTGCCATCAGGCCTTCTTCAGCTCTCTCCGGGAAGGTCTGTGTCTGATGCTGTTAACCTCCCAAGTACCCTGTTGGTGGCATTCACGTGTCTTCATGTTTTTGTTGGTCTTGAGGGTTCTGAGATCCTGGCATCTGGGTCACCTCTTTGGGCACTCATCACGGTTTGGTCAGTTCAAAGAATGGCCTCAACTATAGAATGACAAGTCCCAAGAGTTGCTTTCTGCTACAATGACTATTCTGTTTCTACCAATTAACAGACTTCCCTGTGTTGTTTGTGTGGTTCTGTATTTGCTTCTGATCCATGGCTAAAGTTGAACAGCTGGGGCTGCCAATTCTTTGTGTGTCTCTAAATGAAAAAAGTCTTTTACCCCCTCACCATGGAAAGGTAATCTTTTAACAGGGCTTTGTTATTGTAGCCCTTCTGTTTCTGCGGCCAATTACATTTTTAAAAACTTTTCAAGATTAATTATTCACAGAGATCTGCCACTTTTGCGCACTACATAATATCTTTTTCAATAAATTATCAAGGCAGAAATGAAAAGATTTTAAAACCAAAAACTGTTTTTACGTGGCTTAGGCCAGTACTTTTCAAATCATCTGTGATGAAGAACCAGTTTAAATTTCCAACCTATCACAGACCAATACTTTTGTAAAATACAATGAAAAGGAATTTCTAGAAAAAAGAAGTTTTTTTAAAAAAAGACATACCTAAGCCAAGCACAAAATTTCCATCATTAGAATCAATCGACATAAAATTACTATCAAATTGCTGTAAGGTGTCTAGATGCTTACACCAAATTTCCTTATCTTGTCCTAGGCTGTTAAACAGTTCCAGCACCAACATTCATCTGCACCAACATTAGTCTGCTGACTACACTTTACTGAGTCCTGGCTCAGCCAGGCTGCCCAGTTTAAATCACTGTAGGCAAGAGAGCAAATGTGGACTGGAATGGGAGAGAAGATGGAATGTCAATAATTGCTGCTCAGCTGTCTACAACTTTAGGTCTCCCTTTAATTAACATAGGAAACATATCAAGGGTTCTCAGTGCCTAACTGTTTCTTCTCCTCTTGAAGAAATAGGGCAGTTCCAAGTCCAGATGTGAAGAAAAAAGTGTTACTAACCTCTGGAGTTAAGCTCCAAGGTTCAACCCACAACCTGATGTAAATGCTACATAATGCAGCACATACAAAAAAGGGAAAAAAATGCAACGAACATAATAAACACCCTACTCTTTACTCCAGAATTCCCTCATTTATAATTACTGTACATGTTAAGATCCCACCAAGATAACTACCTCATTATGCTTAAAGTACACTGACCCTTTAATAAAACTTGAGACATTTGCTGAAGCTGTAAAGGGGAGGGAGAGTGGTGAGGGAGGGTGTTGAAAGAAGAGTAGCTCACTGTTAGAACATGAGAGAATAAGCAAAGGAATGCAAATTGAGACAGCTAAATCAAAAGAAATTATGACCTAACTTGAAGAGCTTTAAGAATCTGGGTAATATTTCTAGTTAAAGTGACTCCTTAAACTAAACTGGTATAAAAGTTATCTTCTCCATCATTTTGGTATTTTCTATAACGCTTGAGTTTATTTTCCCATAAAAAGTCTAACCTAAATTTCCTGATTTTACTAGACAAAGCAGCTAACATGAAATTACTTAATGTTTAATATGCCCTTTTTCCAATGTAACTTTGATACACTTTCTGTTAATAAGTGGAATCTGTATTCCCTCTCCTTGAATCTGGGTGGGCTTCTGACTCTGGCTAAGGGACTTTCTAGGCTAGGAAATAAAAGGCAATTACCAAAAGAAAAATAAACCAAAAAGAGTTGACCAAGATTCCCTCGGTTTTCTTGGAACTCAGCCACTATACTGATTACTACAGAAATACAAAGACTCTTACAGAGACTATTGTGAACAACATTTGCTAACAAATTTGAAAAGCTGGAATAAATTGATAAATTCTTGGACACATACAACCTATCAAGATTGAATCATGAAGAAACAAGAAAACCTCAATAAGCCAATTGATGAATTTTACAAAAAACATTTTAAGAAGTAATACCAATTCTACTGCAAACTCTTCTACTCAAAAATATTGAAGAGGGGAGAATATTTCCAAAATCATTTTACAAGGGCAGTATTACCTTTACAACAAAACCAGACAACAATGCAACAAAAAAAGAAAACTACAGGCCAATATCACTGAGGAACGTAAACACAAATATCCTCAACAAAATACTAGCAAACTGAATTAAACAACACATTCAAAAGATCAATTACCATGATTAAGTAGGATTCATCCCAGAGATGCAAGGAGAGTTCAACATATGCAAATCAATAAATGTGATATATCACATTAACAGAACAAAGAAGAAAAAACCATATGGTCTCATCTCAATAGATGAAGAAAAAGCATTTGATAAAATTCAACATCTCTTCATGATAAAAATTCCCAAAAAATAGGGTACAGAAGGAATATATCTCAAAATAATAAAAGGCCATATATGACAAATCCACAAACTAACATCGAGCTGAGGGAAAATGTGAAGGCCTTTCCTCTGCGATCTGAAACAATACAAGGATGCCCACTCTCACCACTTTTATTCAACATAGTACTGAAAGTCCTGGCCAGAGCAATTAGACAAGAGAAATAAAAGGCACCCGAATCGACAAGGAAGATGTCAAATTAGTTTCGTTGACAGATGACATGATCTTATAACCCAAAGACTTCACCAAAAAGCTTTAAGAACTGATAAATTCAGTAAAGTAGCAGGATGCAAAAACCAACATATGAAAAGAAGTAGCATTTATATACACCAACAACGAACAATGTATAAAATAAATCAAGAAAGCAATCACATTTACAACAGCTACAAAAAATATCAAATACCTAGGAGTCAATTTAACCAAAGAAGTAAATGATCAACATAAGGAAAACTATAAAACATTGGTGAAAGAAATTGAAGAGGGGCTGGGTGTGGTGGCTCATGCCTGTAATCCCAGCACTTTGGGAGGTCAAGGCAGGCGTATCACTAGAGGCCAGGAGTTCATGACCAGCCTCACCAACATGGCGAAACCCCATCTCTACTAAAATTACAAAAATTTGCCAGGCATGGTATCACATGCCTGTAATCCCAGCTACTCGAGAAGCTGAGCCATCAGAACAGCTTGAACCCGGGAGGTGGGGGATGCAGTGAGCCGAGATCGTGCCACTGCATTCCAGCCTGGGTGACAAAGTGAGACTGTCTCAAAAAGAGAGAAAAAAAAGGAAGAAATTGAAGAGGACACACATACACAAGTTGAAAAATATTTCATGTTAAAGGATTGGAAAAATTAATATTGTTAAAATGACAACAATACCCAAAGCAATTTACAGATTCAATGGAATCCCTATCAAAATACCAATGACATTCTTCGCAGAAATAGGAAAAAAAAAATCCTAAAATTTATATGGAACCACAAAAGACCCTGAATAGCCAAAGCAATCCTGAGCAAAAAGAACAAAGCTGGAGACATTACACTACCTGACTTCAAAAATTACAATAAGCTATAGTAACCAAATCAGCATGGTACAGGCATAAAAACACACAGGGCAATGAAACAGAATGGAGATCTCAAATATAAATCCATACATTTACAACCAATTCATTTTTGACAAAGCCTCCAACCTCCAAGATCATGCAGTGGGGAAATGATAGTTCCTTTAATACCTGGTGCCGAGAAAACTGGATAACTGTATGCAGGAGAATGAAATTACATCTCTCTCTCTCTCTCTCTCACCATACACAAAATAGCAAATCCACATGGAATTAAAGACTCAACTCTAAGACCTGAAACTATGGAATTACTGTAAGAAAATACTGGGGAAACACTTCTGGACACTGATCTCGACAAGGATTTTTCAACTTAAGACCTCAAAAATACAGGCAACTAAAGCAAAAATAAGACAAATGGGATTACATCAAGATAAAAAGCCTCTGCAGAGCAAAAGACACAATTAACAAAGTAAAAAGACAACACAAAGAATGGGAGAAAGTATTTGCACCTACCCATCTGACAACGGATTAATAACCAGAATCTATAAAGAGCTTAGAAAACTCAATAGAAGGAGTTGGAGGTACAATGAGCTAAAATCATGCTCAATGAACTCCAGCTTGGGCAAGAAAGCAAGATCCTGTCTTTTTTTTTTTTTTTTTAAATACTTTTAAGTTCTGGGATATATGTGCAGAACGTGCAGGTTTGTTATGTAGGTATACACATGCCATGGTGGTTTGCTGCACCCATCAACCCGTCATCTACATTAGGAATATTTCTCATAACGCTATCCCTCCCCTACCCCCAACAATCCTGCGACAGGCCCCGGTGTGTGATGTTCCCCTCCCTGTGTCCATGTGTTGTCATTGTTCAACTCCCACTTATGAGTGAGAACATGCAGTGTTTGGTTTTCTGTTCCTGTGTTAGTTTGCCAAGAATGATGGTTTCCAGCTTCATCCACGTCCCTGCAAAGGACATCAACTCATCCTTTTTTATGGCTACAGAGTATTCCATGGTGTATATGTGCCACATTTTTTTTTTTTTTTGGAGATGGAGTCTTGCTCTGTCACCCAGTCTGGAGTGCAGCGGCACAATCTTGGCTCACTGCAGCCTCTGACCCCCGGGTTCCAGTGATTCTCCTGCCTCAGCCTCCTGGGTAGCTGGGATTACAGGCGCACGCCACCACGCCCAGCTAATTTTTGTATTTTTAGTAAAGATGGGGTTTTGCCATGTTGGCCAGGGCTGGTCTCAAACTCCTGACATCAGGCGATCCACACGCCTCGGCCTCCAAAAGTACTGGGATTACAGGCGTGAGCCACCGTGCCCAGCCACCATATTTTCTTTATCCAGTCTATCACTGATGGACATCTGGGTTGGTTCCAAGTCTTTGCTACTGTGAACAGTGTTGCAATAAACATACATGTGCATGTGTCTTTATAGAATGATTTATAATCCTTTGGGTATATACCCAATAATGGGATTGCTGGGTCAAATGGTATTTCTGGTTCTAGATCCTTGAGGAATTGCCACACTGTCTTCCACAATGGTTGAACTAATTTACACTCCCACCAACAGTGTAAAAGCGTTCCTATTTCTCCACATCCTCTCCAGCTTCTGTTGTTTCCTGAATTTTTAATGATTGCCATTCTAACTGGTGTGAGATGGTATTTCACTGTGGTTTTGCTTTGCATGTCTCTAATGACCAGTGATGATGAGCTTTTTTTCATATGTTTATTGGCCACATAAATGTCTTCTTGAGAAGTGTCTGTTCATATCCTTCGCCCACTTTTTGGTGGGGTTGTTTTTTTCTTGTAAATTTAAGTTCTTTGAAGATTCTGGATATTAGCCCTTAGTCAGATAGACAGATTACAAAAATTTTCTCCCATTCTGTAGGTTGCCTGTTCACTCTGATGAGAGTTGTTTTTTTTTTTTTTTTTTTTTTTTTTTTTTTTTTTGCCATGCAGAAGCTCTTTAGTTTAATTAGATGCCATTTGTCAATTTGGCTTTTGTTGCCATTGCTTCTGTTGTTTTAGTCATGAAGTCTTTGCCCATGCCTATGTCCTGAATGGTATTGCCTAGGTTTTCTTCCAGGGTTTTTATGGTTTTAGGTCTTACGTTTAAGTCTTTAATCCATCTTGAGTTAATTTTTGTATAAGGTGTAAGGAAGGGGTCCAGTTTCAGTTTTCTACATATGGCTAGCCAGTTTTCCCAGCACCATTTATTAAATAGGGAATCCTTTCCCCCATTGCTTGTTTTTGTCAGGTTTGTCAAAGATCAGATGGTTGTAGATGTATGGCGTTATTTCTGAGGCCTCTGTTCTGTTCCACTGGTCTATCTGTTTTGGTACCAGTACCATAATATCTGTTTTGGTACCACTGCCATGCTGTTTGGGATACTGTAGCCTTGTAGGATAGGTTGAAGTCAGGTAGCATGATGCCTCTAGCTTTGTTCTTTTTGCTTAGGATTGAGTTGGCTATGCGGGCTCTTTTTTGGTTCCGTATGAAATTTAAAGTAGTTTTTTCTAATTCTGTGAAGAAAGTCAATGGGAGCTTCATGGGGACAGCATCGAATCTATAAATTACTTTGGGCAGTATGGCCATTTTCACAATATTGATTCTTCCTACCCATGAGCATGGAATGTTTTTCCATTTGTTTGTGTCCTCTCTTATTTCCATGAGCAGTGGTTTGTAGTTCTCCTTGAAGAGGTCCTTCACATCCCTTGTAAGATGTATTCCTAGGTATTTTATTCTCTTTATAGCAATTGTGAATGGGAGTTCACTCATGATTTGGCTCTCTATTATTGGTGTATAGGAATGCTTGTAATTTTTGCACATTGATTTTGAACCCTGAGATTTTGCTGAAGTTGCTTATCAGCTTAAGGAGATTTTGGGCTAAGATGATGGGGTTTTCTAAATATACAATCATGTCATCCACAAACAGAGACAATTTTGACTTCCTCTCTTCCTATTTGAATATCCTTTCTTTCTTTCTTTCTCTAGCCTGACTGCCCTGGCCAGAACTTCCAATACTATGTTGAATAGGAGTGGTGAGAGACGGCATCCTTGTCTTGTGCCAGTTTTCAAAGGGAATGCATCCAGCTTTTGCCCATTCAGTATGGTATTAGCTGTGGGTTTGTCATAAATAGCTCTTATTATTTTGAGATACGTTCCATCAATACGTACTTTATTGAGAGTTTTTAACATGAAGGGGTGTTGAATTTTATTGAAGGCCTTTTCTGCATCTATTGATAATCATGGTTTTTGTCATTGGTTCTGTTTATGTGATGGATTATGTTTATTGATTTGCGTTTGTTGAACAAGCCTTGCATCCGAGGGATGAAGCCGACTTGATAGTGGTGGATATGCTTTTTCATGTGCTGCTGGATTGGGTTTGCCAGCATTTTATTGAGGATTTTCGCATCGATGTTCATCAGGCATATCGGCCTGAAATTTTCTTTTTTTCTTGTGTGTCTGCCAAATTTTGGTATCAAGATGATGCTGACCTCATAAAATGAGTTAGGGAAGAGTCCCTCTTTTTCTATTGCTTGGAATAGTTTCAAAAGGAATTGTACCAGCTCTTCTTTGTACCTCTGGTAGAATTCAGCTGTGAATCTGTCTGGTCCTGGGCTTTTTTTTGGTTGGTAGGCTATTAATTACTGCCTCAATTTCAGAACTTGTTATTGGTCCATTCAGGGATTTGACTTCTTCCTGATTTAGTCTTGGGAGGGTGTATGTGTCCAGGAATGTATCCATTTCTTCTAGATTTTCTAGTTTATTTGCATAGAGGTGTTTCTAGTATTTTCTAATGGTAGTTTGTATTTCTGTGGGATCAGTGGTGATATCCCCTTTATCATTTTTTATTGTGTCTCTTTGATTCTTCTCTCTTTTCTTCTTTATTCGTCTGGCTAGCGGTCTATTTTGTTAATCTTTTCAAAAAACCAGCTCCTGGATTCATTGATTTTTGAAAGTTTTTTTGTATCTCTATCTCCTTCAGTTCTGCTCTAATCTTAGTTATTTCTTGTCTTCTGCTAGCATTTGAATGTGTTTGCTCTTCCTTCTCTAGTTCTTTTAATTGTCATGCTAGGGTGTCGATTTTAGATCTTTCCTGCTTTCTCTTATGGACATTTAGTGCTATAAATTTCCCTCTAAACACTGCTTTAGCTGTGTCCCAGATTAACTTTAAATGTAAGTGTGCTAAATATCCCAATTAAAAGACACAGACTGGCAAACTGGATAAAGAGTCAAGACTCATCGGAGTGCTGTATTTGGGAGACCCATGTCATGTGCAAAGACACACACAGGCTCAAAATAAAGGGATGGAGGAATATTTACCAAGCACATGGAAAGCAAAAAAAAAAGCAGAGGTTGCAATCCTAGTCTCTGATAAAACAGACTTTAAACCAACAAAGATCAAAAAAGACAAAGAAGGGCATTATATAATGGTAAAGAGATCAATGCAACAAGAAGAGCTAACTATCTTAAATATATATATGCACCCAATACAGGAGCACCCAGATTCATAAAGTTCTTAGAGACCTACAAAGAGACTTAGACTTCCACACAATAATAGCGGGAGACTTTAACACCCCACTGTCAATATTAGACAGATCAACAAGACAGAAGATAAACACGGATATTCAGGACTTGAACTCAGCTCTGGACCAAGCGGACCTAATAGACATCTACAGAACTCTCCACCCCAGATCAACAGAATATACATTCTTCTCAGCACATCACACTTATTCTAAAGTTGACAACATAATTGAAAGTAAAATACTCCTCAGCAAATGCAAAAGAATGGAAATCATAACAGTCTCTCAGACCACAGTGCAATCAAATTGGAACTCAGGATTAAGAAAACTCAAAACTGCACAACTACATGGAAACTGAACAACTTGCTCCTCCTGAATGACTACTGGGTAAATAAGAAATGAAGGCAGAAATAAGTAAGTTATTTGAAACCAATGAGAATGAAGACACAACATGCCAGATCCTGTCTCTAAAAAAAAAAACCTCAAAAGGATAAATAATCCTGTTTTAAAAATGGGCACAAGATCTGAAAGACATTTCTCAATAGAAGACATACAAAAGGCCAATAGGTATATGGAAAAAATGCTCAACACTACTATCATCAGGAAAATACAAATTAAAACCACAATGAGATACCATCTCACCTCAGTTGTAATACCTATTATAAAAAAGACAAAAAATAACAAGTGCTGGCAAGGATGCAGAGAAAGAGGAATGCTTCCACACTCTGTTGGTAGGAATGTAAAGTAGTATAGCCATTATAAAAAAACAAAAATAGAATATATGATCCAGCAATCCCAATACTGAATACATATTCAAAAGAAAGGAAATCAGTATATTGAAGTGATATCTGCATCCCCATTCTTATTACAGCCCTATTCACAACAGCCAAGATATGGAATCCACATGGACAATGTGGTATATATACACAATGGAATATTATTCAGCAACAGAAGAATGAAATCTTGTCAGCTGCAGCAACATGAATGGAACCAGAGGTCATTACCTTAAGTGAAATAAGCCAGGCACAGAAAGACAAATATGGCATGTTCTCATTCACAGTTAGGAGCTAAAAAAAGTGAATCCCATGGAAGTATAGAGTAGAGTGGTGGTTACCAGAGGCTGGGAAGGGAAAGGGTACAGGGCATAAATAGAAGTAGGTTAAGGGGTACAAAAATATAGTTAGAAGGAATAAGTTCTAGTATTTGATAGTACAGCAAGAAAATCACAGTTAATAATTTATTGCATATTTTAAAATGAGAATTGTAATGTTCCCAACACAAAGGAAAGAAAAGTGTTGGAGATGATATCCTAATTACCCTGATTTGATCATCACATATTGTATACAGGTATCACGTATACCTCAAAAATAAGTACAATATTTACATACCAATAACAAGTAAATCAATGAAATGAGTTACCTGACACAATGTCTTAAGAAACTCACAGTTATTAAGATTGAAGCCTATACTAAGAATACCAGTGAAGACACAACAAGCAGATCTCACTGTTTCCACTATTTTCAGTACTGTGAAGACAGATGCTCAATCTGATTTACCAAATGAAGAGGACGCAATCGGATATTCCAACTGGTCCTAGCGAAAAAATTTATATTAGACATTCCAACACATGCTTGCTTTATCTTGTGCTGGTTCAACCTACTAAACTGTTGAATAACCACTCTAGTCCTTTCTGCCTTCTTCTCTACTATGAGTGAGTATCCCTAACCTAAATGTTTAGGACCAGAAGAGTTTCAGATTTCATACTTTTTCAGATTTTGGAATATTTGCATTATACTCACTGGTTGAACATCCCAAATAAGAAAATACAACATCTGCAATGCTCCAACAAGTTTCCGTTGAACATCATATCGGCGCTCAAAAAAGCTGAGTATTTGGGAGCATATCGAATTTCAGATTTTCAGATCAGGGATACTCAACTTGTACCTTCTTCCCTAGCCCTGTATAATTTGCCTTCCCCAGCAATCATAGAAATTGATAATTCATCCAACTGCCTTTTTTTTAAAACAAAAACAACAACAACAAAAAACAAAGGGTTTGTGGCAACCCTGCATCGAGCGAGTCTATGGGCATCATTTTCCCAACAGCATATGCCCACTTTACCAAATGTGCTACATTTTGGTAATGCTCACAATTATTTCCAACTTTTTCATTATTATTATTTCTGTGATGCTGATTCATGATATTTGATATTTCTATTGTAACTGTCTTGGGGTGCCACAAATGGCACCCACGTTAAGAGAGCGAGCTTAGTTGATACGTGTGTGTCCTAACTGCTCCACCAACCCGCTGCTGCCTCATCTCTCCCACCTCTCCTAAGGCCTCCCTATTCAGAGACACAATAATACTGAAATTAGGCCAATTAATAACCCTACAATGGCCTCTAAGCGTTCAAGTGAAACGAACAGTCCCATTCCTCTCACTTTAAATCAAACGCTAGAAATGATTAAGCCTAGTGAAGAAAGCATGTCAAAAGCTGAAACAAGCCAAAAGCTAGGCTTCTTGTGCCAAAAAGCCAAGTTGTGAATGCAAAGGAAAAGTCACTGAAGGAAATACAAATGCTACTCCACTGAACACACAAATGATAAGAAAGCAGAACAGCCTTATTGCTGAAACTGAGAAGGTTTTGGTGGTCTGGATAGATCAAACCAGTCACAACATTCCCTTAAGCCAAAGACTAATCCAGAGCAAGCTCATCTTCAGTTCTATAAATTGAGGTAAGGTAGCTACAGAAGGAAAGCCTGAAGCTAGCAGAGGTTGGTTCATAAGGTTGAAGGAAAAAAGCCATCTCCACAGCATAAAAGTACAAGATGAAGCAGCAAGTGCTGGTGGAGAAGCTGCACCAAGTTGTCCAAAAGATCTAGCTAACATCACTGATTAATGTGGCTACACTAAATGACACAATGAAGAAGAAAGAGTCTTTTATTAGAAGATGCCATCTAGGACTTTGACAGCTAGAGGTGAAGTCAATGCTTAGCTTCAAAGCTTCAGAGGACAGGCTGTCTCTCATTAGGGGCTAATGCAGCTGGTGATTTTAAGTTGAAGCCAACACTCATTTCCCATTCTGCAAATCCTAAGGCCCTTAAGAATGATGCTAAATCCACTGTGCCTGTGGGAATTCAAGATAAGATTTGGGGGGGGACACAGCCAAACCATATGACAGCCCCTCAGAAGGGGCCAATTCTCCTGATGTCCAAATCGAGCCCTTTGCTAAGACCAGTTTCCACGGAAAAGAACACTTCAGTCTCTTGCCAGGATTCCAGAAGCCAAGGAGAGAGAAAACATGCCAAATTTCACTTAATTCTCAATTTTGAGTATAAGAATGCATTCAATATACCATGTTTTACCAGAATTTTTCCATAATAAAATACATGAAACTGGGCCGGGCACAGTGGCTCACGCCTGTAATCCCAGCACTCTGGGATGTCAGGAGTTTGAGACCAGCCTGGCCAACATGGTGAAACCCTGTCTCTACTAAAAATACAAAAATTATCTGGGTTTGGTGGCATGTGCCTGTAATCCCAGCTACTTGGGAGGCTGAGGCAGGAGGCAGAGGTTGCAGTGAGTCGAGATTGGGCCACTGCACTCCAGCCTGGGCAACACAGCGAGACTCTGTTGGAAGGGAAGGGGAAGGGGAAGGGAAGGGGAGGGGTGAAACTATACGCAGACAACCCACAGTAAGGATAATAATTTATTACAACAGCATTTCAACTCTTATGGCTTTGAAGACTTTAAGTGGTTAAGTATATCCCTCAGAATTTCAAGACTAAATTATCTCTACCTTGAGCCATTACGTACTTTCCATGAGTAAGACCCTATAGATTACAGGACAGCTAAAACTTCACCTAAATCCCCAAAATAAAATTTTAAAGCAAGCCCAATCTAATATTTGAGCCTACAACTGGAGAAGGTTAGAAATTTTACAGAACTAGCACATATCATGAAAAGCTTTATAGATGGTGACATCTGAACAAGATCTTCAAGAGGAGCAGTACCTGTCATTTAATAACAAGGACTGTGCTTAGCTCTCACAATTATACAACTCTTAAGTCACCACAGGTTCCATACCTGTAAAGTGGGAGTTGAAATAATAAATATAAAGTGTTTACCAAGATACATGAAACAAAGTTAGCATTCAACAGACAATAACAGTTGTTAAAGAAGGATGAACTGAATTTTCTAAGGCCAAGAAAAGGGGAGTTCAAAGTAGGAATATTCTTTAAACAGAAATCCACTGAGACCTTCCCATGGATCATTACTTAGTCCTAATCAACATCTTTCCTGTTACCCCTCATATCTTTATGAATGCTTGTCAAAAAAGGAAACAAAAGATAACTAACCTTACTATGGTAACATCTGGTATATTTGAAATGTATTCATAATCCAATAACCAAATTAGACACAAATCTTCCTTTAAAAATTTCTCCTAAAGCTTGTCCTATTAAAAAAAATATGGGTTTTTTTCTAAACTGAAAATCTATCATGAGTATACAACTCCATTATGAAGTTACATAAAAGTTAAAATAAGAATATACAATAGTCAGGGGCTGTTACCATCTCATTGATTCTGCCAATTTTACAAAACAGTAAGATTTTCACAGTCAAAAAGCAGTATTAACATATATGATATTCTAACAGTATTTTGTTTCTTAGAAAAATAAAAGAGTGGGGGAGGTAACAAAACAGACCTTGAAGGAAATACAACACTCTAGCATCACCCACAGAACATCTCCCTCCCTGGTTAACAAGGTTCTGGATTTTTCCCTTGCCTTTTTTTTTAATATGAAAGACTACACACATCTCTCAATATAACAGTTTTTGGCCAATATAAATTTGTATCTTCAAAACTTCGTACATAATTTTAAACAAAAGTATGTATGGAAAAGTCTCAAGTTACAATCCAAGTAAAATTTGTAGGACTTAATCTGTAGGGTCTCATAATCACAGTTTGAAAAGGAGGCCAAAAATCAGAATATTAAGGGACTCCAACCCTTGAAAGTGACTGCTATAGAAGTCTTTCTTCTACAGATACCCTAATGCTTCCTATAACCCCAAACAAAGAAATTAAGAATACAGCGAATGGGGATGTAAACAAAGCTCTAATTTCCCATTTTCCTACTCTAAATCATCAATCACTGAAAGAACATCATGAAATCTTCCCAGCTCTATAGTCACATGAAGTGACTGGACATCTCAGTAACTTCTTGGCCTGAATTGCCCCATTCTCTCCAAAACCATCTGCCCCATTCCCTGACCAATTACACAGACTGCTTCAAGCTCTTTACCTCCTTCCCCAACTTTCTAAAGGCCTCAAATCCCACTTCATAATTATAGGTTTGTTTGACACAGGGTCTTGCTCTGTCGCCCAGGCTGGAGTGCAGTGGGGTAATCACGGCTCACCGCAGCCTCAACCTCCTTGACTCAAGCAATTCTCCCACCTCAGGCTTCCAAGTAGCTGGAACTACAAGTGTCGCACCACTATGCCCAGCTAAATTTTTTTTTTTTTTTTGTATTTTTTGTAAAGCCGGAGTCTTGCCATATTGCTCAGGCTGGTCTCAAACTCCTGAGCTCAAGCAATCCACCCACCTCAGCCTCCCAAAGCACTGGGATTACAGGCGTGAGCCACAGCACCCAGCACTTTCTTTTTTATTGTAGGTTTTTGTCTGCCTTTTTTTTCTGGCAATTTTATTTCATGGTATATTGTTTTATCATACATTGTAATATTTAGTGAAGAGCCGGCACATTTTCCACATACAACTGTTAACCATATTGTCTGGTAATCAGGAAACCATGTTTTAAATCTTTTCAATCTTACATTTTAGATTTTGTTCACATCTAGTCTTTTCACTGTTTTTTTAAGAAACTGGTTTAATGTTTTCTGCTGATGTATATAATTTTCCCTTTGCAAAATAGAAAAATGCTTGATTTTCAGAAATGCAATGTTAAGTGGGAGACACATTGATAGTCTGATTTTAATAGTATAATTTATAAAATACACAAATCCTAAAGTGAACAGCTCAATGACTTTTAAAATACACATACATACATATGTGTGTACATTTATCTCCATCCTTATGACTACCACCCTAGACCAAGACACAGAACATTTCCATCAATGTTTTATCTTCATGTCCCTTTCTAATTAATACTACCCCACCGAAAGGGCTACTATTGCTATCACTATAATGTTTTTCTTAAACTTTACATAATTAATCATATACATAAACGTAAAAAGGGAACATTTTCCAACTTATTTTATTAGAACACCAGTACCTTGATAAGAAAACCTGATAAAACGATTACAAGGAAAAAAATTACAAACAGATATCCCTCATAAACATAGATACAAATAATCTGCACAAAGTATTATCAAATTTAGCTATATCAAAATAGAATAGGCCAGGCGCGGTGACTCATGCCTATAATACAAGCACTTTGGGAGCCTGAGGCAGGAGGATCTTCTGAGGCAAGAAGTTCAAGAACAGCCTAGGCAACAAAACGAGACCTTGGCTCTACAAAGAAATAACCAAAATTTTAAAATTAGCCAGGTATGGTGGCACGCACCTGTAGTCCCAGCTACTCAGGAGGCTGAGGCAGGAGGACTGCTTGAGCCCAGGACTTCAAGGATACAGTGAGCTATGATTATGACACTGCATTCTAGCCTGGACAACAGAGTAACACTCTGTCTCTATAAAAGAAAAAAAAAACAAAAAAACAAAAAAATCAGGATAATATGTCATGATAAAGTGGGGTTTATCTCAGCAATGCAGGTTGTTTTAACATTAAAAAAAAATTCATACTTGAGTACAGTGGCTCGTGCCTGTCAGGTACTCAGGAGGCTGAGGCAGCAGGACTTCTTGAGCCCAGGAGCTTGAGATCAGCCTGGGCAACGTATTAACAGCAAGACCTCATTTCTCAAAAAATAAAGATAAATACAAATTTTAAACACTATAATTCATCACATTATAAAAATTAAAACAGAAAAACTCATATGAGCAACTGAATAGATGCAGAAAAAGCATTCGACAAAAATCAACACCCTCTCATAATAATAAAAAAAAGAAAAAAAACCTCTCAGAAACCTAAGAATTGAAAGGAACCTTTTTCAATTTGAAAAAGGATATCAGCTGGGCACAGTGGCTCATGCCTGTAACCCCAACACTTTGGGAGGCCGAGGCGGGCGGATCACAACATCAGGAGTTCGAGACCAGCCTGGCCAGTATGGTGAAACTTTGTCTATACCAAAAATACAAAAATTAGACGAGCTTGGTAGTCCCAGTTACTCGGGAGGCTGAGGCAGGAGAATAGCTTGAACCTGGGAGGCGGAGGTTGCAGTGAGCCGAGATCGTGCCACTGCACTCCAGCCTGGGCGACAGAGCAAGACTCTGTCTCAAAAAAAAGAAAAAAGAAAAAGGATATCCACAAAAACAAAACAGACAAAACTAGAGTTAACAAACTTAACACTGAACATGTTCTCCCTAAGGGGGAAAAAAGGGGAAATCTGTCTCCTCTCACCATTTCTCAACACTATAATAGAGGTCCTGGTCAAGGCAAAGACATAGATGAAGATATAAAGGTCAGAAAAGAAAACTATTTTTATTTGCCAGTAACACATTAACAGATTTATTTTGATTTTCTATACTCAGATCACCAGAACTAATAAGCGAATTTATAATAAGGCCAAAAGATAAACTAATAGGACAATCTATTTCTATATACTAGGCCAAGAATTGTAAAATTAAACTTTTTTTTTTTTTTTTTTGACAGAGTCTCACTCTGTTGCCCAGGCTGGAGTGCAATGGTGCAATCTTTGCTCATTGCAACCTCAACCTCCCAGGTTCAAGTGATTCTTGTGCCTCAGCCTCCTGAGTAGCTGGGTCTACAAGTACACGCCACTACACCCAGCTAATTTTTGTATTTTTAGTAAAGACAGGGTTTCACCATGTTGGCCAGGCTGGTCTCGAACTCCTGGCCTTACGCAATCTGCCCAGCTCAGCCTCCCAAAGTGCTGGGATTACAGGTGTGAGCCACTGAGTCCAGCCAGAAAATTAAACTTAAAAGCCAAAAATTATTATTTACAATATCATCAAAAAACACCCAGACCACCACATTAAGATCTATCACACATTGCTTAGAAAAATTAAACAAGACTTAAATAACTGGATATACAATGTTCATTACTGTATTGTTCAATATTGTTCATAAGTCAATTCTCCCAAATCAATCCATAGATTCAACACTGCCCCAATATTTAAAAAAGGAAAATATATTAATTCAACTTATAAACTGCTGAGACTTCCTATCCACAAGCCAACAAATTCAGTTGAACACTGTAATCAATAACAAAGAAATAACCAAAATCTATGAGAATAAGAACGTGGAAAATCAACCAAAGGTATCACCAAATGAACCAAAGATTTCATTACTGTTTTAGTCAAAGAAAAAATTTACTAATCATTGGGTTCAACGTCAAACTTCTATAAAACACTTAAAATGACTCATTTTATACAGTTTTTAAGAAAGGTATAATATAAAATAAAAATACAAATGTATTTTAGTTTACTTTTCTAGGTAAAGAAGTTAATATACACCTAAATCCAACTCTAAAATTATGTGAGCTACGAATCAATGACATTATAAAAATGTATGCAAATAATGTTCAAATGCAAAATTAAAATATTCAGGGATAACTGTTTTAAAGTTAGATTTTTCTCTAACTGAAAACTGTTAAAAAAAATACAGAAAACCATTGAATTTACAATAAATTCCTTGCAGTTTAAACAATTATAGATGAATCTGAAATCAAAGATTTGTGAACACTTTACAAAAATCAGCATCACTAACCCTTAAAGAACCAAGTTTTGGGTTTTTTTTTTTTAATCTTTTATTTTAGGTTCAGGGGTACACATGAAGGTTTGTTATAAAGGTAAACTTGTATCACGAGGGTTTGTTGTACAGATTATTTCACCATCCAGGTATTAAGCCTAGCACCCAAGAGTTTTTTTTTTTGCTTCTCTCCTTCCTCCCTCCACCCTCAAGTAAATCCCAGTGTCTGTTGTTCCCTTCTTCGTAGAACAAGTGTTTTTTTAATTTCCACAAAAATCTCCATCACTCTCTCATTTGCTTCTAACGACTGAAACCTCTGTTGCTCCCAGAAGACAAGATTTAATTCATTTATCCGTTTAAAGTAAGAGTCTACCAGCCAGGAGTGGTGGCTCACATCTATAATTCCAGCACTCTGAGAGGCCGAGGCGAGTGGATCACATGAGGTTGGAAGTTTGAGACCAGCCTGACCAATATGGAGGTCTTATCTCTACTAAAAACACAAAATTAGCCGGGCATAGTGGTGCATGCCTGTAATCCCAGCTACTCGGGAGGCTGAGGCAGGAGAATCGCTTGAACCCGGGAGGCAGAGGTTGCGGTGAGCCGAGATCACGCCATTGCACTCCAGCCTGGGCAACAAGAACGAAACTCCAACTCAAAAAAAAAAAAAAAAAAAAAAGTCTACTACGTCTTAGGCACTGGGAATGCAGCAATGAGCAGGACAGATAGGATTCCCTTGTCTCATGGGGTGTACATTTCACTGAGGGACAGCAGCTAAACCAAAGAAGTAAATAAATAAACCGTCAGGTATGTTAGATAGTGGTTAAGAGCAAATAGAAAAGACAGAACAGGGATGGGGGTACAGTGATGGCAGGAGGATGAGTCCATTTTAAATTGTTTGATCGGGCTGGGTGTGGTGGCACACACCTGTAATCCTAGACTTTGTGAGGCCAAGGTGGGAGGATTGCTTGAGCCTAGGAGTTTGAGACCAGACCAGATGACACAGCAAGACCAAGCCACATACATACATAGGTACACACATACATACATACATAGGGTGATCAAAGGAGGACACATTTTAGGGTTCCCATATAATTTATTGCCCAAACCAGGACACTTAGGAGGCTGGGAGTGGGAATGCTAAACACATGGAAGACCCAGTCAATAAGCATAATATGGGGCATGCTGTTATTCTCCTTCACTTAGAAGGTCATATTTGGGCAAAAACCCCATATCCAGGCCGGGCACGGTGGCTCACGCCTGTAATCCCAGCACTTTGGGAGGCCAAGGCAGGCAGATCACCTGAGGTCAGGAGGTCAAGACCAGCCTGGCCAACATGATAAAACCCGTCTCTACTAAAAAAAAAAATTAAAAAATTTGCAGGCTGTGGTGGTGGGTTCCTGTAATCCCAGCTACTTGGGAGGCTGAGGCAGGAGAATCACTTGAACCTGGGAGGTGGAGGTTGCAGGGAGCCAAGATCACGCCACTGCACTCCAGTCTGGTGACAAGAGCAAAACTCGGTCTCAAAAAACAAACAAACAAACAAACAAACAAACAAGAAACCTATCCACTGACAGCTCTAAAATTACATACAAAGAGGAAAAAATTGGGCAAAACTAGCAGTCTCTTCCCCAAATACTAATAATGAGGACCAGAAAAAGAATATGAGAAAAAGTTTAATACCCACTGCCTTATGTTTGTGGATGAGTTGATGTTACTAATATTCAAAAATAGAAATGAAAAGGGAGAGTTCACCAGTCTTTCTGTTAAGACATCTGTTGAGAGAACCAGAATGAGGCATGTGTTTCCCACAGGAGGATATTTAAAGGCTGATTCACTCCTCTCATGGAGCTATTTTTAAGGAATGTGGATTAGGATAGATCGGCAAACTGTGGCTTGTTTCTAGTGGGCCTCACTTTTAACCCATGCCTGTGTCTCTGGTTAAACCACCACCTCGTAGGCACGAAGAACTGGAAAGATAGCCATAACCCCGTATTCACTCTGTTCCAGCCACAATGCCATTTTCCCAGCAAGAGCCTTTGCTCTACCTATACAATCAACTTGGAACTTTCTTTTCCCAAGTATCCACTTGGCTAACTCCCATATTTCCTTCAGGTCTTCAATAAAATGCACCTTTTCAATGCAGTCTACACATAGACATTCTATATAAGACTGTCATCTGACCTCACCTTCACTGTAACACTTAACACCTTCTATCACACTAACCAATTTACTTACTTACTTGGTTCTCATTAAATATCTGTGGAATGAATGAATGAATAGTACGCAAACATCTGAGAGTAGAAGACATGGTACATATATCAAAATGCAAAAATTACACAAAAAAGAAAATTCCGTTATGATCCTACCATTTTTCTATTTGGGTGTGTACGGCATATTGATTAAGAATACAGGCACTGCAGTTAGATTCCCACTGTTCAGAATCTTGCTCTGCCTTTTATTTTAGCTGAGCAACAATTGCCAAGTTATTTAATCTCTCAGTACCTCAATTATCGCATCTGGAAAATGGGGATAATGATATTTCCTATCTCAGAGAGCTTACAAACATTTGTGAGAATGGAATAACATGTATGTTTTTTGTGCATGTTTAATGCACAGAACACAGCATGGCATGTAGTATTTCTGAATAAATTTTAGCTATTACTATAAGAAGCACAGCTCTCTTTTAAAATGCCATGATTTGAGGTAAAGCAGAAAGAAACTGTAAAATTGACCAGGTGTGGTGGCTCACACCTGTAATCCTAGCACTTTGGGAGGCCGAGGTGGGTGGATTACTTGAGGTCAGGAGTTCGAGACCAGCCTGGCCAACATGGTGAAACCCTGTCTCTACCGAAAATACAACAATTAGCCAGGCTTGGTGGTGCACGTTTGTAATCCCAGCTACTTGGGAGGCTGAGGCAGAACTGCTTGAACCAGCCTGGGCGACAGAGCAAGACTCTGCCAGGAAAGGACAGGAAAGGACAGGAGAGGGGAGGGGAGGGCAGGGGAGGGCAGATGAGAGGAGAGGAGAGGAAAAAGGAAAGGAAAAAGGAAAGCATTCATTCATTTATTAGCCACCCACTATGGGCAGAGTGCTATGTTAAACCCTGGATAAATACTTTTACTCTAAGAGAAAAAAGAAAACACAAACTCAATGAAATTAGAATGGCCAAAAGTTTGACATGGAAGATTTATTTCTGACAGCTGAATGATCCTAAAACTAGATTTACCTACAAAACACTGTATTAATCACAAGATTTTAGCTCTGAAAGAGCCTTTTAAAATCAAATCTAACCCTACAAAGAATTTATTCATTCATTAAAGTAATAATCATTTATGTCAACTATTTGTCAAGAAGAAAAAAAACTGACATTATGTCTGTGAAGTTTACAGTCTAATAGAAGACAGAAATCCAAAAAAGTAAAATATATAATGACAAATCACAGTAAGTGCTATACAAGACCAGAAGAAAAGGATATAGGAGGGGACACTAGAGAAAACTTGGTTTAGACTGACAGGAATGAGAGCACTGGAGTGAGATTCCCACAGTAATTTTTGCATTTTAATGTCAGTACCATGCATTCTACTCTTAGGTATTTTTCTGTGCACACTAGTCATTGATTCATTCAACAAATATTTAACAAACACCTAGTATGTGCCAAGCATATGGCAGTGAGCAAAAGATGAAGACACCTGCTTCCTCATCGAGCTCATTTAAGCTGAGACCGAAAAGGTTAAGTAGGAGTTGGCTAGTCAGAGAATGCAGAGATGATGGTTCTAGGAAGGTGCAACAGAAGGTATAAACGCCTGAGAGGAAGAGTTCGGGGTGTTTGAGGCACTGAAAAGCCAAAATAATTGTGCTATTAATGAGCAAAAGGACAACGGCCCAAAGCTGGAGAAATCAAGAGATCAGATCAGGATTTAACAACCAAATATCTGACACTCTTTAGTCCTTCCTAGCCTTTCAAAAACATGAAATAAATAATGTAAAAACTGGTATAATCAAATAACTTCCCAAACAGGGCTTTCTGCATTTGATAGTCTTGCAACCTAAAATACCACTGTGAACATTTACATTTAATTCAATATTCTGAATCAAAACTGTCTTTAAACCTAGAAAATCATGATGTAGTTGAACCCATGTTAAAACAAAGTCCTTTTTAATACTTTAAAATATAATCTTCCTTGGATGGGACCTAAGGTGGATTCTTTACACCAAATTCAACCGCACAGTGAGCTTGGTTCAAACACCCCAGAAGGCTTTAAGGGTACCTTAAAGGTTTCAGTTCAAGGTATATAAATATAGTCTGCTCTATTATTTTTAGCTTGTCCTGGTATTTTATGTGTCTTCTTAAATTGGGACACTGCTGTGCTTTTTGAGGTTAATGTGACTGATAAAATCAAATGTGTGGTTTAGAATGTCTAACTGCAGATAGAGATTTGTATATTCTTTGGATTTGAGCTTTTCACTGTGTCTTTATCTACAAGTTGTAACTTTTATACTTGAATATAACCAATTCAGCCAATTCCTATACACCAACATCTTTGTCCTTATCACACAGATAAAAATTAACCAGCATAACAACAAGGTTTCCTGCCTCCCTGTCCTGGTACAAGAGTAACATGAGGGGAGAGAGAGGAAGTTTACTAAGATAGTTACACACTGGGCAATCACAATGGAAGCAGTGTGTGCAGCACCAGGAAGGAACAGGATGACAGCTCCCAGGTTTTGTCAGAACCTCCTCTGAACAACTGGAAAGCAAAACCATGTATATGAGGAGATGGCTTGCTGCAGCCCTACATATGAAACTGATTCTGACCCTTAACACTATCCCTACCTTTTCCCATCTTTTATACGTGTGAGCTCTGTTCCCTCTCACCCAACCCTAACCTCTATCATAATGCATATTTCAGTTAAAAATAGTTGTACTCATTTGCTCTGACAGCCAGCAAACTTAATTGAAAAATAAGTTGTTTCCATCAATCACTTTGGGGTGAGCAAAAACACTATAATCTCTTTTCTTCCAAAGTTCACGGTTTTAAAGTCACACTGAATAAAAAGAAATCCAGTAGCTGATAATTTAATATTCTGTTGGTACTGGATGTGTAGATCTTGAATACAGCTTAGGCTTTGTGAAGGAAATCAGAGCCTTAGTGTTAATCATCAGTGCTAACACAATGTTATCATACAATGGAGGTGGCAATATGCAAACGAACCCCAGCAAATCCAGGAAAAGACCAAAATTTTCAAGAAGTATAGAATTCTTTGGCTCTGAACACTATTAGTCACACTCACTTATACTATACATTTCTGATGCTCAGAAACTAAAATTTTAAAAAGTTCCCATTCCCAAAGCCCTTTAAAATCCAAGAGTGTAAATTTAACTCAGCAAAATATTTACTCTGAGTATCTAATTACATAATCAAGTGAACAAAATGAATACTAAAATAGTTCTAATATCACGTTTTGTAAATGTTTAAAAGCCTAGGAAAGAATCAATAGATGTCAGCAACAACTAAATAAAAGCGATTTTAATGGTGAAACTGTAGTTTGGTGCTAACTTGGTTTAGTACCCAGTGGTACTAAAATTTTTACCCTGAAAACTAAAATCAATCAGTCTATACCTCTACTCATAAAACTGCAGCCTTTTACAACAGTGCAGCTTCCTCCTTTTAAAAATCTTTCCTAAGGGAGTAACATGACATTTAAATATATTAGAAATAATAACAAAAAATATTTATTATATTCTTCATTAAGAACTTTATTTCCTAACTTAAATATTTCTACTACTCTAAGCAAAACAGCTGATTTGCTTTTAGTCAAGCACCAATTACATAGCATTTTTAACTTCTAAATATGTTTCCCAAATACTGTCTTGAATGTTACAATGAAAATGCTATTATTTTATATTTACATTTTTATGTGAACAAAAACCCTAACAACATTAAAGAAGAAAATTGTTTATGTATGGTATTCCTAAGCCCACCTTACAATAATACCGAGTTTCAAATTGAATATACAATCTTTACAGTGAGTAAAGAAAACTAATTTTTAAAATAAGAAAATACATGTTACTCTTATTTCCTACAACCCTGTTTAAGTTAAAATTCCTCTTTATTCCTTAAAAACTTCCATATTACAGAATACAGATGTCTTAAAAGAAAAAAATAAAACTATTGAGACATAGGACAGAGCATTAAAAGATAGCTTAATGCACTTAAAATTCATTTCCATAAAAAATATTTTCATTTGCTATTTGAAAAGCTATCTAATTGGTTTTATGTAATAGCTGTAAACCCATACCAAATCTATTTCCATTTTTCCTTAAATTTAACTGTAAATATATTGAAATAAATTCTGAAAAACATTTATCTACCTTTTCGGTGCAAAAGCATGAATTCAAATAAAACGGAACATATTTTTAAGTTATTTATACCTTTAGCCCAACACACTGGAAATGGACTACATCCGCTTTTCTCCATATAGATGGCACCTGCTGGTTTCAGGGCCTCTTGGCCTGCCAGTTCCAACAACATACACCCAATCCTATAAAGATCAAGCCAGGAGTCTGCACACAAAGTCCCAGTTCCTCGCTGTGATAGTATTTGCTTCGATCCACAAGCAAGACTAAGGTTCCCCTGTGTGCTCCTTTTTTCAGAGCTTGAAGCAAAATTTGGAAGGTGTTCCTTCTGTAATATTTTCCAGCAGCTTGAAGAATGCCTCTCAGTTACAGAATCTTCTCATGCTTCCGCAATCTGAAACACAGACCATCCTGGCTAGATCAAGCTACTGAACAGAATGAAACCAGCTTAGTAATGTGACCCCATGGCTCTGTGTTCCTAGATTCATTCAGGGAAGGAGAAAGAGGGAGGGAAAAGAGGGAGGAGAAAAAGAAGGCCAGTAGCCAGTAACTTATTAATATGCTAATCTCACCCTTCTGTTCAATTCATCCAGCAGTCTTCTGTTTACAAAACTGACAACCGATTCTAAAATTGAGTAAGCTGCAAATCAAGTCTGACCCAGATCATGTCTGTAGATGGCTTCTCAAACCTTTTTTGTTTTCAAAGTCATGCCTTTGTCATTTTACTAACCTAATTCTTTATGACCTTAGAGTTAAAATAATTACTTTGATGAAATAAAAATCCTTTCTGGAAAAAAATTCCTGATCTATCTATGTCTCTATGTCTATAGGTACCCAAATATTTTTGCTGTAAAATATTTTTCCTGGTTGGTACTGTCATAGTAAGTGTATAAATTTTAAAAACTCTCTCGAAAACATAAAATCAAGAATTTGAGGTAGCCACATTCTTTAACATTAGCTTAGGGAATATTGAGGTATCCAAGAGGCATGATTTCCTTTCTTCGTTTCAAAACATAAGTGAGTAATAAACTCATACTAAAGAAGACAGACAGAAAACACCCTTACAATCTGTACTAGCAACTTTTTAAAATGCAGAGCTACTTAGTTTTTCCATTCAAACTGTGAGACAGTCAAGGTCATCTCAAAAATTTAGCTGTCTGAACACATTCCACTTTAGCAGTAAGATAATTAGTAACTAGGCTCCTGGTGCCTTTGTTCTCCGAATGTACATAAGACACACTGAGACTCTACAGTTCTAGCTTTCCTAAATGTGGGTAATTTTGTTAGTAGTACATTTGTATAAACCAATCAAAAATCAAGTATTTTACTTAACAGTGAAAATGACCGAGGCTTTGTTTATGAAGTCACTAACTTCTGAAAACAATAGCTTAACAAAGGCTGAGGAGAACAAGAGGCTTATTTGTGTCCAGTGATGCCCCAGGACAGTTGTTTCATTTCTAACATGCTACTCTTGATGATGGCTTTGTCTCTAGGTTTACTTTCAGGCTCCTAATAGTAGCCAGAGTTCAAGTGACCTCTTCTATGCTCCACTGAAAACATATCATTCACCAGCATGAACTCTGACCCCAGGGAACACTGGGAAGAAAGGGGCTCCAGAAAAACATGAGCAAGCTAGGAAAAGAACAGAGGAAACAAGCAACTAGATCAACTAGAATACATGAAAAAATATCCCCAGCCTCCACCATTATACTAAGAGACCAAGACTGTAAAGGACCACTGTCATGATGGGAAGGATAAGAGCACATCCACCAGCAAGCATATCTGACACACTCCTGTGAGAACGGACTGGAGTTTAATCTGAGCCATCGACTAATGGACTGTACAAATAATCCAAGCACACTGAGTCCATCTTGGAACTTACGGCTCTCAAAAGTTACAAAATAAAAGCTACCTTCATTAGTAACCTACAATTATATTCTACACACTAAGTACTGATTACAACTAATTTTCACATCTTTTAAACAAACTTGGTATTACAATTCTTTTAAAAATGAGAGCACTAAGACTAAAGACAGGGTCATAGACTAGGAAGAGGTACAGGAGTTACCAAGCCCACTCGGTCATCTACGATGCCAGGGTCTTCACACCACAGCACACCACCCTACCACAGGAAGGATTTTTTAGTCAGACTGAACACCTGCCACAGGACCAGGTGAGCAGGAGAGAGAGTGGTGTAAGCACAGGGTGGTGGTGACTGGAGCTAATGCAGTCGCAGTGACAGAGAGGATGAGAGGACAAACAAGAAAAGTGATGGAGAGAATGAGGGAGAGGGATGAACCTGGTTTCTGTGACTTTAAAGTGACCAGTAGATGGGGGCTTTCTCTCCTACCCCTGCAACTACTTCATAATTTATTTCAATATCCAAATATCATCTCCTAATGTGCAAGATCTTGAGAGTATAGGAAGATGTTAAGATATGAAAGAGCATAAATTCTCCAGGCCAGAGACCAAGGTGACTAAGTAGAGACCAGATTGAAACAGCAGCTATGGAAATGTTAGGAACCAACTCATGCCACAGAGAAGAGCTGAAGAGGATACAGGTGATACTGCTAATAATAACCTATACCTTTTATCAAGCAACTATAGCTGTATATAAAATAACTGCATTTAACCCATAACACAATCTCAGTGAAGCAGCTACTTCCCTATTTTCATAGAAGATGAAAATGAAGTTCAGAGAGGCCAAGCAACTTGCCCAAGGTCAAAGAGCTGCAAAATGAGGCAAGTACTGGCTAGTTTGGTGATACAGAGTTTTATTATTTTCTTCCTGCTAAATATTAAAGACAAACTATGCTTTTAAATTCCTAATCCAGTGACATCTTGAAAAGAACAGAAACAGACTACAGTTAATGGCAACATAAGTGAAAAAGCGTAAGCAGTCCTCTATATTCCCTTATTTATGAATTCTACATACTAATATAAAAGCCAACCACTTATTTAAAAGTTCTGTGACCTTTACACCAACCTCTTTTAGTACTGGCATATTTTAAAGCAATTCTGGTAAATCCTACTTGAAAAGTAAACTCTTATCTTTACCTTCCAGATATAACCAGAATACATGTATTTCTCACCACATCTCCTGGCCTCACCCCGGCCCAGGCTGCCTGGATTACAGCCATAGGCCTCCTACCTGGTCTCTCTGCTCCAGCTCTCACCGCCCTACACTCTATTCACAACCCTTCTGAGTTGTGCACTGATCCTTCCAAAACATCAATCACACAATTTTACTCCTCTGCTTAAAACTCATCAACAGTTCTCCAACTTTCCCAGATTCAGCACCTACATACTTAGCACAGTCTGTAAGGCCGTGCGTGATATGGCTCCCCTCTATCGCCAAGGATCCCCTAGTTTCCTTGGCACAACCACACTGACCTCCTTGCCACTCCCTGCCCACGTCAGGGACTCTGCACTGCCTGTCCCTCTATGTGGGACACTCTTGCCCCCGCGTTATCCACATGGCTTGCTCCCTTTCCCCTGCCACATCTATGCTCAAATGTCGCCTACTCAACAAGGCCTATCCAGACCACCCTGTCTGAAACTGCATGGCCCATCTGCTCTCCCTGCTTCATTTTATTCCCACAGCACTTATACCTTCTAAAACACCTCATGATTTACTTCAACATTCAGTTTATTGTTTGGCTACCCCCACTACAATGCAAGCTCCGTGACAGAAGGAAATTCTGTCTGTTCTGTACATATTGTCTCCAGGGCCTTACTGAAGTGTAGGCCATATTCCACCACCCTCCTATCACCTCTAAGTAATGAGAAGACGGCAAAGAGAATTTGTTTTCTTTTCAAGGCTATGGTCACAGAGAAGGTATATGTATATGCTGGACGTCAGTGACAGTATGGCTGTCTGGGCACTGCTTCACTTCCAGATCTCAGTACAGTATGAAGGCTTAGTACATACTTATTGAATGAATAAGTGAACTAAACATTATGAAAACTTTGCTTTCTCAAGAATATGAGAAGAGAAAAATGGACATAAAGTCTAGGAAAATCATGTAAACTGCTTCTTCCCACCCCACATAAAAAAATAAATCACATAATTTTAGTACTGATACTATTAAAACTTTCACCGCAAATTTTAATAGAGCACAAATGAAAATAGTGTGTGAGATTAGATAAAATCATTAGGGTTGCAAAAAATGTTATAAGCAAGATCAGTAAGCATAAGAGAGAACTCTAAACCCCTTCATATGATGTACAATTTTGTCCAATCTGACTTAGCTACAAAACCCTGGCCATATATGAGAAGGTCCCTGGGAATGAACTATTAGGAAATGTACTACTTGTAAATGTCACCAAAAGCAGTTCACAAAATACCAGCCTAACTTTCACATTTCTCATATAATTGTCATAATTTTGTCTCTCTTAAGGAATACCAAACACCAAGGCAGCACTACTTGGCAAAGTAAAGCACTAATAAATGCTTTTATGCCAGTCAACAGGAGGAATGTAAAAAAAAATTATTATTCATATTATACATGCATACTTCTAAATATATCATCTTTCAACTCTTTTATGTTTGCATTAATCAGGGAGTTACAGATTTAAATAACTTCGACAGTTTTACAATATGGTTCCTCCAATTAGCACTTGATAATTACAATATATCCTAACTTTAGAATGTCAGGTATCTCATACTGCGCTCATTTCCAGTAAGATTACTAATTACCATTCCTGTCATTTTGTCTTGCTGTTTCCACCACGAAAACAATTTTTCAAAAATTTTAGTCTATCCACAAAAATTATGACTTGGTTAAAATCAAAGAAATATTAGTCATAATAAATCTAATCACCTTCCAAAGACAGACAACAGGAAATACCAACAAGTTCCAAAAGGTGACAGTACTGGCATTATTCACTTTCTTTGCAAAGTTTCTTAACCATTACTATACCTCCCTTCCGTTATTCTTGAGGAGCTCTGGGGAAACTGCAGAAGGCACTGAATTTGTAACTGGAAGATGCAAGGGAGCCCCAGTTCTGCCTGTGAGACAAAGAAAATCATTTCAAAATCCTGAACTTCAGTTTCTTCATCAGCAAAATGAGGACAGTAACAATAACAATACCTATCACTTACTGAGTACTACTTGCCAGTCATGAAATAGCGTAATAGCAATGCTAATAATAATGAAAATATAATTTTGACATGATGATACCAGGTAGATGCTAACTCTGTGCCAAGCCTTCTTCCAAGTACTTTAAAAATGATGACTCATCTACCTATCACAACAAACTACCCATGGGGTAGATACTGTTATCCCCATTTTACCAATGAAGAAATCGAAGCACAGAGAGGCCAGGTAACTTAAATTCACAATATCGCAGAACTTCTGAATTGCAAAGCTGGAAATCAAACTCATGCAGTCTGGCTACAGAGTCCATGTACTTCACCAATTTGCTGCAGTGCTTTACATCTATTTTCTCAATTAATACTTTAAATAACCAATAACATAGATGATATTACAATCCATGTATGACACATGAACAAACTGAGGAACAGAGAAATTAAGTAACATATCTAATATTAAAACTAACTGGTCAGGTGCAGAGCTGGGATATGCATCAGGCACTTGGACACCAGCCAGATGACACAGTTAAACCACCACCTATAGTATCACCTACCTCCAGATGCTACAAAGGTTTCCAGAGAAGAGTCTGGAAACAGGCCTACAAAGGGTAAATGAATCACAGTGAGGACCAATGGGACAAAGAAAGGAAGAGAAGAAACACAGCAAAGAATATGGGACAAATAAGCTGCTCTTATCCCCATGCAACACCCTAATTCACCAAATCATGAGGCTCATGTGATAGTCCTCTAGTGTCAGTAATCCTGCCCCAATATGAATTCAGATAAAAGTCATCACACTACCTGCTAGACACGTGGCTGGTACTTGACAGATGTATCAAAGTCACCAGAAAATAACTATAACCACTAAATTAAGCAACAGTGAAATACAAAAAATAGATGGGAAAATGCAACTCTTACCATGAAAATCTTATTTAATATTTCTGCCAATTGGATAAGACAATAAAATGTGTATTCTCAAGTACCTCTAAAATTAATGGCATAAAAACTATTTCATTATCTAAAAAGGCAAAGACAACAAAACCCTGACCTTATTAATCTAAGTAGTATTTTTACGGACTCTAATTAATGATAATTTCTTATTTCTGTTTTGACATATATACAGAGATCAAAGCTAAATTCCAGATTTAGAAACTGCTGAGAGGTTAACTGCTGTAATTGCTTTTTTCTTAAAGGCTCCTGAAATCTGTAAGATGCTGCATTAGTTTTTCAGATGCAGTGGTAGAAGCATGACAACACAGGACAGAAGAAGAAGTTCAAAGTGTTCAATCTATCCATATATGTTATAAAACAGAGTTTTTTTTATTGCTTATACTGACCATAATAATGCAAACATCAAAAGGCAATCCAGTAGTTACTTAACGCTAACATTGCCCAAAACAAACATAGAACTTTTATTTTATGGAAAATGTATATACACACATGCAACTTATTTCATCACCATCAATTTTTTTTACCCTATAAATGCAATTTATCCACAGTTTGACTGCTCACCTTATTTAACAAATAGCAACAGTGTCAAGCTATTGTGTCTTTCCAAGTTAGGTTAACTTTCCAAGCTAACTGAAACAGAGAAAACCACTGATCAGGCTGTAAAGGCTCTGGGTTACTTGTCAGAAATTGGGCTTTGCAGTCACAGACATATTAATACTGGCCTGGGGGTCTGATGGTGTCAGGAGGACCCCTTGTGGTGAATGTAAATCCCTTCTACAACCTGCATTTCTCAGCTAAAAGTGAAAAATCAACAATATACATTTTAAATTTATCCCTCATGATGGCCTGAAAAAGCTAACCATTACTACAGACTCCATACTCTGTATCAGGCCAGGCGAGGTGGCTCATGCCTGTAATCCCAACACTTTGGGAGGCCAAGGCAGGTGGATGACCTGAGATCAGGAGTTCAAGACCACCCCGACCAACATGGTAAAACCCCATCTGTACTAAATACAAAAAATTGGCCGCGCGTGGTGGCACATGCTTGTAATCCCAGCTACTTGGGAGGCTGAGGCAGGAGAATCGCTTGAACCTGGTTGCAATGAGCCGAGATTGTCCAGCCTGGGCAACAAGAGCAAAACTCCATCTCAAAAAGAAAAAAAAAAAAAAAAAGAAAAAAAAAAAAAAAAAATATATATATATATATATGTATATATATAATATCAGTAGCAGCTAGTGTGGATCTATCCCTCATCATATCTATATTCCAAGCAACAGACATAAATAAGACAGCTTTTCTTCTTTCCAAACGGAGCTACATAGTAGTTGGCCTTTTTTGTCAATTTCCCTCCCGTATGCTTTTGGTTTTGTCATGCTGGCATGAATGGTTGTTATTCCAGCTTACCAAGAAATTTCAGGAGTCACTTTGCTAATTCTATCTAAAAATTTGTATCATTAAAAAATGTTAAAACCAACCTAACACCCATTATAATAGCTGCTACTTTTTTAAAAAATAGAAAATAAGGTTTGGCAAGGATATGAAGAAATCGAAACCCTTGTGTATTGTTGGTGGGAATGTAAAATGGTACAACTGCTATGGAAAACAACATGGGTGGTCCTAAAAATATTAAAACTAGGACCACCATAAAGATTCAATAATCCCACTTCTGGGTATAAACCAAGGAACTGAAATCAGGTTCTGCAAGAGATATTCAAACACCCATATTCATAGCAGCATTATTCACAATAGCCAAAAGGTAGAAGTAACCCAGGTGTTCATCCACAAATAAACAACATGTGGTATATAAATTCAATGAAATATTATTCAGCCTTGAAAAGGAAAGAAATTCTAACACATGCTGAACCTTGAGGACATTATGCTAAGTGAAATAAGCCAGTCACAAAAGAATAAATAACATGATTACACTTATATAACATATCGAATGTAGTCAAATTTATGGAAGTAGGTAGTAGAATGGTGGTTTCCAGAGGATGAGGCTGGAAGGAGAGAAGCTGCTTTATGGGCATAGAGCTTCATAGTTTCAAGATGAAAAAAATTCTAGAGATCTGTTTCACAAAAATGTAATATACTTAATACTACTGGAACAGTAAGTACACTTAAAAACTGGTAAATGTCAAATTTCACATTTTTTAAAATTTATTTTTATCACAATTTTTTTTTTTTTTTTTTTTTTTTTTGAGACGGAGTCTCGCTCTGTCGCCCAGGCTGGAGTGCAGTGGCGGGATCTCGGCTCACTGCAAGCTCCGCCTCCCGGGTTCACGCCATTCTCCTGCCTCAGCCTCCCAAGTAGCTGGGACTACAGGCGCCCGCCACTACGCCCGGCTAATTTTTTGTATTTTTAGTAGAGACGGGGTTTCACCATTTTAGCCGGGATGGTCTCGATCTCCTGACCTCGTGATCCGCCCGCCTCGGCCTCCCAAAGTGCTGGGATTACAGGCGTGAGCCACCGCGCCCGGCCACAATTTTTTAACTTAAAAAATGTTAAAACCATTTTTAAAGAGTAAATCTCATTTATATTTTACAACAAATCTGCAAATATAATTATGTTTACTTTTATAAATGAAGAGAAAAGCTTTGAGAGTTTAAGAACAAGTCTAAAGCGAAAGAGACAGGAAAAAGAGACAATAACCAATCACTGACTAAGGGCTTATATTGTTCCAGCCCTGTACAAGGTGGCTTTATGTGTGTGTGTTTTAAAATGTGTCCCCCTAATAAACTTGGAGGTAATTACTAATATCATCATTTTCAAGAAAAAGAAAACTGAGGCTCACATACACAAGTAAGGACTTGTGATACAATTAGACTGTAAAAGTAAAATGTCAAAGCCGCATGCAACTCCAAAGCCCAAATCATCTTTTCCATCACCCTAAATTTAAAGGTCCATTCAGTTTATTTCAAGTATCCTAAAACTTAAACTCTGCCACATGGTATTAGATATGTGACCCTGGCACTTTTTTTTTTTAACTTTCTCTCCATAACTTAGTTTCTCGTCGGTTAAATAAAGTTTAAAATGGTATGTATTTTTCAGTTATGATAATTAAACATTACAAGCATAAAGGGCTTTGAGAGCGCCCATAACAAAGGCTCCATGTCACTGTAAGTGCATCATTACTGTCTGCCTCTTCTGTGCATAGGCAATAAATTAAGCAGTAGGGATCCCAAAATAATTGGACAGAGTCCCATCCCATAAGGAGTTGACAGACCATCAGAAGACAAGCAAACAAATCTGAGTACCCAGAAGTCTAACTTCTGGTAGACTGGTCTACTAAACCTCCAATAAATCTCCTCTCAGTTTTAAGGCAGTTTGAGGCTTATAATATGTTTATTTGTAATACTGAAACACTGTTAACAGCCTACATGTTTGATAGAAGGGGAATGAATAAATAAACCTCGGAACACCAAAATGAATGACTATTTTTAAATGTTGTGTCTGAAAATTTTTCACTGACATTGGAAAATACTCATTAACAACAAAAACAGAAACATATCAAAAAAATAAGGCAGCTCCCAGTCCTAAATTGCAAGGATTTCAAGATAAATAGATACTTTAAAACTCCTTTATCTTCTGTCCTATGTTCCAATGTGCCACACTCTCCTGATCTCTCTTTACTTCTCATTATTTTTGGTTTTTGTAGCTTCTTAAGGTAAAAACATAGACAACTGATGCTTTTTTCCTTTCAGTTATATAAGCACTTAAAGTTATAAAGTTCCCTCTTATGTACTCTTTCAAGCTGCATAATAAAGACTGATGTTATATTTTTACTATTCTGTTTCAAATAACTTTCTAATTTTGAAACATTTTCTAATTTCTCTTTTGATTTTAGACTCATGTATTATTTAGAAAGGTATTTCATTTCTAAGTACTGAGGACTTTACTGGATATTGTTTCTTTAAAATATTTGCTTTTTACATTTATTCTTTTGATCAGAAAACACACCTGCATGGTATATTTGCTGTAAGATTAATTGGAAAAAAAGAAAATACAGGCCAGGAGCAGTGACTCACATCTGTAATCCCAGCACTTTGAGAGGCTGAGGTGGGCAGATCACTTGAGGCCAGAAGTTCAAGACCAGCCTGAGTAACATGGTGAAACCCCACTTCTACCAAAAATACAAAAATTAGCAGGGTGTGGTGGCATACACCTGTAACTCCAGCTACTCAGGAGGCTGAGGCACAATTGCTTGAACCCAGAAGGCAAAGGTTGCAGTAAGCCGAGATCACACCACTGCACTCCAGCCTGCGCGGCAGAGCGAGACTCTGTCTCAAAAAAAAAAAAAAAAAGAAAAAGAAAAAGAGAAAATTATTAAATACATGGTACAAAATTCACATGGATATGCAATGAACCATAAACATCACCCCCCCTTCACCCTATTTTCTTTCCATCACATTCTCTCTAGATAGAATCACTGTTCCTAATTGTTTGTGTAACCTTCTGGAGGTGTTCCATGCATATACAAGAATGCACATATGCAAATACAGTTTCTTTTGCATTACACCAATATAATGTGTTCTACATACTCTTCTATACCTTCTTAAAACTTACTTTAAAATATATCTTCAGCCTAGGCAACAAGATGAAACCCCAACTCTATAAAAAAATACCAAACAATTAGCTGGGCATGGTGGTGCCTGCCTGTAGTCCCAGCTGCTCAGGAGGCTGAGGTGGGAGGATTGCTTGAGACGGAGGAGGCTGAGGCTGCAATGAGCCATGATTGTGCCAATGCACATCAGCCTAGGTGACAGAACAAGACCTTGTGGTTTTAAAAAAAATTTTTAAATAAAAATAAAAGTATATTGTTCACTATAGATTTTCTTGCATAAATTTTTGATTCTTAAAAATACTGTAGGCCAGGCGTGATGACTCATGCCTGTAAACCCAGCACTTTGGGAGGCCAAGGCAGGAGGATCACTTGAGCCCAGGAGTTCGAGACCAGCCTAGGCAACATAGTGAGACCCCCATCTCTACAAAAAAATTTTAAAATAGCTGGTTGTGGTGGCACACACCTATAGTCCCAGCCTGGGAGGCTGAGGTGGGAGGGCTGTTTGAGCCCAGAAGGTGGAGGCTATAATGAGCCATGATTGGGCCACTGCACTCCAGCCTGGGCGACAGAGACCCAGTCTCAAAAAAAAAAAAAAAAAAAAAAAAAAGCTGCATTAAATTATTGTTTATCTTAATTACTGAGGGTTTTGGTGACTCTTTAGATATTATGTCAAGACAAATGCCTCAGCCTAGTCCTGCTGGCACTGTCCAAAGATCCATTTCCACATTCTACTCTTTCCCCCACTGACCCCATTCTCCTCAACCACATGACTCTCAGGGGTTTGTGAAACTAGAAATGTTTCTGCTCAATGCATGTTAAACATAATCACGCAATTTTTAAAGTTTCACTCTAAGAATAAAGATATTTAACATTTCTTTTTTTTCTTTTTTTGAGATAAAGTCTGTTGCCCAGGCTGGAGTGCAGTAGTGCAATCTTGGCTCACTGCAACCACCACCTCCCAGGTTCAAGCAATTCTCATGTCTCAGCCTCCCAAGTAGCTGGGATCACAGGCGCCCACCACCACACCCAGTTTATTTTTGTATTTTTTAGTAGAGAGGGGGTTTCACCATCTTGGCCAGGCCAGTCTCGAACTCCTGACCTCCAGTGATCCACCCGCATCAGCCTCCCAAAGTGCTGGGATTACAGATGTGAGCCACCATTTCTTTTTTCAGGGACCAGAACTACAGTAAGCAAAACTGTCAAAGCCATATCTAGTTTAATTGAAATAATTACAATGTAATTTTTACACTGGACCAGCAAACTCTTGAATTCATAAAATGTCTGAATTTCAAAGGAAGCATGCCATATAAAAACTTGTTAGCAAAATCAATAAATTATGGATATTTGCATCTTCTATGATACAGCAGAAATAATGTATTCATTCACTCTTTTTCTGTCCAAGGATCCTGACTAACAGCAGCAGAGACTAAAATCAACTGCCTCATCAGGGTACAACAGAAGACAAACAAGACGGGGGTTTGTATACAGCTAGCTTACTAAGAGTCTTCCTTCCCCTTTTTTTGAGATGAAGTCTTGCTCTGTCGCCCAGGCTAGAGTGCAGTGGGGCAATCTCGGCTCACTGTAACCTCTGCTTCCTGGGTTCAAGTGATTCTCCTGCCTCAGCCTCCCAAGTAGCTGGGATTACAGGTGTGTGCCACCACACCCGGCTAATTTTGTATTTTCAGTAGAGATGGGGTTTCACCATGTTGGCCAGGCTGGTCTTGAACTCCTGACCTCCGATGATCTAACCACCTCAGCCTTCCAAAGTGCTGGGATTATAGGTGTGAGCCACCGCACATGGCCCCCTGACTTTTTAAAACCAGGATCTCTAACAACAGTAATGAAAAAAAAAAAAAAGACTTGAGATTTCTAAATCCAAGACAGATGCAACAGCTGGCAATAGAAGAGCATTTCCTTTAGAAAAAAACAGAAGAACTGCATAAAATATAAAAATCATCTGTTTGAAGACAGCAAGAACAGGAGGGGCTAAAAAACTTCAAAACCACAGAAGTTCAGCTGATCTTTTGCATTTACTTTTACCTTTGGTATGTATTTACCAATTCTGAGAAGAAGAAGCAGGTGGAGAATCTAGGCTGTGCATTCACAGAAAACTGCTGCCAGAAGACAGAAAAATCAGGCAAGGTTTTGGAACGCTAAATCCTAGAGCATTAGTATTCTTACTGTATAAAGGTGTATTTATTGTCAAATATTATTCTGCAATGAAAAGGAATGAAGTACTGATACATGCTACAACATGGATGAACCTTGAAAACATTATGCCAAGTGTTAGAAGCCACAAGAGACCACATACAGCCTGATTCCTTTTATATAAAATGTCCAGAATAGGCAAATCTATAAGAAAGTAGGTTAGTGGTTTCCTTGGGCTGAAGATAAGGAATAAAGAGTGACTCCTGGTGGGTATGGGGTTTTCTTTTGGGGTGAGGGAAATTTCTAAAATTGATGGTGGTGATTGTACTCATTGTATAGTATGAGAATTATACGTCAATTTAAAAAAAAAGACACAAAGCCTCTAAAGGCAGTGAGTAGAGATTTTCAAGTCTTACAAGACAAAGATTAAAGTGCCACACACGAGGAAGATAAGGAAAAGGAGCCGATAAATATAAAATAAATGACATAGAGCTAAAGGACAAAAAAAAATACCTTTAACAAATAAAAGCCACCAGTTGGTATTCAGAAACAACAAGTTCTAGAAGATCAACCAAGAAAGAAAAAGAAACACAAATAAATAACTAAAATTCCTAAATGAACTATAAACATTACAGAAAAGAAATCATATATCTAATAAATCATTGGTCTAAAATCTTGTTTACAATTATAAGAAATTGAAGATAAACCCTTGGCTTTCCCCTCAAAACCTAATCCTGAAACAGATTTCCCCAAATCAGTAAATAGCACTGGGGTCAGTGTCATGCGCCTGTAGTCCCAGCTACTCAGGAGGCTGAGGCAGGAGGACAGCTTAAGGACAGGAGTCTGAGGCTGTCAGCATACCATGATCACACCTGTGAATAGCCACTGCACTCTAGCATCCTGAGCAACATAAGGAGACTTTGTCTCTAAAAAATAAAAAAATAAATTTTTTTTTTGAAATTAGCAACTCCATTCTCCTAGCTGCTAATGAAAATACCTTGACATCATCCTTGATTCCTTAACTTTAGAACACAACCATCCCAACAAGTTTCTTAAAATTTACGTCACGCCTCTGCTCAAGATCCTCCAGTGGCTTCCCATCTGACTCAGAACAAATGCACAAGACCTCACAATGGCCCAGAACGCTCTAAGAGATCTAAACCACCCATGAGAAATAACACCTCCCCAATGTTCCTGCTAAACGGCCTCAAAAGTTTTAAACAAGTAGTGTTTATCAAGTTATATTCTGCTAAGCCTCTGCTATGACAGTGATGAAATTTTCTGACCATCTGTTGTTATAGACTTATTCCTATTTTCTGCATATAAAGTTCACTTCTGAAAACAACTCTCTATTGATCTCTCTCTAGCAAGATGTTTTCTTTTCTGTAGGGAAAAGAAAGAGATATCAAAATGGAGTTAGAGAGATTAGACTGTTACTGTGTTTATGCAGAAAAGGAGGACATAAAAAACTCCATTTTGAAGTTTGAATCAGCACTGCAATTACAACATTAACAAGTGACACATGATCTTAAGTAAGTTGTCAATCAGAGGTTAAAAGTATTATCACAATTGTTAAATGTGTATAGCTAATTAGAACTATGAGAGCATTAAAGAAAGGGGGAGATAGGAACAACTTTTCAACAACATATAAATGTTTATTTTATATCTATTAGACAAACTGTCCATAAACGATAGAACCAAACAGAAGGAAAAAAGCTACTTTACACCCATGAAATGTCCCAGGGCCCCAGAGCATATTATAGCAGGAGCTACTGTGGAAAAGAAAAAATGATTCATATCAACAACTCAAGAAGGAATCAAGAATCAGGATTACAATTCACTGAAGGCAAGCACCCCAGGTCCAGAGGTAAGCACCTATGCCTCAGAGTGACTTATCCTGACAGATTCTTAGAGAGCATAAATAACACCTAGGCTGCGATGTATCCATGGTTCTCTGGCCTCAGGACCCATCAACTGTAGACAGGTCCTCCCAGAAGAAAGTTATTAGTACCTCGCCTGAATATAAACGGGGTTATCCTATACTAGAGACAAGGGAAGACGGGGAGGGGTTCAAAGCTGAGTCCAATGCCAAACTGGCTTGCAAAGACCTCTATCTGAGATTCACTCTGTTATTTGAAACCAATAAAATGAAAGTTTTTTTCCTAATGCGCTGTTCATGTAATCTCAATGCTCAGTATGTCCTCATCTTTTTTTTTTTTTTTGAGACAGAGTCTCGCTCTTTGCCTCGGCTCACTGCAAGCTCCTCCTGGGTTCATGCCACTCTCCTGCCTCAGGCTCCTGAGTAGCTGGGACTACAGGCATCCGCCACCACACCTGGCTAATTTTTTGTATTTTTAGGAGACACAGGGTTTCACCGTGTTGACCTTGTGATCCACCCGCCTCAACCTCCCAAAGTGCTGGGATTACAGGTGTAAGCCACCACACCCGGCCTGTCCTCATCTTTTAAGAGTAGATCAGAGCCTAGGCAACAAAGTGAAACCCCATCTCTCCAAAAGGAAAATTTTTAAAAATAAGCCAGGCATGGTGGCATGCATCTGTAGTCCCGGCTACTCAGGAGGCTGAGACAGGAGGATTGCTTGGCTACAAGTGAGCTATGATAGTGCTATTGCCCTCCAGCCTGAGCTGGAGTAAAACTCTGTCTCTAAAATTAAAAAAATTAAGTAGGTCAGAACCTTCTAGTTTTGTGAATTCAATCTTTTTAACTAATAAAATCAATTGTGGGAAAACAAGAAGCAGGATCAATGAACACTGTAAATTTTACACATCTACATCACCTAAAGAGGTCAAGAGAAGACAAACATGTACTGTATAGATAAATCAACGTCATCCTAAATTCTCAGCAATGTACTGAGCGCTCACGAAGTCTACAACAAGGTATAAGGTAAAACACAGGAGGAGGGGCCACTATAATAAAAGACACTTCAACTAAAAGCAAAAAGAACAACTTGTTAGGCCCATTTTCTACCTGGGATGCAAATATGGGGGCCTTCCTGACTCACTGCACCCGACCAATGCTGTTGTTATGTTTCAGGGGCATCTTTAGTTGCCCTAAAAAAAAAAAAGATCAGATCTTGATCTACCTCAGAAACAATCTGTAACCAATTCAAAAACTGGACCTCCTTAACCTTCACACCTCCACCAGCAAATTAAAGAGCCATCTCCGAATGTGTCACAGCACACATCACATCAGACACTTTGGTTGCTATGATTTTTAAGCATGGCAAAGTTACAACTTGAAATACTACATAAAATTTTAAACTTAAGTCCCACAATAGTTTTAAATATAAAAATTACCATTATCTGCAGCTCATCAGTCCAATAGGACAAAGGATATTCTAGAGAACATCTTTTTTTTTTAACTTTCTAAGATGATAACCTTTTAGAGAAAAATACTGCTTTCAGTTAATTACATAAAGCTATTATAATGACTACTGCTCTTTTGGGATACGGCCTTTCCATGCATCTTAATAGCTAATAAAGTAGTTTACTCACAAACAGGAAAGCTAAACATCAAAAACAGATGTAAAGATAATTAACAGCAACAACTAAAAGCATTTGATTTCTGATCCTAGACAAATAAGATTTATATTAATGTAATACAGAAACATGGATCTCCTGTAGTACAGGTGTCATTAAAATATACACCTAATTTGCACATTTTTAAGAACATCCATTTTTTAAAATAAGTGATGGAGGGCAAGAAACTGCAAAAAATATGTTAAAGAATTTAAATTTTCTTTTTATAATCGTTATTGCATACTTTTATACTTACTTCCTGAGGAAATTATAATTTACTTCAGCTGTGGTTTTAAGTATTTCCACACCTGATTTTTCTGAAAATAAAGTTATGCCATGAATTTGTCTATATAAAATGGACTTAAATATGAGAGAATGAAAGTTTATTTTTATGCTCTAAGTATATATAAAGCCTGGACATAATTACACGTGGCTTAAAGTATACTCTAATTGGCACCCTTGAATTACCCAGGAACCACCTTTGACTACAGGCATTTGCTAGTATGTATCTCCCAAGTTTAAGGAAATCAAATGCCATCTTTAAGTAAACAATAAAAAAAAAAAAAACACAAAAAAACAAATCTGATTTAATCTAACAAAAATTGGAAAGAAAACAAAAATAATGGCATTACTACATACAGGGTTTAATGTAACTGCATATTCCTAGTCCCAAAATACATCAAATACATTTACATATTTTTAATGTGACCACAAAAGTACAACACATATTTACTACAATGTAATCTTTCCATATAGAATATGATTCAGTTGGACATAGTGGCAGTGGCTGCACGTCTGTAGTCCCAGCTACTTGGGAGGCTGAGGCAGGAGGATCACCAGAGTCCAGGAGTTTGAGTCCAGCCCAGGCAACATAGCAACACCCCATCTCTTACAAATAAAACAAAAAGAACATGACCAAAATTATTTCTTCTGTTGAAAAATATACTCAGTACAATCTCACTTTTTGTATCCTCAAACTTAGTTGATCTCTACATTATTCTAACAGTTATCTAAGAAGACAACACAACCTCCTCTTCACATCTAACACAATTCACAGTACAAAATCGAGAGTATCTTTGTCTCCCCTCATGCAAAGAGAGACGATGCAAATAGAAGGCGTCCATCACTAAGTCCACTAGTGTAGGGCTGTCCTGTTCCCTGTGCTTTCATTCTATGTCCTGACCAAATACCAGAGTGCTTTGACCGCTCTGTGACCCAGCCACGTGCAGGTTTTCCCTAGCAAGCTTGAACTCAGTATGGAGCCTTAAACATTCCCAGGCATTGATAAAGGTATCTAAGTTGCTGCACAAAACACTAAAAGAAACTAGCCCTAGACCTGAGACAAATTCCTCAAACTCTCATAAAAACTCCACACCTTAATCCCCTTGCTGCAGACATACCTAGAGAGAACACCGCCCCACTCCTTTTTGCTGTCTGTCACAAGGATTGTCGCAATCCTCTGTAAGTTTCCCCAATAAATGCTCTAGACTGATCACCCTGGTGTTTAGTACTTCTTTCTTTAGAATCCCAACCAGCCCCATCTCAGGATAATCTGGAGCACTCCCTTGTGGGAACTGCCCTGCCACTGCTTTGGGGGCAACTCCAGCCTCAGCTCAGTGGTACAAAACAAAGAGCTTCAGCTGAGGAAACAACTCCGCACCACCCCTTGGGTAAATGTCTGGCAGCAGCCACAGTATGTCCTAAAATAAAAACAGCCATCATGATTACTGTACAAATGCCATGCAAACATTTGACCAAGCTTTGTTATCCTCTTCTTCTCAATAAAATCCACTTATAAACTGACTCGTTTTCATAATCAAAATATTTTACCTAGGTGTGGTGGTGCATGCCTGTAATGTCAACTACTCAGGAGGCTAAGGCAGGAGGATCGCTTGAGCCCAAGAGTTCAAATCCAGACTGGGCAATACAGTAAGACCCCATTCTCAGTATTTTTTTTTTTGAAAAAAGAATATTTTTGCATAAAAAGTCACACCCTGCTTTCCTCCCCTCTTCCATCTTCTTACGTGAATAAAAGTAGGGTTGGGGAAGAAAAGGAAAGGGCTGGGGGCAAACAAAGGATACATCTTCTTCAACAGTCTGAACAATCTTCCAGATGCATACACAATAAACTTTATCATCTAATGAATAAAAGTATATCCTAACCTTTAAATCCAGAGACTTATTCTAAACATTTAAAGCCAGATTCGAAAAAACTATACATTTTATTTTTAAATGTTTACTAGTTCAAAATTTTTCATTCAAGAAATTGCAAAAAAATTAATGACAAGCATACATAAGTGATCAAAGTTTTCCCACATCTATCACTGCTATTGATATGTGTACTATACAAGTTCAGCTCTATATACTGCAAGTTCAGCTCTAACAATGATCAAGTCTCATCTGCCCCTAGTCCATCAAAAGATGATAGATTTAGGATCCAGTTTCCACACAAATCCAACAGGTAGCCTTCATCAACCCTACAGGCCCAGAATAAAATTATCATTTGGGGTTGCACAAATCTTCCACAGTCAAATATTACATACCATTCTGGCCATGTGGCCTAGAAGTCACATCTAGTCCCTCATTCTAGGTCACCTATGTCATACATATACCCAAACACCATTATTCTACCAGGATTTTTTTTATTTCAAAGCTGTTGTCACTAGGAGATAAAAACTAGGTAGTATGTACACATTTATTCACTTTATGGTAAATCATTTCGCAAAAGGCTTATACAATGAAAAATTATTTTGATATTTGTCCTGCTCTGGCATTAACTATTTATTAGTGATAATCTCGATGTCACAAATTAAGAAAGAAAGATACCTTTTAAAAGGGAGAGACTGAGTTACTAAAATTTACATCAAAATCTAGGCGAAGTGCCAAAAACAACTCCAAATCACCAAGGAATCATCTGAAAGATGAGTGGGGAAAAATGAACAGAAGAACAGAGTAGAGCACGGGGCCTGGCCCACGGAAGGCACTCAACTGTGTCGAATGAAAGAATAAATCCATTTACTTTTCTTGATTCACATTCACTCATCACTAGCTCCAGCTACACTTACTGTTCGTATTGACATATCCTAACATATCCCTGATAGGATGGGCAAGTAATAAATACAGACTTTTGCTTGAAGAACTTGGGATTAACAGTTATGTTCATGATGAAAAACACAACATCCTGTACATCAGGAAAGAAACACTACTTTGCATTTGGGAGGCCGAGGCGGGTGGATCACCTGAAGCCAGGAGTTCGAGACCAGCCTGGCCAAAATAGTGAAACAAAAAAATTGGCCAGGTGTGGATGGCGCCACTTGAGAGACTCAGGCAGGCCTGAACCCGGGAAACGGAGCTTGCAGTGAGATGAGATAGTGCCACTGCACTCCAGTCTGGGTGACAAAGCGAGACTCTGTCTCAAAAAAAAAAGACTAAAGAGTCATGACTATATATTACAAGTGATTCCAGACAGGATCCTGTATCAAGGGTAAGAACTGCTATAAGGGACATCACTTGCCAAAATATGACCATGGTCTACAGCCATGCCATCCAATCTCAAAAGCTAAGCAGCGTGGGGCCTGGTTAGTAGTATTGGGATTGGGAGGCTGCCTGAAAATACTGGGTGCTGTAGGCTTAAAATAAAATTGTTTTTTTAATATGAACATGGCCGGGCACAGTGGCTCACGCCTGTAATCCCAGCACTTTGGGAGGCTGAGGCAGGCAGATCACCTGAGATCAGGAGTTCAAGACCAGCCTGGACAACATGGTAAAACCCTGTCTCTACTAAAAATACAAAAATTAGCCGGGCATGGTGGTGAGTACCTGCGCTACTTGGGAGGCTGAGGCAGGAGAATTGCTTGAACCCAGGAGGCAGTGGTTGCAGTGAGCTGAGACCACACCATTGCATTCCAGCCTGGGTGACAAGAGCGAAACTCCATCTCAAAAAAAATTTTTTTAATTAAAAAAAAATAAATTCAACATGTGTAATACAACAATCACACACATAAATTCAACTGAAATGAACACAATATGAACAGCTATCCCAAGTTCATGCAATGACAAGTGAACCATGAATGACTGCCACCTGGGCTACACCAACCGGAACTGTCACCAATTCTAAAAAGCGTACCAGCACACTTTTAAGCCTTCAAAACCAGGGTTAAGTTAATGAAGACATTCCCAGAGAAAAATACAGGGATGGAGTGAGACAATAAAATATAAAAAGCAGAACAATCAGCAATCTCCCTCCTGTTCCCAAACACCAAATGTCAAAGAGGCTACCATTAGATATTTACTGTGTGATCAACACACAAATAGTTCTCTGCAGAGGCTGTAATAAACAGGTCTCATCTGCTGGAGACAGTGTCTCAAGACACAGAAGAGCATATGCATTAAATAAACAAAAAGCAACTTAGGAAGCCCTACTGTAATGCACCTTATTCTATCACTGATTCTATTAGTGCCACACATTATAGTATATCCTGAAGATCGTAAAATGATGAGCTCATCATTTAAAATAAACTGATTTTTAAACGAAAATTAGAACATACAACTTTCTACTTTGATTCCACTCCTACTCACTGTTGTGGCTTTTTAACCAAGAGTTTATTGGGAAAAAAAATGCTAAATGGCTGCTCCACAGGACATCAACAAGTACCACAAAGTAGTAATGAGCAACTCTATTTTTTTTTTGGAGACAGGGTCTCACTTTTGTCACCTACGCTGGGATGCAGTGGCATGATCTCAGCTCAATGCAGCCTCGACCCCTCAGGCTCAGGCGATCCTCCCACCTCAGTCTCCCAAGTACCTGGGACTACAGGCACGCACCACCACGCCCAGCTAACTTTTTGTTTGTTTGTTTGTTTGTTTGTTTTATTGAGAGAGGGACTTGCTCTGTCGTCCAGGCTGCAGTGCAGTGGGGTGAACATAGCTCACTGCAGCTTGACCACCCCCAGGTTCAAGCAATTCTCCCGCCTCAGCCTCCCGAGTAGCTGGGACCACAGGCATGTGCCACCACACCTGGCTAATTTTAAAATTTTTTGTAGAGATGAGGTGTTGCCATGTTGTTCAAACTCCTGGGCTCAAGCGATCCTCCCACCTCAGCCTCCCAAAGGGTTGGGATTACAGGCATGAACCTCTGCACCTAGACTTACTATGTACATTCTTAATTCTAGCAGTTTAAAACATAAATGTACCCTACCATTATAGCTCATTAACTATTAACTAAAAGATGGAGCTGAAGACTGCATAGTTTCATCAATATAAGAAATAGCATTTTTATTTATAACGCTGATAAAACTATTTTTCTCCAGAGCTACAAGAACTTGAGCAACAAATACTAAAATAACTTTTAAACATCTTTTATTTCTGCTAATTATATGACCTTTATAATATACAATCTCATTATACAAAGACAAATATAAAGCCTTTAGGCCACAAATAAATCAGATTACATAAATGAATCAAGGACTTCAAGACTGTTTTCAAAAGCAGTGTCTACACTGAAATCTACTTCACTTCAACTTTGGTGGTACCTAATCCAGACAAATAAATGTTGATCCAGCTGGAAAGAAAATTTGAGCTCTAATGAGTGCGTGCGTGTGTGTGTGTGTGTGTGCGCGCATATATGTGTGCAAGAGTATATGGATAATATCTGTTTGCATATAAGTCACTTTTTCTTCTCTTTAAAGTTTTATTTCTTGAGGCATAACGTGCACAATAAAAACATCAGGTGGATGGTGATAAGGACTGGATCTGTTTCCCAGCCAAATCTCATGTTGAAATGTAGTCCCCAGTGTTGGAAGTGCAGCCTGGTAGGAGGTGTTTGGATCACGGGGGCGTATTCCTCATGAATGGCTTAGTGCCATTCCCTTGGTGACAAGCGAGTTCATGTGAGATCTGGTTGTTTAAAAGTGTATGGCACCTCCCACTCTCTCTCTTGTTCTCTCTTGCCATGTGACGCATCTGCTCCCACTTCACCTTCCATCATGAGTAAAAGCTCTCCGACGCCTCCCTGGAAGCCGGTGCCATGTTTCCTGTACAGCCCGCAGAACAGTGAGCCGATTAAACCTCTTTTCTTTACAAATTACCCAGTCTTGGGTATTTCTTTATACCAACGCAAGAACAGCCTAATACAAGTGGGTCTGTGTAACCACCACCACGCTGAAGACACAGACTATTTCCATCACCCCAAGAAGTGCCCCCATGCTCTTTTATACTCAATTCTCTCTTCCGCCCCAGGCAACCACTGATTTTATTTCTGTTCTTACAGATTTGACTTACCAAAATGTTATATAAATGAAATCACAGTTATATGGAGTTTAGTGTTTTCACTTAGTAGACTGCTTTGAAGATCTGCCCATTTTGTTAGGTGCGTCAGCAGTTAGTTCCTTTTTATTGCTGTATAGGATTCCATTGTATAGGTGTACCAAAATCTGTTTATCCATTTACCAACTGATGGATATTTGAGCTGTCTCCAGTGATTACGAATAAAGCTGCTATAAATGTTCACATAGAGGTCATTGTAAGAAAATGTTTTCATTTCTCTTGAGTAAATATTTAGAAGTAGGACTGCTGGGTTGGGTGACAAGTCTATGTTCAACTTCATAAGAAAGTGCCAAACTGATTTCTTTAGCAATCATAACATTTTGCACTTCCACCAGCAAAGCAGGAGAGTACTAACTGTCTCACATTCTTGTCATGTGGCACTGTCACCTTCTTTTTGGTTTTTAACATCAGCCATTCTAATAGGGTTGCAATGATATCTCGTGTGGTTGTAATTTACATTTCCTAACGACTACTAATGTGGAACATCTTTTTGTGTGCTTACTCTCATTCATATGAAATGGATGAAATGTCTGTCCAAATCTTTTGGCCACTTTTTCATTGAAATTTTTATTGAGACACCTATCTTTTTTAATCAGACAGTTTATCAAAGAAAAAATGCTGAAGTGTTTGTATATTTTGTTAAACCATTTGGAATTCATGAGTACTGGGTAAAAATCTAAACTGCCTACTTGCCACCCCAACTCACAACACTATGATATGCAAAGACGGATTGAAAGAAAAAACACTCATCCCCGTCTCTTCCTTTCTCTGAAGGTAAGATCCTATGCAAAGTTGCCTGCCCACTTTCAGAATCAGGAAATCAAAATTTTCCCTGTTTTGACGAGTATTTTATGAAACTACACTCTTCCCTCAGTATAAGCCAGCAACACAGATGATTAAGAAATTTGCAAGGCTTTGCAGAAATACTGCATTTTAACACGACTGATACATTTTAAAAGGAAGTACAATACTAGAGGGGAAAGGGTCACTGGCAATTCAGTAGGTGGCACTATTCTTCTCTCTGTTAAATGTATGACTCCCAATTGTGCACTGTGGTTAACCTTAAGGCCTAAGCTTTACTGTAAGGAAATGGAGAACTTGATACTGCCACGAGGAATCTTGGACTGTCTTCTTAACTTCTCTAAGCCCAGTTTCTCATCTGTAAAATGAGAATAGTAATCAAAACCTTACTGAGCTGCTGTAAAGAATTAAGATTTGAATTAACACAATGACTGACACATGACAGCGATTACGATTTATGACTATTTCCTTCAGCCGCGACTCCTGAATCACAGTGCAAATAAAGACCAGAAGGATGTGCTCTTCACAAAACTGAGTAAAAAGTCAAAGCTTCAGCCGGCAAGTAATATTTGTGTACAGCGCACCCACTGAACATAACGGCCTGACCATCCATGAGAAGTCCCATGCATTTACACAAAAAGTACTCTAGAGTTTGCAATCATGAAGACCACTTGTGAACCTTATTTCTTAGCATTTTGCTTCAGCATTTCAAACTGAGCAATGCTTCTTTTAGAAAGGTACTCATCTCTTGGTTTTTCAGTATCTCATTATTGTTGGCTTAATTTTCTCTATATAGCTACGCCATATAGACGAAAGTTGTGCTTACATGCCTCAATGACATTTTTCCAACTTCCCTGCTTGCCCTCTCTCCAATTTGGCCAAACACGGAGCAGCTTCTTAAATTTCCTGTTGTCGTTCATCTTGTTCTTGCCTGAAAACTGAAGTGGTACTACAGCACTCATTCCTGCACTGATGAATTGGCTTGGATAGTTAGATGCCAAGATTATTAAGTTTTTGTAACCAATGCGTAAAGATTTTTCCGTAAATCAATATATAAAATCAACAGTTTAAGGTTATCACTTGAATTCAAGTGTTCCTGATATATCCTATGTTCAGGTTTTAGGACATTAATAATTTACCATCAAGGCTGGACACTATGGCTCATGCCTGTAATCCCAGCACTCTGGGATGCCAAGGCAGGAGGATCACTTGAGCCCAGGAGTTTGAGATTAGCCTGGGCAGCATAGTGAGAGCCTTCCTCCACAAAAAATTTTAAAAATTAGCCAGGCACAGTGGTGTGCACCTGTGGTCTCAGCTACTTGGGAGGTTGAGGCAGGAGGATCATTTGAACCCAGGAGTTTAAGGTTACAGTAAGCTATGAACATGCCACTCACTGTACTACAGCCTGGGTGACAAAATGAGACCTTTATTTCTCAAAAAAAAACAAAACAAAAAATATATCAATGTTTAACATTCTGATTGTCACAATTCCCATTTAAACTTTTTTAAAGCTCCTCAGGGCCTGATTGTCACAATTCCCATTTAAACTTTTTTAAAAGCTCTTCAGGGCAAAGTCAATAAGTTAATATACATATAATCTAAGAAGGTAACACAACACAGGCTTTTCAAGTCACCAAAAAATAAAAGATCACTTCCATCTCCATGCTTTTTCTGGCACCATTTTCACTACCTAGAATGCTCTTCCTCAACTCTAGTTTCTCCTTAACACAATTCCCCAAGAAGACATCATCTCCATTCCTCCTCTGTCCTTCCCATCAGTTTTTTCAATCAGTATTTTCTACTCACCTGTCTTACCTGTTCTCGCCTTATTTTTGCTGGTACCACAGGTTTCTCCACCCTGGTACCATTTACAGCAGGTCTAGAGAGCAACCTCTCTAGACTGAAGCAGGGAAAAGGAGAAGGAAAGCTCCAGGAGGGGTGTGTCTAGGGGGTGAAGACAAAATGAATACACTTGACTGCATGGAAACTAATTGAGAGGCCCTACTTACAGAGCTGTCAGAGTAGGAAACCTTAGCCAGACCTAAGAATATTAAGCAAACAAGAGGGACAACTGCAATTTTCAGTCCAAGAAAACAAGAAAAACAAAGCTGAACAAGAAATGCAACCATACTACTTCAATTGGCTCAATACTGAGTTATGTTTAAAAGTCAAAATAATTAAAAACGAAAATACGGATCTAAACAAAAACTGTTCTAGAACTACACGAGGAAGATGGGGGAGAGGAAAGACCACGTAAGAGAGAGAAAATCCCTACCTACCATGATAGGAGTTCAGTATATAACTTTTTCTAAAATTGATGGAGCAATGACTAGTAAACAAATACTATTAGGAAACAAGAATGTAAAAGCTAAAATCAACACCTAAAACAGATTATTTCCGTTGCTTCTGGGAAGCAGATGGAAGACCGGACAGGAGCCTGTGGTTTCCCGCATGAATACACCCATCTCCTTTGTATTTAGCTCAAATCTCACTTTTGCAGTGAGGCTTATTATGACTACCCTATTTAGACCTCAAATTCACTCATACTATGGCATTACTTTTTTCTCATCCCACGTCCCACCTTCCAGTACATTACATAATGTACTCATTTGCTTATTATTTTTTTATTATCTGCTTCCCTACACTATACAGACTCTGTTTGGTCTACTGATACATCTATCTAAAGCAATTAGAACCATGCCAAGCACTTAGTAAAAGTTCAACAAACATTTCCTGAATTGTAAAGTCATAGTTCAAACCAATCTTTGACCAATATTACTAACTCCCACTGTCCTTCCAATAAACAAGCCTGGAAAAAAGTCCATTTCATGATTCAATACAAATATTAGGACAACTTATACCAGACTACACCTGGACTGCTGAGAGCCAGCACCAGACAAAACATCATTAACTAAAAAAATTCGTACATTCTAATTTAACTGTCACCAATCTCAGTTGAACCACAACACTCCTAGGCAAGCCTTCTCCACCCCTGCTTGGCTCTGTCCTCACTATCCCTATTTCAAACCTCCTCCACTATCATCAAATCTCCAACCCCAGCATTGCTTTTTCCACTCCTTCTTAGGAGATGACTTCAAATCCTACTTTAGAGAAATACAGAAGGCATTATAAAAGAACTACCTCAACTATCCCCACATCATCATGCTACAAACAATGTCTCAATAAATATTTGTTCAATAAATGAGGAAACTGAGGATAAGAAAAATAAAATGTTTTGACCAAAGTTCCACAGCTAAAAGTGGCAGCACCAAAGTCTGAACTCGAGCTCATCTAACTCTAAAACTAGCCACACAGCAAACCAACATATCACTCCACCACTTAAAATCCTCACCCTACAGATCAACATGCCACCCCACCTCCTAAAATCCTCAGTGGTTTCAACTTCAAGGTGGTAGAGTAATGAGTTTTATTCCTGTGAAGACTTCAATGAAACTGAAGTATGCAAGTTTTTTTTTTTAAAGGTAAATAAGAGGAAGGGAAGAGCCACCAAAAGATGAGAATTCAACAAATATCTAGCTATTAAAGAGGAGCTACACGCACAGTGATGTGTAAAACAGAGACAAAACTCAAGTGAATCTTGATGAGGCTTTGGGCCTGGCCATGAGGTATTGGGGAGGGCTGATGTTAATAGCCAGGGGTGAAAACAGGGTTTAACTGACTAGTTGTGCCCAGGCTAACTCAGCATTTACCCTCGGACAAAAAATAATAATAATAATAATTTTTTAAAAATCCCAAGGGGCTATTTCTCTAGAAAATAAAGCAAAGGTTTCTGGTATAGGTGTTAACAACCTTACAGTAAAACTCTCCTTTATTTTGTTATTTAGGGGCCCACAGACTAAAAGCATGCTGAAGCAAAGTACTTCAGTTCTGAATTCCTACCAGGGGCTAAATCTAACTCCGAAAAGTAGCTAGTCCTGCTTCCCTATACACTTACAGACAATAAAGGATCATCAGACATACAGGGAATACCACCTTCATGAAAAAGAAACAAATACCGGAGAAAACAAAGAGAAAAACTGGCCTTGAAAGAAAGCTAAGCTGGGAAAGCTCAAGAAAACTTAAAATTAAAAATAATAAACTAGTTTTAGAGTTCAACCCATGAGCAGTCCCCAGAACACTTGTAGTTGCAGATAAAATACAAATGTAAAAATCCCAACATAAAAGAAATAACAAAAACAAAATATGAGGCAGAACAGGGAGACATGCTGGAACTGGGGGGAAGGGTCAATATTTAGGGCAATACTATCTTTATCTTAAAAGGAATCAAGATATTGACATGAATCAATAACCCAAGCAAAGGAAAGATATTGGTAAAATTACAACAGAAGACTTCTAAAAGAAAAATACACATATCAACTATTTAACAATAAGTAATGCAGGAAGAGATATGGGGAATAACATAAATAAGCTAAACCTTTATATCCCAAATCAGAAAATCAACAGGTCATTTAAAACAGAGAAGTCACAAATGATAAAGTTTAACATACAATACAGTCAGCCATCCACGTCAGCGGGTTCCACATCCAGATTCAACCAACCATGGATCTAAAATATTTGAGGAAAAAAATGAATGACTGCATCTATACCAAGCATGTACTGATGCTTTTCTTGTCATTATCCCCCAAATAATACAGTATAACAACTATTTGCAAAGGATTTACATTGTATTCGGCAATATAAGCAATCTAGAGATGATTTAAAGTACAGTTGACCCTTGAACAACATGGATTTGAATGGTACAGGTCCACGTATAGGGGGATTTTTTTTCAATAATAGTTACACTGAGTGTGCCTGCCTCTCCTGCCTCCCCTTCCACTTTTGCCACCCGAGACAGCAAGACCAACCCCTCTTCTTCCTCCTCCTCCTCCTCAGCCTACTCAACATGAAGACAATGAGAATGAAGATGTTTATGAAGATCCACTTCCATTTAATAAGTATATTTTCTTAATATTTCTTAATATTTCTATATTTCTTAATATTTCTTATGATCTTCTTAATATTTTTTCTCTAGTTTACTCTGTTGTAAAAATACAGTATATAATACATATACAAAACGTGTTAATCAACTGTTTATATTCTCAATAAGGCTTCCAGTCTACAGTACTGATAGCAGTGGAAGCCAGTCTGGAGGGGCTGCTGCCAAGACACAGGCTGCAGTGGGGCTGGCAGGAGGTGGGAACAGGTGGAAATCCCAACCCCCTACTGAGTTGGCGGGGCAGGAGCCCCACATTCCCAGGTACAGCTGCAGCCTCCTAGCCTCGGCTCCGGAGCTGGGCATCCCTGCGTTCTTAGGGGTCCGGGAAGCCCCCCCGCCCTCACAGGCTCCTGGCCTCTCCCCAGCCCACTCCAGGGCAGAGCAAAGTTGTGGCTGAGCCTGAGTCTGTCACAACCTGGCCGAGTATGCACATGCTCGAGGCAGCGCTGACACACCAGCCCCCTGCCGCCCTGGCCCACTCCAGACTTTGGGCACTGACAAGCACGGGAGGGAGGCCAAGGGGGAGCTGAGGGTGGCTCAGTGTGGGCCTGCAGGCACACCTCGTCATGAACAGCCTAGGTGCCATGGATGGCTTGTTGATGGTGGGAGAAGGCAGAAAGGCTCCTGGATAGAAAGGGGCAGGTCCCCCATGAAATTCCACCTTCAAGCCAGGGACAGCCTTGAAGCCCGGGAGCCAGGCCACCAGTTACGGGTGGAGTCTACAGCCTGGAGTGAGAACTTATGGTGCTTTTTCCGGGCCTGCCCATGGCCCAATCAGTACGCACTTCCTCCCTTCTGAGCCCATAAAAACCCCAGACTCAGAGAGATGTTAGCACTACCAGCTGCAGGAAGGAGCTACCCACTTTGGGTCTCTTCAACTCACCAGGACAACCTGCCTGTGGAAAGGAGCTACCCACTTTGGGTCTCCTGAGAGCTGTTCTGCTGCTCAATGAAGCCCCTCTCCACCTTGCTCATCCTCCAGTTGTCCATGTACCTCATTCTTCCTGGACACTGGATAAGAACTCGAGACCTGCCAAATGCAGGGACTGAAAGAGCTATAACACAAACAGGACTAAAACACGGCCTCCTGCTTGCCATGTTGTGAGCAACGAGCAGAGGAGAATCCCCGAGCCAGGGCTATGACACCCTCTTTGGGGCTTTGCAGTTCCTGGCATCTCCACTCTTCTGGGCGCCACCTCGTTCCCCTCATCCAGATGCGGGTTTCCACAGCAGAGGCTGCATGCAGTACATCTGGTCCAGCTGCAGCCTTGCACAGAACTGGCACCTGTGCCAGTGCCTGGAGCTGCCCACCCCGCTACAGCAGCTGGCTGTGCAAGGTGGCTGGACCACATGCTCACACACCCACACACCCCTCACAGCTCTGCGCCTGGCTCGCCCTTGGCAGGTGTGGGATCCAGGCTTGTAGTGTGAGCCAAGCACAGCATGCCAAGCCGAGTAGGCGAACAAGCCCAGTGGGCATGGGCAATACTCAGGCAGAAGGTGCCACCAGCCACCGTGATTTCTGGCTGGTGAAGCGGCATCCCAAAGATCCTGTGACACTATTAGTAGTTAGGTTTTGGGGAGTCAAAAGTTATACACAAATTTTCAACTGCAAAGGGGATGGGCACCCCTCACCCCCGCACTGTTCAGGGGTTAACTGTATATGAGAGGACATACATAGGTTATATGCAAATATTGCACTATTTTATATAAGAGACAGGCTCCATAGATTTTGGTATCTTGGGGGAATCCTGGAACCAATCCCCCACAGATATGGAGGGATCACTACATATTAGGAGGTACCTAATAATATAAATAATATATATATTTTTTTAAGTCAACACTCCCAGAACCTCAGAGTCCAATCTATCTCAGCTGTGCTCATCTGCCCATATGCTATAAAAGATGCTTGTATTCACAAATACGAGATTTTGCAGAAGGGTCTCAGGGAGGCCTTCCTTTCTGTCCATCACCTTCCCATGCCACATTAACCCTGAAAATTATCTCCATATATATCCCAGCAACTCAATTCCTCCCAAACTTTCCTTTGCTTGCCTAGAGTTCTGGTTCTAAAATACTTCCTTCCCAAATTTCTGTCTTCCAATGTGTCACTTAAAAACAAGGCAAGGACCAAGAACCAACTCCGCCAAAGCTAGCTGCTTCGCAACCAGATCCATACTGCAGGAGCTCAAATGGCCCAACGGACTTACGAAGGGGAACTCTGTGAAATAAGGGACCTATATCTCAGCATTACATCATGAAATTCAATGGATTGGAAGCCAGACTTACACATATGGACTGACCATCTGTCCAGAATTTGCGGTGGGGGGGAATTACAGGAACACTGGTTATGAGGTTATTTTCCTGGGTTTATATATTTTCAAATGATTTTAAAAGGACAAACCAAGATGGGTAGATTTTGTCCTATAGCTAAAAAGTTCCAATGAGGCCAGGAGCAGTGGCTTATGCCTATAATCCCAGCATTCTGGAAGGCTGAGGTGGGAGAATCATTTGAAGCCAGGAGTTTGAGACCAGCTTGGGAAACAAAGGAAGATTCATCTCTACAAAAAAATTTTTTTAATTAGCCACGCATGGTAGCATGTGCCTATAGTTCCAGCTACTTGGGAGACTGAAATGGGCGCATCATTTGAGCCCAGGAGTTCAGAAGCTACAGTGAGCTATGATCATACCACTGCACTCCAGCCTGGGTGATGGAGCAAGACTCTATCTGCAAAGAAAAATTAAAAAAAAAAAAATTTTTTTTTTTAAGTTCCAATGAGCCAATGAGATGGCTCTTGGGTCACAAATAGCTGGTTTGTCATCTCACCTCTCTTTAGACTTTCGTTTCCCAGCACATTACACTAAGAATGTAAGTTTTGTATTTCTGCTATGGAACTGTCTTGTGCTATACCAAGAGGAAATATTTTTACAGCTAATGTTGCTGAAAAGTTACAGTTGGTATTCTTTCTTTTGCTCAGATCTACTAAGAAAAGAGAACTTATTTTGTGACAGGCGTTAAACAGTCCTAATTCAGCATTTAGTGCAAGTTAACTGCGGGTTAAGCAGAGATGAAATAACAAAACTGCCCTCACACACAGACTCACACCCAAATAAACAGAATGCACTGTTATAGGAAGAAAGGTACAATATGGACGGGGGAAGGAAATAGGGGAACACAAATAGAGGGGCTGTGACCTTCTCACACTGTAACAATCACATCTGGCACAGCACAAGGGACAGAATAGGCTCCTCTCCCTTAGCCTATGAAGGACAGGGGGACACAGGACCCAGACTTCTAGGCCTTGCAAAGAAATGGAAACTGTATGACATAATTTCCCTTCACTAACACCTAGAAATAGATTTGGGGGAGAAAAGAGAACAAAGAAAGATGTGAACTGACACTCATGTGGAAATTAAAAAATAATCCTAGGCCCATACTCCAAAAACACTTGCGAAAGTCAAATTCAATACAGCTATAAATTATCATGAATTCTGACTCCATGAAGTCCAAGTTTATGAGATATGTACTGTAACAACATAAACAAAATGCCCACAAAAGAGATTTATAAATACTCTATGAACCTATCTGTCCTCCATTTACCACCAGACTTAGAAGAAAGAGCAATCTTTGGAAACAAGACAAAGTAGGATTACCCTCAATTGTACGATTTCTAAACTGTGAAACATGCACCAAGATCTACAAGTTACAAACTGACAAATTACAAGTAATATAATCTCTCTAGGGCTCCGTTTTCTGCTAATTAAAATGAGAAAAATGGCACCAAATAATCATTGCTAACAATTTTGAGTGAACACCTTACGCATATCTCACAGCATCTTCGCAATAACCCCATAAGGGAGATTCTATAATAATCCCCTTTGTCAGATTAAAAAAAATTGACTTTCAATAGGTTAAATAATTTGATTAAAATTAAGGAGTTAGGAAATATAATACCTAGCTAAACCAATATCTGAATCTAGAACCCATGAGAATAAGATACAGCTATTCCCACTTATCTGCAGGGGATATGCTCCTAGTCCCCCCCAGTAGATGCCTGAAACTAGGGACAGTACTTGGCGCTATATATACTATGTTTTTCCTATACATACATACCTACAATAAGGTTTAATTTATAAATTAGGGACTGTAAGACATTAACAAGAATAACATAATAAAATAGAACAATTATAACAATATGCCAGCATCACTACTACCCCTCCGTTTGGGGGCCATGATGAAATAAACTAAGGGTTACTTGAACACAAGCACTGTCATTCCTTGACAGCTGACCTAACTCAGATGGCTACTAAGTGACTAACAGGCGGGCAGCATACACAGTGTGGTGGATATGCTGGACAAAGGGACAATTCACATCCCAGGTGGGATAGGGCGGGACAGATCAGGGTGCATGAGATTTCATCAGGCTACTCAGAATGCCGCACAATTTAAAACTTATAAATTGTTTACTTCTGGAATCTTCTATTTAGTATTTCTGGACTGCAGCTAACATTGGGTAACTGAACCTACAAAAAGCAAAACCACAGACTGGGGGGAGGGAGCTGCTCTACCAGTCAAGAGCACAACACTGTGAAGCCAGAATGAATCTGAATCCCAGCTTTGCCATCTACTAATTTAGTAATCTTTTTTTTGAGATGGACTCTTGCTCTGTCACTCAGGCTGGAGTACAGTGGAACGATCCTGGCTCACTGCAGCCTCAAATTCCCGTGATCCAGGCATGCATTACCACACCTGACAATTTTTGTTTTTTGTTTTATTTTCAGAGACAAGGTCTTGTTGTTACCCAGGCTGGTCTGAATTTTTTTTTTTTTTTGAAACAGGGTCTTGCTCTGTCACCCAGGCTGGAGTGCAGTGGCACGATCTCGGCTCACTGTAACCTCCACCTCCTCCTGTGGAGGTTCAAGGAATTCTCCTGCCTCAGCCTCCCGAGTAGCTGGGATTACAACAGCTGGATGCAACATCACGTCTGGCTAATTTTTGTCTGTTTAGCAGAGATGGGGTTTTGCCATGTTGGCCAGGCTGGTCTCGAACTCCTGACCTCAAGTGATCTGCCTGCCTCAACCCCACAAAGTGCTGTGATTACAGGCATGAGCCACCGCACCCAGCCACTTGGTCTCAAACTCCTGAACTCAAGCAATCCTCCTGTCTCGGCCTCCCAAAGTGCTGGGATTACAAGCATGAGCCACTGTGTCCGGCCGTAACTTAGTATCCTTTAACCTCTCTGTATTTTGGTTTATGCAAATGTGAAATAGGGAAGAACAGTAAACCTTGCTTATAAAGTTATTGTGAGGATTCAATTAGTAATTGTAACTCAGAGTGTTTATAATGTACCAGACAGTATTCTAAGCACGTTATTAACCATTATTATACTACCTGTCTCAGAAAAAAATATATAAAGTATCTACACATAATAGGCACTAAACAATTTATATTTCTTCCCTCACCCACTCTGCAAAATCAACTACCTTTTGTTTATTTCTATTGTACATCAAAGAGACACTAAGACAGGTGAAAGAAAAAACAAAACCAAAAATCTCAAGACACAAGTATAGCAAGAGAATTATACTCACAGTTCAGAAGCCCACAATAACTCTGAAGAAATCAAATGACAATTTAAAAAAATACTTCTAATTTCTCTTTCCTCTTTCCATTGCAGTCAGAGAGAACCTGAAAGACTATATATATATATAACCACCATTATTTCACTAGTTTTTTTCAAGGCTTTATTGTACTGTCCACCTTACAGTTAGCTTCTTCACTGCTTACCATACTTACTGTACTGGACCTTGAATGAAGAATAACAAATTTGGAAAAGGCCTGTCTTCAAACCCGTATTTTAGTTGAAGGAAATATACATGAAATAACTAAGAACCATTAAAACATCAACAGGCATAATTAATCTGACACAAAGTTAGCTAACAAATTCAGAGGAAGATGGCAAACAGAATATACACATCTATTTCACTTCCACTAAAATTATACAAAAGACACAGATATGGTTTGGCTGTGTCCCCACTCAAATCTTGAATTGTAGCTCCCATAATTCCCATGTGTTGTGGGAGGGACCTGCTGGGAGGTAACTGAATCATGGGGGCAGGTCTTTCCCGTGTTCTTCTCATGATAGCAAATAAGTCTCACAAGATCTGAGGGTTTTATATAGGGGAGTTCCCCTGCACACACTCTCTCTTGCCTGCTGCCGTGTGTAAGATATGTCTTGCTTCCCCTTCGCTTTCTGCCATGATTGTAAGGTCTCCCCAGCCATGTGGGACTGTGAAGTCAATTGAACCTCTTTCCTTTATAAATTACCCAGTCCCAAGTATGTCTTTATTAGCAGTGTGAGAACAAACTAATACAGACATATTAAAAAGATAAATTTAAAAACCAAACCCACAGGACAGGGAGAAATGAAAGAAAAAGTAACTGAATTTTTGAAGCTATAAGAAAAGCCTCTAACACTGAAGATAGAAACCGAACAAACAGGAAAACAGAAAAACTTGGGGGAAATGAACGATAAAAGATCGGAAGCATAGCAAATGACTCAGCAGGCCCAATGCAGCCAGACCAAGCCAGCAGCCAAAAACACTAAGAACCAATTCCATTTCCACAGCCATGTCGGAAGAAGGTTCAGAACTGGCAGCACTAAATGCAGACAGAACAAGGGGTAAAGAAGGTGGAGGCATAAAGGATGATGGAGGTTAGGTGAAGACTATCTACGATGCAGCTAAAGCCTCAACACCATGCCTTCGTGGGACTCCCCAACCATGACAGAAGACTGGGGGCTCTCTGGAAAAGGAGAGCATCCTTAGACAGAAGTCACCCTGCCCAACTGTACAAAACAGAGGTCGATCTAGTCACTGAACACACATTTCAGCTCCTCCACTACGCCCTATGCACTTTCCTCTCAAACTTCAGATAGTCAGGTCTTTACCCTGCAGGAACCTGATACGTCTAAGAAGAAAGATCTAAAGATACCAATGCTGGGGATTTCCCAACAAATGGGCCATCCAGAATATCCTGATGCAAAAGTCAGAGTCAAAAGGCTGAACCCACTTGCTAAAGCTTCCAAAGAATTTTTTATTCACCACAAGGAAATTAATACCAGACATGTGAGAAAATTCTGTAACACAAAAGACAGAGAACAACACGGGAGGGTGGGGAAGCGGGGAAGGAATAAAAAAGCCACTTGGGGGAAATAATACATTACTCACGCGTTTTAGTGAAGCTGGGGAAAACAGACCTACTGTGCTGCCAGTCGTATAAAAGTCTAGCACATACGATTATGTACAGTACCTAACACTTGATAAACAATTATGTTACTGGCTTATTTATTGTGCACTTTTAATTATCATTGTAGAGTACACGCCTTCTACTTATTTAAAAAGGACAACTGTAAAACAGCTCAGGCAGGTCCTTTGGGAGGTATTCCAGAAGGCACTGTTAACCTAGGCGATAACAGCTCCATGTGTGTTATTGCCCCTAAAGACTTTCCAGTGGGACAAGATACAAAGGTGGAAGATATTGATATTGATGATCCTGACCTTGTGTGGGTCTACCCTAATGTGTGTATTTGTGTCTTCATTTTAACAAAAAAGTTTAAAAACCTTAAATTAGGCTGGGCACCGTGGCTCACACCTGTAATCCCAGCACTTTGGGAGGCTGTGGGTGGATCACCTGAGGTCAGAAGTTCAAGGCCAGCCTGACCAACATGGAGAAACCCTGTCTCTACTAAAAATATAAAATTAGCCGGGCATGGTGACACATGCCTGTAGTCCCAGCTACTTGAGAGGCTGAGGCAGGAGAATCACTTGAACCCAGGAGGCAGAGGTTGCAGTGAGCCGAGATGATGCCATTGCACTCCAGCCTGGGCAACAAGAGCAAAACTCCATCACAAAAACAAACAAACAAACAAATGAAATGATAAATTAAAATTTTAAAAAAATACAGAAAAGCTCATAGAATATGGATATAAAGAAAATATTGGCTAGGTGCAGTGCCTCGCTTCTATCATCTTGGCACTTTGGGAGGCCGAGGCAGATGGATTGCTTGAGTCTAGAAGTTTGAGACCAGCCTGGGCAACATGGTGAAACCCTATCTCTACAGAAAAAATTAGCTGGGCATGGTGGCACACGCATGTAGTCTCAGCTACTTGGGAAGCTGAGGTGGGAGGATCACTTGAGCCCGGGAAGGGGCTCACATTGTACTGCTGTACAATGTGCCTCTGTTGTAAGCTAAGTGTTATTACAAAATAGTCATAAGTTTAAAAACATTTAAAAGTTTATAAAGTTATAGTAAGCTACGGTTATTACTGAAGAAAAATATTTTTTATAAACTTAGTGTACAGCCTAAGTGTACAGTATTTATAAAATCTACAGTAGCGTACAGTGATAATTTAGGCCTTCACATTCACTCACCACACACTCACTGACTCACCCAGAGCAGCGTTCAGTCCTGCAAGCTCCATTCCATTCATGCATGTAAGTGCCCTATACAGGTATATTTTTTAATCTTTTATATCATATTCTTATTGTACCTTTTCTATGTTTAGATACACACACACTTACCACTGTGTTACAACTGCCTACAATATTCTGTACAGTAACATGCTGTACAATTTTGCAGTCTAGGAGCAATAGGCTATACTATATAGCCCAGGCATGCAGTAGGCTACCATCTAAATTTGCTGAGTACACTCTATGACATTTGTACAATGAAATCACCTAATGCATTTCCTGTCGTTAAGCAACTCATATATAAAAATCAAAAACAGAATTACAAAAAGAAAAAGACAAATCCACAGTGATAGATTTTATTTCATTTATCTCTCATGAAATAGCAAAGTCTCTTGTCCATCCTGCTAATGAGTTAACTACCTTTTTCTTGACATGTTACATATTTTTTATGCAAACTGTTAGAACTATGATTTACCAATATCTTCTCCCACTCTGTAATTTGCCTTTCACTCTCCTACTAATTTTTTGTTTTTGAGATAGTGTCTCACTCTGTCACCCAGGCCAGAGTACAGTGGTGTGATCATGCCTCACTGCAGCACCAACCTACTGGGCTCAAGCAATCCTCCTGTCTCAGCCTCCTGAGTAGCTGGGACTAACAGGTCTGTGCCACCATACCCAGCTAATTTCTTTTTTTTAATTTTTTGTAGAGACAGGGTCCCACTATGTTACCCAGGCTGGTCTTGAACTCCTAGACTCAAGCAATCCTCCTGCTGTGGCCTCCCAAAGTGCTGGGATTACAGAAGCCACCATGCCAAGCCTAATAATGTCTTTTGAGGAATATGATGTCCTAACTTTAATGTAGCATAACTCATCGATTTTTCTTTTATGGTTGCTTTTTGTGTCCAGAGATAATAAGATGTTATCCATCATAATCCTCCAAAACTATGCTCTCCAACACAGTACCCACTAGTCACGTGCTAAGGAGCACTTGAAATGTAACTAGGCCACACTGAGACGTAAGTGTAAAATACACACTGAATTGCTAAAACTATAGTATCCTTGCCCCCCAAAATAAAATATACTAATAATGTTTAAATTACTTGCACATTAAAATGTATTTGAGCATTACTGGGTTAAATACAAAATATTAATTTATCTGTTTTTCCTAAATTTAGCTTCTAGAAAAATTTAAAATCACATGTGGCTCACAATATATTTCTATTAAACACCGTTATACCAGTTTTATTTAATCTTTTCATATCTATAAATCCACTTGAAATTATTTTTTATTGTGTGAAGCAAATTATTATTTTTCCCTATATGGATACTCAAATGACCCAGCACCATTTATTGAAAAAGTGTCTCTTCCCCGTTGCTCTACAATGTCAATTTGTCACAGATCAATTGTCACAAAAGAATATATACAGTATAATTCTATTCCTATAAAGTTTAAAACTATACAAAAGCTAATCCTAATGTTTAAAGACACATAATAGGGAGTAAAATTTTTTTTTTAATGGAAATGACTGTCACAGAAGTCAAGATGATGGAAAAGGGAGTAAAAGGCTGGCAATAATTTTTTACCTGAATGTGGTTACACACACATATATTTTTTAAACAAAAGTAGGCCGGGCGCAGTGGCTCACGCCTGTAATCCCAGCACTTTGGGAGGCCAAGGAGGGCGGATCATGAGGTCAGGAGATTGAGACCATCCTGGCTAACACAGTGAAACCCCGTCTCTACTAAAAATACAAAAAAAAAAAAAAATTAGCCACGCATGGTGGCGGGTGCCTGTAGTCCCAGCCACTTGGGAGGCTGAGGTAAGAGAATGGCGTGAACCCAGGAGGCGGAGCTTGCAGTGAGCGGAGATCACGACACTGCACTCCAGCCTGGGCGACACAGCAAGACTCTGTCTCAAAAAAAAAAAAAAAAAAAAGTAGTGTAAGAGTGATCCGTTCCCCTCAGAAATGGTGGACTTTTATATATAATCTATATACTTATATCTACGTTTTTGATTTTCAAAAAGATATATGAGTATCACCAAGGGATAAAGAAGGCCTAAATGGATCTTTTACAATCTTACCTGTGGCCCACGTATAGCAGCTCATGCCTGTAATTCTAGCACTTTGGGAGGCCAAGGTTGGAGGACAGCCTGAGCCCAGGAGTTCAAGACCAGCCTGGGCAACACAGAGAGACTCCCCCTTGCCTGCCCCCCACCACCCTCCTTTTCCAACAAAAAATAAATTAGCTGGGCATGGTGGCACATGCCTTTGGTCCTCGCTACTTGAAAGGCTGAGGTGGGAGGATCTGCTTGAGCCTGTGAGGTCAAGGCTGCAATGAGCCTGGTCACACCACTGCACTCCACACTGGGCAAACAGTGAGACTCTGTCTCAAAAAGAAAAAAAAAAAAATCCAACAACAACAAAAAAAACCTACCTGTGGTTATCCCTGAGAGATACAATTCACCAGCAATTATTTTTTGTATACAGTATTTTTTTAAATGTTCTACAATGAACATATATTGTATTAGAAGGAAAAAAACACATTGTAAATGCAATTTTAAACTTTTTTTTTTTTTTTTTTTTTTTTTTTTTGAGACGGAGTCTCACTCTGTCACCCAGGCTGGAGCGCAATGGCACGATCTCGGCTCACTGCAACCTCCACCTCCCAGGTTCAAGCAATTCTCCTGCTCAGCCTCCCAAGTAGCTGGCATGCGCTACATGATTACAGGCATGCACCACCACATCCAGCTAATTTTTGTATTTTTAGTAGAGACGGGGTTTCACCATGTTGGCCAGGCTGGTCTCAAATTCCTGACCTCAAATGATACGCCCACCTCGGCCTCCCAGTGTTGGGATTACAGGTATGAGCCACCGCGGCTGGCCCATTTTAACCCTTAAAAAAAGAATAAGTAATCAAGGCAAGATAAACTAGGATGAATCCATCAATGGTTTTACACCAGGCTGTAAAGAAAGCATGATCTCATACTGAATGACTTATCAGGTGAACTACCAAAATTGTTCATTGCCACATACAGAATCAACACTTCACAAATCTTGTATTTAACGTATCATATAGGCTGGGCGCGGTGGCTCACTCTTGTAATCCCAGCACTTTCGGAGGCCAAGGCGGGCAGATCACCTGAGGTCAGGAGTTAAGACCAACCCGACCAACATGGTAAAACTCTGTCACTACTAAAAACACAAAATTAGCCAGGCGTGGTGGCGCATGCCTGTAATCCCAGCCACTCGGGAGGCTGAGGCAGGAGAATCACTTGAACCTGGGAGGCGGAGGTTGCAGTGAGCCAAGATCACACCACTGCAATCCAGCCTAGGCAACAAGAGCGAAACTCTGTCTCAAAAATAAAAAAGTACTTTATAGATAAAGAGCACTTTTCCTTGGAAATGTACTTTAAAGTCAGAAAAGCAGCAGATATATAGAAAAGACATCTGAAATCAAATTCAAGAAACCTGAATTCCAGTCCTAGTTCTATCACTAGAGCAAGTTTGGGCACTGTGAGCAAGTTATACATGCCTTTTACATTTATTTCCCTCGAAGACAGGCAAATAACTACACCACACTTTGCTAAGCTTATGGATGGTATCAAACAGCCAACTATATAGCCACACAATTTGTTATTACATTTGCTATTTCCAAGAAATGTATCTAATCCTAAAAATAACTCAGCAACCATACCAAATCTCCAGATAAACTTCAAATTCCAAATGCAAAGTTTCCTTTAAGATTTGGTACTACAGGCCGAGCGTGGTGGCTCACACCTGTAATCCCAGCACTTTTGGAGGCCAAGGAGAGTGGATCACAAGGTCAGGAGATCGAGACCGTCCTGGCTAACACAGTGAAACCCTGTCTCTACTAAAAATACAAAAAAATTAGCCGGGCGTGGTGGCGGGCACCTGTAGTCCCAGCTACTTGGGAGGCTGAGGCAGGAGAATGGCGTGAACCTGGGAGGTGGAGGTTGCAGTGAGCCAAGGTCGCGCCACTGGTCTCCAGCCTGAGCGACACAGCGAGACTCCATCTCAAAAAGAAAAAAGAAAAAAAAAAAAAGATTTGGTACTACAAATCAGTCTCACCAAGTTAATACTAGAGAGCTCACCTAACAAAAAGTACTTATAGTACACATTTTTTAAAAGGCAATGATTTAAGCCTGGTAAGGAAATTTTAGATAAAAGAAAGCAAAGGTTTCTTTTATAGGTTTAATTCTTTTAAAGATTTCATTTAGAGGTTTATCCCTTCAACCATACAACCCAACTGGAGTGGTGGTGTTTTAGGAAAACTGCCTCCTCTTTTGCAATTTATTGAGTTAGTATCTTTAAACTCAAAAATATCTGGGCCTGGTGTGGTGGCTCATGCCTGTAATCCCAGGCAGAGACAGGTGGATCACATGAGGCCAGGAGTTCAAGACCAGCCTGGCCAACATGGCAAAACCCCGTCTCTACTAAAAAAAATACAAAAATTAGCCAGGAGCTACTCAGGAGGCTGAGACAGGGGAATCGCTTGAATCCGGGAGGTGGAGGTTGTAGTGAGCTGAGATCACACCACTGCCTGGGCAACAGAGCAAGACTCTGTCTCAAAATTTAAAAAAAAAAAAAAAGGAAGGAAGAAAGGAAGGGAGGAAGGGAAGAAGGGAGGGAGGAAGGGAGGGAGGAAGGGAGGGAGGGAGGGAAAAAAATTATGTGGTTATTTTTACTCATTTCAACAAATTCTTGCTGTTTTGTGTGGCAATGAAGACAGCAGTCCCATAGTAAAGAGCTAAAGAAAACTGTGTACAAGCATCCAGCAATGCCAAAAGCTCTATCAGTATACTATGCCTACTACAAACACACATACTCTGTGAGGGGCCTGAGGGGCCTCCTGTATAGGACACACAGCTCGAGCATACTCTACAGTCATCACACCTGTAATCCCAGCACTGTGGGAGGCCGAGGCGTGTAGATCATGAGGTGAGGAGATCGAGACCATCCTGGCTAACACAGTGAAACCTACTAAAAATACAAAAAATTAGCCGGGCGTGGTGGCTAATCCCAGCTACTCGGGAGGCTGAGGCAGAGAATGGCGTGAATCGGGGAGGCGGAGCTTGCAGTGAGCTGAGATCACGCCACTGCACCCCAGCCTGGGTGACAGAGCGAGACTCCCTCAAAAAAAAAAACCACAGAATGTCCACCCTCCTTTCCCAGCATTAGTGACACTCCTCACTCATGGCAATCCTACAAACTTCCTGGCCCTTGTAGGTCCCCCCCCCCAACCCAACCTACCTAGGCTTCCTCTGCTTGCCCTTTAAGTGCTCTCCTGGGGACCCTATTCTTTGTGTTAAGTACATTCCCTTTGCAGTGCAAAAGCAGCCATAGACAATATATAAACAATTTGAATGCATCCCAATAAATACATATTTACAAAAGCAGATTTGGCCCACGTGCTATAGTTTCCTCAGCCCTGTAACAGACCACTGATACCAACACGCACGAACCTTAAGGCCTTGCCTCTCCCTCTAATACAGCCTATATATGTTCTTCCTCCTATAAATATATACCCTATAACAATGAACAGCTTATAATAGCATCTCCTCTTAACTAATTCTTTCCACGAGCTATACTCTGTGCTAAGAGTCTTAGGAGTACTCAGTCCTCAAAATAACCTCTCAAGGAATTATTCCTGTTACACATTTCCGGAAGTTCAGATTTAGAAGGTTATCTAATTTTCCAAAGTCACATAATAATAAAAAGCCAAGCTAAGAATCAAATTCAGGTGTCTGACCCCAAAAATCCTGCCCTTAACCATGACCAGTTGCCCAATCTAACTCTTTCACCTCACTTATCTCTCACCCCTAAGATCCCTGCTCTCCAATTCTATGGCCATCCATTTAATTCAAGTTACAGTGTTGCAAAAACAAAAACAAAACAAAACCTCCTAACTGATCTACTTTCTTTATTACAGTGCCCCCTTCAATTCAACTTCTTCACCAGTACCTACCTGAGTGACCTTTCCTAAAACAAATTATGTCAACCGCTCAAAAGTCTTCAACAGCTCTCATTACTTTGAGGGATATTAGAAATTCTTTGCTTTGAAAAGCAATTTTCCAACTGTGTTCCCTATTCTGCTGACATTTATCTGGGGCATCAAAGCATACCTTCTAAGCCTTTACCTCTTCCTCCTCAAAATATTTCTCATCATCCCATTCCAAATAGAATATTCCAGGGGGAACAGGGAAGAGGAGAACTTGAGGGGGGTTAGGGGGTTAAGAGGGAGAAGGAGAGAAAGAACAGAACCAAACCACTAGCTTCCTATCTCATTTTCCATCACTTGCTCATTCCTTTTCTACGGTAGGGTCATACTGAACAACCTCAACTTCCCTTAATGTGCCATGCTACTTCTTACAAACAAGCCTTTACTTATGCCAGTCCTTCTGCCTGGTAGGTTCTTCCCTTCCCCCACCCAGCTTACTCCTAATCATCCTTCAAAGTTCAGTTCAAGTGCAACCAAAAATCTGCCTTCCATGACCCTCCTCCCACCTAAGACTGATGTGGATGCACCACCCTATGCATGAATGTTTCTACCACAGGATTTAGCCCACTGAACTATAATCAATAATTTGCCTGTTTTTTAAGAGACAGGGTCTTGCTCTATCTTCCAGGCTGGAGTGCAGTGAGGAGAGCCTAGCTCACTGTAGTCTCAGACACCTGAGCTCAAGCAATCCTCCCACCTGAGCCTCCCTCAGCCACACCATCACGCGCCAGCTAATTTCTTTTTTTTTTTCTGGAGATAGGGTCTCACTCTGTCATCCAGGCTGGATTGTGGCAATGCGATCAAGCTCACTGCAGTCTCAACCTCCCAGGCTCATGCGATTCTCCTACATCGGTCTCCCAAGTAGTTGGGACCACAGGTGGGCACCACCCCCAGCCCCAGGTAATTTTTTTTTTTTTTTTTTTTTTTTTTTGGTAGAGAGGGGAGTCTCACTATATTACCCAGGCTGGTCTCAAACTCCTGGACTCAAGAGATCCACCCGTCTTGGCCTCTCTCCGCCTCCCAAAGTGCTAGGATCACAGGCATGTGCCACTGAGACCATTTCTCATTTAACTATTACTTTTCAGAACCAAGTATAATGCTAGCAACAGTATATGCAAATGCAAAGAAAGGTTTTTTCATTTATTCATGTACAGAGATCTGCTATACATTCCTGGCATCATTCCAGGAACAAAAATTCAAAGACACTCAGACCTTGCTTGCCCTTAATGAGTTTCAACTACATATTCTTTGCTCCCAAGAAAAAAGGTATTTATCCTATATCCTCTTTCTCTCCAAAAGACAGAACATTCACCAATGGCTTTACAGAATTTTGATGGTCCTGCTATCATGAACGGATATGGAAACTAAGACCTAATAATCCTTTTTTGACATTGCATGCATCATGTAATATGAAGAGTGTCGGCCTGGGCATTAGGAAACCTGATTTCTATTGTTTAGAAAAAAACACTATTACTTTTAAAGAAAACAAAATCCAAACTCTTTATTATGACCCTTACTTGTCAAGCCAAGTCTAACTCTCTAGTCTAAAGTCTCTCAGCACTGTCTCTTATGAATCCTACACTCTGGCAAAACTAAACTATTGTCAGTTTACAGAGCAACTTGTACTTTCTCTCACATCTCTATGCCATCTGCTGCTCCTTCTACCTAGATCTTCTTCCCATTGCTTAACTTGATGTACATGTGGTAGGGGCTGTTCTGTCTCACCCCAGGTTAGATGCCCCTCTCCTGCACTCCACAGCATTTCTTCACTCAATATAGGTTATTCAGTGACAGACACAAGCCATGCACTGCACAAGGTATTGGACATGCACGGTACCAGAGACATGACCCTACCCCAAAGGAATCTTGTGGTGAAGCTTACTAGAGAGGCCATTAAAATTTTGCCTTTTCTGTCAGTCTCTTCCTCCTCCAAGTAAACAACAATATTCTAGGCCAGGCGTGGTGGCTCACGCCTGTAATTCCAGCACTTTGGGAGGCTAGGGCAGGTGGATCACCTGAGATCAGGAGTTCGAGACCAGCCTGGCCAACATGGCAAAACCCCGTCTCTACTAAAAATACAAAAATTAGCCAGGCATGGTGGCACACACCTGGAATCCCAGCTACTTGGGAGGCTGAGACAGGAGAATCACTCGAATCCAGGAGGAAGGGGTTGCAGTGAGCCAAGAACGCGCCACTGCACTCCAGCCTGGGTGACAGAGCAAGACTCCATCTCAAAAAGAGAAAGATTCTAGGGACAGTGACAACCTCTTTCAGCTCTGCAGCCTCAGGACCTAAACACCAGGTAAACAACTTAAGCACTATTAATTAAAACCAAAGTAAAGGTCAGAAAAGCTCCAGTTGGTTGCAGTTGGAAGCATTTCTTCTTTCCATGCACTCTGCCTTTCCTGCCTTTCTATTAGGAGTGTAAACCTAAAAACATCACTTGTTGAATTATTCTGACACTCTTGGAACTGGCTTTCTTCTCTTCATTAAATATGAAGACAAACCATCCCAGTTACTCCCCACATCTACTTTTTGTTCACCATTGTATACCCAACAGTATGCACCATTATCTAAAACAGCATCTAGAGCGCATGATTATCGATAAACATTTATATGATGCATGAATGACTTAATGAATAAATGAATGGATACACTGGCATTGAGTACCTCAGCCACATTCTGATAACCGCTTTTTGCTTTATGTTTTATTCTATGTAGTTAAAGGAGAATTTAAGCAAGTTACAAGCCTCCATTCTATCAAGACTAGGCTTACTGCCCACTTACTGTTTTAGCAACAGGCAACTTAATGCATGTTGAATCCTGTTTTAGCAACAGGCAATTTAATGCATGTTGAATCCTAACTCTTCTTATTCCATGATTTAATCCATCTTTACTAAGAACAGAAATCTATTTGTAACTATGAAACTGATAAAATATAAGTATAAAAATCTGAACTAGCTCAGAGTATAAAGTAGCTATTTCTCAAATTATAAAATTAAAAGTCTTAAATTCTTTTTCTCCAGATGGATAAAGAAAAATTAAAGTTGGCTTATTATACAATGATATACATGTTTATCTCCACATTCTCAACTCTGAAGATATTTTAAGATGGATATTCCCTACCCTTTGTGCATGAATGAGTGTATTTTAAGATAGGTATAAATAGATGCTTGGGCTGCTCTGAACCCTTTTCCCTTTTAACCTACAAACTAAAATTTTCCATACCACACTAAATCTGTGCTTCATTATCACGTAGAATATTTCCTTTCACCACCTTGCTTTCAATGTTCTCATTTCAATGCACAATCCAACTTGGCCAGCCTTCTATCATTCTTTTCTCACTACCTCCAAATAACAATCCTGATCATAACAATAGCAGCTTCATGTGTGTGGAGTGTCTATATTAGCTCATTACTCCTCACAGCCCTAACTGGTTACTATAATTGTTTCCACTTTACATACAAGGAAACAGACTTAAAGAAGTTACTAAGTTTTCCAGGGTCACACAGCAAAGAAGGGAGAGACCAGGAATTCAAATACTGGTTTATCAGCACTCAAAATCATGCTGCTATTCTTGCTTCCCAAATTAACCACGTAATATTGTTAAAACAATAAACATGATCTGGGCTTTCCAAAGCAAGCATGACAGAAAGTTCTTACCACAGCTGAGTAATGTTCAATATGACATATTGACAAATTATAAGTTATCTGGCTGGAATTAAACAAGTAGGATGAGCCCCTGGAAAAGAAAATGTCTGTTTGATGCTAAGTGCTAAATAAGGCTCAAACCCAGTATTTCTTTCTTTCTTTCTTTCTTTTTTTTTTTTTTTTTGAGACGGAGTCTCTCTCTGTCATGCAGGCTGGAGTGCAGCGGTGCAATCTCGGCTCACTGCAACCTCCACCTCCCAGGTTCAAGCAATTCTCCTGCCTCAGCCTCCCGAGTGGCTAGGATTACAGAGGCCTGCCACCACGCCCAGCTAATTTTGTATTTTTAGTAGAGACAGGGTTTCACCATGTTGGCCAGGCTGGTCTCCAACTCCTGACCTCGTGATCTGCCCGCCTCGGCCTCCCAAAGTGCTGGGATTACAGACGTGAGCCACCGCGCCTGGCCTAACCCAACATTTCTTAATCCATATCCTAACAATTTAACTCATCTATGAAGCTCCCCAATGTTCAAAATACACAACCACTTTATACCAATTTTCCCTTCTTCTAAACTCAGTCTATCAATAGTTCCTGCACTTAACACAAGCTGCAACCTATATTCTGAAAGAACACAGGCCAGAAGTAACTTTCTGAAAAACCAAAAATACATTAAGAATGTGAATATGTTATGAAAATCACCAGAGCAAACAAAAGCTTCTTTATGCTTCAAAATAATTTTTTAGCCAAAAATATTCTAATACTAGACTGGCACTGCTCAAAGGTGGGAATACTGTGTCTCATTCACTATCTCTGCACTGATGCTTAGTACACGGTTTGCCATCTAACTGGTACTAAGCTACTGACTAAACCAATACCCTAAAAGAGGCTGTAAAATTATTGAATTTTAAAAACCAATATTAACAGTAATAACTTGCCCATTTTGTATGCATAGCAAATGACGAATATAAACTGTTTTCCAGTTTTTAGATCAATATAAATCAGGGAATGATGAAGATTAGCCCTTAAATTCCCACAGTAGAAATAACTACACTGTTAGGAACTGTACTTATGAACATCGAGTTGATCCTGCCCAAAAAAAAAATCGTTTTTAATTATTTATATGACTAGCCAAGCACTAAGAACTATATATCACATTTACAAAAGAGTTACAATTCACAATAATCTCTACTAAACAGAAGAGAAAAAACAGATTAGAGAGTTTAAGGAGCTTGGTCAACATCATACAGGGAGCAAGGATCAGATATGAATGCAAAGCAAAAATCTGTCTACAGCTTGTGCTCTTCACCGCTGTTCTATTCTGCATTGTAAAAAATATCCCCACAAAATTATATTGTGTGAAAGGCTTAAAATGTCAAAGAGACATTATTCTACTTAAACTAATCAATAGGCATAGTCAATACATTCAACACAAGACAACTCTTCTATCATACTTGAGAAAACTAATGGCTATCATGATATATGGTAAGGGCCATGTTGTCTACCTGAGAAAAACACCAAAAGAAACTATGGGAACAGACACCAAAAAAAGGATCTATCTATAAGCCAAATTCAAGAAATAATTCGAGCAGCAACTCCTATGGGGGCTGGAAGAGGTAACTGATCAGGGACGCAAAATCATTTGAGCATCATGGCCCAGCTGAAACTGGTGACCATTACCTGAGTAACAGAAGCAGTTTGCGAAGTGAACAGCTTCAGGTTTAGATAAGGAAAAATAAGCACATTGCACCCTGTCACTCCTCTTGAAAGCAACTAGAAAGCCTGAACAGAGTAACTGCAGAAGCTATTTGAGGACTCTGAAAAGTAAACAGTAGCAGGTGGATGAGGGAGGAATAGAATTCAAACCACCACCACATCAGCATATTTAAACAAGACCCAGAGTCTCCTCCTAACATAACATCCAAAAAGTCGGGGATACAATCCAAACTTACTCTGCACAGGAGGAACCAGGAAAACCTCAATTCCCATAGAAAAAGAAAATCAAGACAAGCCAATACTGAGATGACACAAAGGTCAGAATTATCTCACAAAGACTTTAAAACAGCTATTATACAAATAATCCTATAAACAAGCACACACACAATATACTTGCTATCACTAATTATCTTCCCTTTATCTCACCTCTCCACCAGAACTTCTCTATCCAAGATTACCAATGACCTCAATACTGCTAAATCCAATGGTCAATACTTAGATATTACTTCCTCTGTCAGCTGCAACTGACAGGTAATTATTCCTGCTTCCCTTCTCTTGCTTTCCAGGACACCATCTTCTCCTGGTTTTCTTCTTACCTCACAGGTGGTTTCTTTCCAGTCTCTACAGCTGTTCTTCCTCTTCTTGCAAACTTGTCAATTCTAGAGTTCCCCAAGACTCTGTCCTTTCTCTTATTTATGCTCACCTCCTAGGCAAGCTCACTTTAAAAGCTACCTTTATGCTAACTGTAGCTCAGATTTCTTCCAAAATCCCAACTTGAAAATCCAGTTGCCTGGTTGTTGTGCTAGACTGTTGTCAATTCTGCATCATTACCACCTTCTATATTCACCTGTGTGACATAGGGAAGCCAGAACTACATTTCCTACAAACCCCTTCCTGCTACAACTCAGGGTTAGAGTCAACTAATAAGGGCAACTCGTGCAAGACTGGTAAGATAAAAGAGCACACTACCCTCTGGAGGCAGCTGTAGGCTGATGTGCTGGGAGAAAAAAATAACTGACCTACTTCTGAAACTAAGACCTAGATAGAGCAGCTCCTACTAGGAATTCCCAGCAGCTTCGGAGAAACTCCAAGAACCATCCACTTCAACCACAGCAGCAGAGGCTTCAATTCTGAGACCTCTGCCCATCTCAGATGAGCTCCTGGGAAGTACACACTGTGAACAGCTGCTTCCTGGACCTTCAATTCTCCAACCCTTCCAACAGTAGTGAAGGACTATAATCCTGTGTATTTAAAAAAGTGTCTAGAGCAGCTTCTCTTTTCCTGAACAATTCCTCATGGATACACTATGCTGGGGACCAGCTTCTAGATCCTCAGAGAAGTGAAACATCAGTTAAGCGAATAAAAATGTCCAAGAGACATTTCAAAGCTCAGATATTGATCTTTCTCCTCCAAACCTTCTTTACACACTCTTCTCTATGTCAGTTCTTGGCAACTCTCTCCTTCCAGTTGTCCAGGCCAAAAAACAATGGATGTCATCCTTGTCTCTTTTATTCCTCACACTCCATGTTCAACCTTGTCAGCAAATAATGTCAGCTCTTCCTGGCAAATCTGCCAAGAAACTGTCCACTTTGCTCCACATCCTCCACCATCACCACGACTTGTGCCATCATCACCATTCACTCAAATGAACTCAACAGCCACCTGACAGGTCCCCTGCTTCTAACCTTGCTGCTCTGGTGCCTATCCTCAACATTGCAGATGAAGTCAAATCTCAATCTGATTGCAGATGAAGTCAAATCTCAATCAGATGTCATCACTTCTCTGCTCAAAACCCTAAATGGCTCTCCATCTTATGTGGATAACTTAACCATGTTAAGTTGTCTGACTACAACATGTCTGACTACAACAGACAAAGAAATATGTCAAAAAAAAAAACCAAAAAACAAAAAACTTGCTTAAGACTATAAGCTTTTCAATAAGAACAGTTGCTCAAAGAGTTGAGGATACTGATAACAACATCAATGTCAGTCAAAAAAAGGCAAATATTTTTGAATGATTTTCCTTGGTTGTTGACGTTGCTCAACTGTTTATTCAAGGAGTCAATGCCAACCTTGAAGTAACTAAAAAATTAGTCTCTAAGAATAGTCTGTGTGGAACTACAAATAATATTTTCAAAGCTGAGAAAACACTAATTTAGTACAATCTGAAGTGGAATCTACTAAGATGCATGATAATAACTGGTGATAGTAAAAATATATGGGGAGCAGACAAATGATTTGCTGCACAAATTTACAAAAATTATGAAAGTATTATGGTTATTCATCAGCAAGTACTATGTAGAAAGTATTTAAATCTGTCAGGTGTTATTGGACCAGTAGCATCCACAGTGAACTTCATTAGCTCTTGTAGACTTAACCATTGTCAGTTCCTTGAATTTGTCAGAAATAGAAACTGAGTATCTTGACTTGGCCTACCACACAGCAGTTAAATGGACAGTGGTAGGTTTTATTCTAACTTTATGACCTTAGAGTCAAGACTCAAATTTTTCTAAAAGAGCCTCCTTCAGTTAACACTGTTACCAAACACTGAATAGCTCTGCAATCAATTTTTTCTACAGACTTGATGTTTCTTAATGGATTCAATTTAAGTTTACAAAGGAAAACAGTACTTATATGAGGAATTTATACTGTAGTAAAGTCATTTCAATGACAGCTAACATTTGAATCACAAGTTGCATTAAGCTTCTTTATATACTTCTCGTATGTGAAAGTTAAAACAAAAAGCAAGATTTCAATTCTGTGCAAATTTGCAGTGGATATATTTTCTGGGTTCAAACTACATTCCAGTAGCATTTTTCAAACTCCGATGCAAGTACAAAGAAAATTTACATATTTCAAAATCCATTTAACTGTGCAATTGAGGTGCTTCCATCTAACCACCAATAGGAAGTGATTAATCTGCAATGCAATAACATGCTAGAAGGCAATTATCAAGGAGAATCTAATAGAATTCTATAAATGCCTTCTAAGCAATGAATATGCTCCTGAACTGCTATCAGTATTTCGATGTATCCTGTCAGGATTAAGACATTTTTCAAAGATAAAATATGTAAAATCTCCTTGCAGATTAGCATTAAGAGATGAACACTTGTAATTGATGTTGATAATAGCAAACACTAAGTTCAAACTCTAATTTAGCCAAATGTTATCCACCTCCTCCCCTAAAAAAAAATCCATTCCTCTCATTAGACCTGTATTTTTTTAATTATGCTCAATTGTTTTTATTATTTTAATTAATAAATAATTGTTAATTTTTTTTAGATGGAGTCTCATTCTGTCACCCAGGCTGGAGTACAGTGGCATGATCTCGGCTCACTGCAACCTCCACCTCCCAGGTTCAAGTGATTCACCTGCCTCGGCCTCCCGAGTAGCTGCAACTACAGGCGCACGCCACCACGCCTGGCAAGTTTCTGTATTTTTAGCAGAAACGGGGTTTCACCATGTTGGCCAGGCTGGTCTTTAACTCCTGACCTCAAGTGATCTGCCTCCCTCCGCCTCCCAAAGTGCTGGGATTACAGGCACGAGCCACTGTGCCCAGCCTCAATTACTGTTTTTATATTTTGAATTCAGTCGATGAAAATTTGTGGAAATTTGTTTTCTCTCATTATTTAAATACCTACATAATATTCTTGTTTTGCCTATTCATCTGCAAAACCTAAAATATTCACTATCTGCCCCTTTACAAAAAAGTTCACCGATCCTTGTTTTAGTCAACTAGATTCCCAGGTCTTCCGCACACTGGTAGAGTTAAGACACGTTTTGTCCAGCTTTAGCTTTCTCAGTTGCTTTTCCTTTTAAACTAAGTCTGCCATTTTACATTTATTGCTGACAAATTTCACCCTATGGATTTTACCACTTCATTACCACCTGTCAAAATATTTTAAAAATCTAAAATTCTAAAAATGAACTGTCTCCCAGTGTGACTCCTGTTCTTTATTCAAATCCCTGATAGAAATGTTAGAACAGATGTCAAGTATGACACACTTCTGGAGACATCCTCACCTGTGTGTAGAAATTCTAATTTTTCAGTTTCGTGGTAAATGTTACTGTATGTGGTTACAACATATCTTATATCTAGGAGCAATAATAATTTCTTGAACTCCCTAGTAATGACAGAAATAATAATTTGCTTTGCTAGGGCTTATGCAGTAAAGGATTAACCGCCTTGCTCAAAGAAAAGTTTGGCCCTTTGCCCAGATCCTGGGAGGTAATCTTTAAGCTCTTGGAAGCTCGTCCGATAAAGCTGTCTTTGTTTACCTGGGGACCCTGACCCACAGCAAACACCAGGCTTGACCTTTGGATGGGGCTGGAGAGTAAGCTCACCTATGATTCTCCATCAAATGGTCATTTGACTTTTCTGGGTTATTTACTTACTCATCTCTAAAGTAAAAGCTTTGGATCCTAAATTTAGATATACCCCTAAAATTCTAGATTACGTAAAGCAAAGAGTAAAAGGGGCACACATACACACACACGTAAAAAAAAAAAGCAGCAGAAAAGTTTGCTTTCCAATAAAATGGTCAAAAAGGCAAACTCATAGGATAGATGTAAATCAAAGACATCAGCTCTTTGCCAACCACATAATCAACCATGTACTGTTTAAAATTAACCCACATGTTGACAACATGCACTTAAACTAAGTTATTTCTGCTATCTGATTTCTCAAGGCAATTCCTTAGGATCCAATACTATTTTTTCCAAACAGAAAACAAAACTTGCCACCTAAACTTTGCCATGACCTAGGCAAAGTAGATTCAAAGCTTTTTTCCTACCTTGGAATTACAATTAGCCCCAGCGTGAAATTCTGAGAGTGATATCTTAACCAGTCTAGGTTTTCACTTTTGACTTCTATGCCACTGCTAGATTCCATCATTTCTTATATCTTTGCCCCATCACACTTTGCCTTTAATAGAAGTCACAATTTTTCTCAACAGGAAAGAAGAAACTTTCTTACAGATTGCCCCATTTTCACTCTCTTAAGTTCTCTCTGCTCCATATGGAGCAGCTTACCAAGTTCATCAAATCTCTGCAGGGACTGCTATTATCTGTAGTCTGTAATCCCTAAATTACATGTAATAATGCTGACATCAAGTATGAACCAATCCAGTGCAGACTCCAGAACACAATACGAATCTGCCTGATGCTCATATCTCAACAACTGCTCGGCGGCCACCCTGCTTCTCCTGCTTTGCTCAACTAAGGGCTCATCATGACAGCACGATTTAGGGATTGTCTTACAACTCACTATTTACACATTTCTAATCCAACTGAGGAAACTACACTCATTTATGGTACTGGTGTATCCTACCTAAAAGTGACACCATCTCTCATAGCCACATGAATACTAAGATACGTTAATACTCTACAAACTTTAGCTTTCTCTAATGTTCATAGCATGTTGAAGCATTCCATGCCCGTCAGTCTCCAGCTCGCTTTTTATGTACCAAAAATGTGTCTTATTCTGTCTTTCGGAAAGGAGGAGAAACTAGGGAAAAACATTCCAATTGCTGGTTGATACAGTTCAACTTAGAAAACAGTTGCATGTGTTTGCATTTTACTTGGCAGTTTGAGATGCATTACATTTAAAGTAAAAATCCTGTGATTGGGATGATGTTTCCCTTGCCAACACAAACCTTTAGAGTACACCAGATGTGTACAATCTAACAAAAAGTGATTCCTCCTTTTGGTTGGACTCCTTTCTGATAATGTGATGAAAGCTCTAGAATTCTCTCCCCAGGGAAAAACAGCTCACATACACACACAATTCTGCTTAGAATTTCAGGGGTTCATGGACCTAAGAGACAATGTTCCCTCATCAAAGCAATCACTAAGATATTCCAGGAAAAAAAAAATTAAGAGCAAAAAGATCTTCATGAACTCATCACCAAAGAAAAAATCTGGAAGCCATCCTGGAATTACGCTGGATTCCTTCTCTCTCAGCCTTGCCATTTCACTTACTTAGTCACGCCTGTAGATGAACTCAGAAACAGGCTTCACATCAATCCCTACTCTCCATTTCCTCAGTTGTGCCCTTAAGTCCTTCATTTATATGTACAACATAATTAAAAGAACATACAGTCTATTATTAAATAGACTGTATGTTACTAAATTCGACCTCTGAACTTTATCCCTCTCACTTTACTAAATAACAGCAGGTGAGCCATTTCCTTAATGACAAAGGTTGGGTGACTTTTCCCCTTCTAATGTGGATTACTACCTTCCTTACTGATCTTGTGCCTCTAGTCCAGTCATCCTCCTACCATCTAAATCTGTTCTTGCTGCCCTAGGATGTAAAAAATTTATATCAGAATCAAGTGCAAACTGCTTTGATCCTGCCCAGTATCGACTGCATATCCTTCTCTACCCGACCCAACCTATTTCTCCACATGTGATAAAAATATTCAGTTCCACAAAACCCCAGCCTCTCACACCTCCATGCCTTTGCACATGAGTGGAATCCACTTCCCATCTTCCGCTGAAAAATACTTTACAAAGAGGTCACCACATCTAGTCCACAGCCAGTTTTTACATGGTTCCTGGACTAAGAATGATTTTTACATTATTAAAGCGTTGAGGAGAGGGGGGAGGGGGAAGAAAGGAAGAAAAAATTAGAGGAAATGCGATAGGCTGTATGTGTATATGCGACCCCCGAAGGCTGAAGTTTCTACTCTCCGGCCTTTAAGAGGGGAAGTCTGCCGACCCCTGAGGTTGGGCATCACAAGGGACTTGCCCTCCAGATTGCCTGAGCACGCTAAGAGACAACTGCACACATCATGCTGCATGCCAGGGAACTATAACAGTCTCACTCCCCCTCAAGTCTATACCTTCAGGGCTTAATACCGTACCAGGCACAAAACAGTATTTTTTAAATGGCGAACAAATGAATTAACTGAATGAACCAGCTCAAGAACTGGTGAAATCACATTAAATGGAAAGGACCTGTGCCTTTAGTAGTAAAACACTACTTACGTCTGTTAAAGATACTATTAACAACATTAGCACCTTACATTTGTATACCACTCTACACAGTAACTGCACATATAACCTCAAAGGCTAAGACCATAAAAACTACACTTTATAAATAAGGACTTGAGAAGCACAGAAACTAACTTGCCAAAAGTCACATGACTAAAGGCAGAGCCAATATTTGAAGTTGGGTCTTGTTTCTTAGATAAAATGCATTTTCTCTTAAACAGACTACACAACTACAATATCTAGACACTTACACAATACCTCTCTACAAAAATCACAATACCTAGACACTTCAATTACTAATGCCTGAGATTCAGGAGACAGATAAAATTTAATTTCTGAGCCACTATTTAACTGATAATTTTCAAGTTAATGCTACTTTCTGGGGAGAAAAAAATGAAATGGACACCCAAAATAAACACTAGGCTAAAAGGTCCCAGAATAACCACAAGCTAAAAATTTTCTCTTTTCCTTAAGAATCAGTCCTTGGGAAAGCAACACAAAATTAAACAGCTTAATTAACAAATGCCACTGAAAGGAAAGCAGCTGCAGTCACAGCATGAACTCCTTGCCTGTCAGCTAAGCTAAAACAAACTGGCAGTTGAGGCAGTCACTTGTCTTTAAGCTTCAGTTTGGGTAGAACAGAATCCAAAAGCTGATAATGTACATTAACACCTCAACTTCAGCCAGAAAACAACACAAGTGTTTCCAGAGGCAGAAAATAGAAACTCTATTAACTTTTTAAAAAGCCTAATAATGTTAGTCTAATCTTTTTTTCATAACTAAGGTATAACTTAGGCATAGCTGGAGTTTAAGTGGCTAGGTACCTAAAAGTTTCTGAGTTGAGACCAAGATTTTAGCCAAATTCTACTACAATATAGGTCTATTTAAGACAACATTAATTTCAAAGAATTGGTAACATACAGAACACATTTTCTGACTACAATCCAATTCTAGAAATGTCACAAGATACAATGAAAAAAAGCTCATTTGTTTGTAATTTATCAAACACTTTAAAATAAATCATGAATCATCAAAGGAATCAGTAGAATTTACAAAATATGTCTAAATATTAAACTTCTTTATTAAATAGAACAATAAATGCTTTATGGGCCAGGTGTGGTGGCTCCTGCCTGTAAATCCAGCACTTTGGGAGGCCAAGGCGGGAAGACTGCTTAAGCCCAGGAGCTAGAGACCAAGTTTGGCAACATAGTGGGACCCTATCTCTAAAGAAAATTTAAAAATTAGCCAGGTGTGGTAATGTGTACACCTGCTAGTCCCAGAAACTCAGAAGGCTGAAGCAGGAGGATCGCTTGAACCTGGGAGGTCAAGACTGCAGTGTGCAGCATGGGCGCGGTAGCTCACGTCTGTAATCCCAGCACTTTGGGAGGCCAAAGTGGGCAGATCACGAGGTCAGGAGATCGAGACCATCCTGGCCAACACGGTGAAACCCCATCTCTACTAAAAATACAAAAAATAGCTGGGCATGGTGGTGCACACCTGTAGTCCCAGCTACTCAGGAGGCTGAGGCAGGAGAACTGCTTGCACCCAGGAGGCGGAGGTTGCAGTGAGACGAGACAGCACCACTCCCCTCCAGCCTGGGCGACAGAGCAAGACTGTCCAAAAAAAAAAAAATACTGCAGTGAGCTGTGATCGTCCAACTGGACTCCAGCCTAAGTGACAGAATGAGACTTTGCCTCAAAATAATAATAATAAATGCTTTATGAACTAAATAAAAATACTTCACATCAAAACTTAGCCCTTGGATAAAGAGAGATTCCTTAAAAAAATCAAAACAATAAAAAGTACTCATCATAAAGGAAAAAAGAAATAAAGCTTATGACATTAAAATTAAGAACTTTAGTTCCCTACAGTAACCAAAACAGCATGGTACTGGTACCAAATCAGAGATATAGATCAATGGAACAGAACAGAGCCCTCAGAAATAATGCCGCATGCATATCTACAACTATCTGATCTTTGACAAATCTGACAAAAACAAGAAATGGGGAAAGGATTCCCTATTTAATAAATGGTGCTGGGAAAACTGGCTAGCCATATGTAGAAAGCTGAATCTGGATCCCTTCCTTACACCTTATACAAAAATTAACTCAACATGGATTAAAGACTTAAATGTTAGACCTAAAACCATAAAAACCCTAGAAGAAAACCTAGGCAATACCATTCAGGACATAGGCATGGGCAAGGACTTCATGTCTAAAACACCAAAAGCAATGGCAACAAAAGCCAAAACAGACAAATGGGATCTAATTAAATTAAAGAGCTTCTGCACAGCAAAAGAAACTATCATCAGAGTGAACAGGCAACCTACAGAATGGGAGAAAATTTTTGCAATCTACTCATCTGACAAAGGGCTAATATCCAGAATCTACAATGAACTCAAACAAATTTACAAGAAAAAAATCAAATGACCCCATCAACAAGTGGGCAAAGGATATGAACAGACACTTCTCAAAAGAAGACATTTATGCAGCCAAGAGACACATGAAAAAATGCTCATCATCACTGGCCATCAGAGAAATGCAAATCAAAACCACAATGAGATACCATCTCACACCAGTTAGAATGGCAATCATTAAAAAGTCAGGAAACAACAGGTGCTGGAGAGGATGTGGAGAAATAGGAACACTTTTACACTGTTGGTGGGACTGTAAACTAGTTCAACCATTGTGGAAGTCAGTGTGGTGATTCCTCAGGGATCTAGAACCAGAAATACCATTTGACCCAGCCATCCCATTACTGGGTATATACCCAAAGGACTATAAATCATGCTGCTATAAAGACACATGCACACATGTTTATTGCGGCACTATTCACAACAGCAGAGACTTGGAACCAACCCAAATGTCCATCAGTGATAGACTGGATTAAGATAATGTGGCACACATACACCATGGAATACTATGCAGCCATAAAAAAGGATGAGTTCATGTCCTTTGTAGGGACATGGATGAAGCTGGAAACCATCATTCTCAGCAAACTATCGCAAGGACAAAAAAACCAAACACCCCATGTTCTCACTCATATGTGGGAATTGAACAATGAGAACACATGGACACAGGAAGGGGAACATCACACACCGGGGCCTGTTGTGGGGTGGGGGGAGGGGGGAGGGATAGCATTAGGAGATATACTTAATGTTAAATGACAAGTTAATGGGTGCAGCACACCAACATGGCACATGTATACATATGTAACAAACCTGCACGTTGTGCACATGTACCCTAAACCTTAAAGTATTAAAAAAAAGAAAAAAAAAAAGAACTTTAGCTCCAAGACACCTCACAGGTAAAAAAAACAAACCACAAACTGGAAGAAAATATTCACAACACATAATGATAAAGGATTGCAATCCACACATAGAAAGAACAGCTACAAGTCAATTAAAAAAAAAAAAAGGCCAGAAACTTAATAGGTCCTTCACAGAAGACAAAACAGATAGCAAATATATTAAAAGTGGCTCAACATCATTACTAATAAGGGAAGTTCAAATTAAAGCCACAATAAGATATGACACAACCTCCAAAATGACAAAACTGAAAAAGTCAGACAAAATAAACTACAGACAAGGATGTGGAACAACAGGAGTGATACAGTTTGGCTGTGTCCCCACCCAAATCTCATCTTGAATTGTAGCTCCCACAATTCCTATGTGTTGTGGCAGGGACCGGTGGGAGGTAACTGAATCATAAGGCGGGCTCTTTCCCGTGATGTTCTCGTGATACTAAGTTTCATGAGATCTGATGGTTTTATAAGGGGGAGTTCCCTTATACAAGCTCTCTTGACTGCTGCCATCCATGTACAATGTGACTTTGCTCCTCCTTGCCTCCTACCATGATTGTGGGGCCTCCCCAGCCATGTGGAATGTAAGTCAATTAAATCTCTTTCCTTTCTAAATTACCCAGTCTCGGATATGTCTTTATCAGTAGCGTGAAAACAAACTAATACAAGGAGTCATTATATTAGTGGTGATATAAATTGGTATAACTACTTTGGGAAGCAATTTGGCAGTAACTAGTCAGGTTGAAGACTGGCCAGCCCTATAACTCAGCAATCACACTCCTAGATACATAGGCTATGCACATCCATGTCTATGAGCAATAAGAGTGTTCACATTTGTGTGGCAGTGTTTGCAGTACAGCAAGAGACTGCAAGCAAACCAACTGCCCATCAATTGTAGGCTAGATTACACAACAGTGAAAATGAATGAAAACTATCATACAGCACCTAAGTTTTAAAATCAGAGTGCAGGATGGGAGGAAAAAAGAAAATCAAGTCATATAAAGACATATAGCATGATACCCTTAGTATAAAGTTCGGCCGGGCACGGTGGCTCACGCCTGTAATCCCAGCACTTTGGGAGGCCGAAGCAGGCGGATTGGATCACGAGGTCAGGAGATCGAGACCATCCTGGCTAACATGGTGAAACCCCGTCTCTACTAAAAATAGAAAAAATTAGCCGGGCATGGTGGTGGGCGCCTGTAGTCCCAGCTACTCAGGAGGCTGAGGCAAGAGAATGGTGTGAACCCGGGAGGCGGAGGTTGCAGTGAGCTGAGGTCACGCCACTGCACTTCAGCCTGGGCGACAGAGCGAGACTTCATCTCAAAAATATAAAAAATAAAATAAAGTTCAAAACAGACAAAACACGAAGAAATGGCAAAAACAGGTACTTGTCCTTCAAGTCGCCTGCCTGGGACTCTTCCAAGTCTACTTTTCCTCTTTCCGGCTCTAAAGCTTTTTTTTTTTTTTTTGAGACAGAGTCTCACACTGTCGCCTGGGTTGGTGTGCAGTGGCGCAATCTTGGCTCACTGCAACCTCCACCTCCCAGGTTCAAACGATTCTCCTGCCTCAGCCTCCTGAGTAGCCAGGATTACAGGTGCCCGCCACCATGGCCAGCTAATTTTTTTTTTTTTTTTGTATCTTTAGTACAGCTGGGGTTTCATTATGTTAGCCAGGCTGGTCTCGAACTCTTCACCTCGTGATCCGCCCACCTCGGCCTCCCAAAGTGCTGGGATTACAGGCATGAGCCACCGCACCCAGCCTCTAAAGCTTTTTAATAAACTTCCACTCCTGCTCTGGAAAAAAAAAAAAAGAAAAGAAAAAGAAATGGAAAAAAACAATATCATTCAATGACCACTGTTTTAAATGTCAGGGATTCAACAGGGAACAGAGAAACATTTTGCCCTCAGACTTTATGTCACCACCAAGAGAGAAAGAAACTAAAAAGTAAGTAAAATACAAACAGTAACAGATGGTGAAAAGGGCTTGAAAAGAAATGAAACACTGAGCGGGGCCAAGGAAGGATGTCTTCAGGAGAGGTGACTTAAGGCTTCACTTACAGAGTGGCACCGGTGTGAGGGGTGGGAGTGGGATGGGACAGAACCTGTGGGGCAGGAGGGAAGGGTATGTGATCAGGGAACACACACTGGCCTTTCAAGGGCATGGGAAAATCCCACTGTTGAAGCTGGGCAGGAGGTACCTAGGAGTTTGCTTTGTTATCACCCTCTACACGAGAACAGCAAACTATGACCCACAGGCCAATGTGGCCCCACTTGTTTTTGTACAACCTGTGAGCTAAAAATGGTTTTACATCGTATATGGTTAAAGAAACTAAAACAATGTTTCACGGCATGTGAAAATTATAGAAAATTCAGATTTCAGTGTCTAAAGTTTTACTAGACACAGCCAGCTCATTCCTTTACATACAGCCCATGGATGCTGTAGCACTGTACAGCAGAGCTGAGTACTTGTGAGAGGTCACAGGTGGCCTGCAAAGCCTAGAATGTTTACTGTCTAGCCCTTCACGAAGAAAGTCTGCTAGCCCCTGACCTAGGGCATAACTAGGGACTTAACCAAGGCTGACTTGGGTGTCCTTCCTCCAGGTTCTCAGAGCTCAGAGCATTCTTGAAGAAGGTAGAGATTATCTCTACCTTATATTTTACACATATTCTTTTGTATTTCTTCAGTTTAATCATTTTTTGAAAAAGATTAGCATATTTCTTTCATAAATATTGCTCTATTAAAGCTCCACGCTTCACCAACTCAATAAAAAAAAAAAAAAAAAAATGACTCAGTTAAAAACAGACATGTACTGCTATCAGGAACATTAAACCAATACAGCAAAGCATAGCAAGCTACAGTTTATTTTGATTCAAGTACAGTTTTAAGAAAAGAACCTTCCAACTAAAGGCTCCAAGTCTGTGGAGAGTCCCCACCGCCTTGCTTAGCTCACTGGATCATTAAGATACACATTGGATCATTAAGATAGATACACACTGCATCATTAAGATAGATACGGGGGCTGGGTGCGGAGGCTCCCGCCTGTAATCCCAACACTTTGGGAGGCTGAGGCGGGCAGATCACAAGGTCAGGAGTTCGAGACCAGCCTGACCAACATGGTGAAACCCCATCTCTACTAAAAATACAGAAATTAGCCAGACATGGTGGCGGGTGCCTGTAATCCCAGCTACTCAGGAGACTGAGGCAGGAGAATCGCTTGAACCCGGGAGGCGGAGGTTGCAGTGAGCCGAGATAGCACCACTGTACTCCAGCCTGGGCAACTGAGCAAGACTCAATCTCCAAAAAAAAAGAAAGAAAGAAAGACACAGGACAGTCAGCTGCATCACCCACTCACAGAAGAACCTTAGAAAAGCAGCAGAGCTATATTCAATTCCTTCCCTATCTTTTTTAAAGAAATGCATCATGAATTATGTCACATTTTAGCAGGAGTTGTCCAATGTTAGCGTACGTTTTCAGAAGCAAGTTACTTCACAACTTTTAAGTATGAACCAGTACCTTTAAAGAGTTAACAATACTTATTAAATAATAACCATGGCTGAAAGTGGTAATGAATAAACAGGGAATTCATTACAACATTGTTTCTGTATATGTTTGAAAACTTCTACAAGGTTTTCACATTGAAGCTTTGTATTTTTAGTTATTAAATACGCATTTAACAGAAAAGTCACAGAATTCTCACTTGAAAGAATTCTATCTTTCAAAATCCTTAGTACAAAATATAGTTTTCCATCATCCTTACTAGTGGCAACTAAAAAAAGAAACAAACAGATGCTTATTTTAAAATCTAGGCCGGGTGTGGTGGCTCACACCTGCAATCCCAGCACTTTGGGAGGCCAAGGCAGGCGGATCTTCTGAGGTCAGGAGTTTGAGACCAGCCTGGCCAACAGAGCAAAACCCTGTCTCTACTAAAAATGCAAAAATTAGCCACACATGGTGACAGGTGCCTGTAATCCCAGCTACTCGGAAGGCTGAGGCAGGAGAATTGCTTGAACCCAGGAGGTGAAGGTTGCAGTGAGCCAAGATCATGCACTTCAGCCTGGGCAACAGAGTAAGACTCCATCTCAAAAAAAAAAAAAAAAAAAAAATCTTTGTTAAGGCTTTCATCAATGATCTGAGAAACTGAAACGATATTCACCTAAAGGAATACTATGTAGTTGTATTATCTTAAAGTTTTCCAAGTCCTTGTTGAAGCCCCAATACAAACACCTACTTCTTTAATGTGTAAGAAAAGCATTATAACTGGTAAACTTGTCCATGTGCCTGCCAGTCTTTATGAAGACGGATGGTGTATTCCTCCAGTACAAGAAGGCTGGTTCATCACTGTCCTAGAGAGAGGGAAGTGAAGGAAGGAAGGAAGGAAGAAGGAAGGAAGGAAAGGAGGAAGGAGGGAAGGAGGGAGGGAGAGAAGAAGGGAGGGAGGGAGGGAGGTGCAATTTTACAAACTGAGCAAAGATGCAGGGAAGACTCAGCACTTTGAAAACTGGCAAACTTTTAATGTAAACATTTACTTTTAATAACTGTTACCTTTCATAAAGCGTTTAATAAGACCAAGCACTGCCGGGCACGGTGGCTCAGGCCTGTAATCCCAACACTTTGGGAGGCCAAGGTGGGTGGATCACCTGAAGTCAGGAGTTCAAGACCAGCCTGGCCAAGACGGTAAAACCCCGTCTCTACTAAAAATACAAATATCAGCCGGGTGTGGTGGCATGTGCCTGTAATCCCAGCTATTCGGGAGGCTGAGGCAGGGCAATTGCTTGAACCTGGGAGGCAGAGGTTGCAGTCAGCCGAGATCATGCCACTCCACTCCAGCCTGGCAGCCTGGGTGACACAGCAAGACTCTGTCTCAAAAAAAAACAAAAAAAAAAGACTAAGCATTACATAATCATGTAGTACAATCACATGCCACACAAGGAAATAGAGATTAGAAAACTTAACAAACAAGCCCAAGATCATAGAGCCAGGATTCTGACCCCAACTCCATGCCCTTAACTACCGCAATCAACAGTGGTTATTCAACTTTCAAACTAAGACTCAGTGCCACCTTGCAACCCACACTTTGAAAACCAATGCCTAGCTACTCCAAGTATGGTCCACAGACCACCAGCCCTGGCATCACCTGGGAACTTAGGAAAAATGCAAGTCTGAGCCCTTCCCAGACAGACTGAATTGGAACTTAAAATATAACGAGATCCCTGGGTGGCATGTATGCACTTAAACGCTGAGAAGCCTTCATATAGTGCCTGCACACACTCTATTTTGAGGTAGTTTCTCCAATTCAAATACATATCCTAGAACGGTTAAAGGGAGCTTTCATCTCTTCTGCTTGCTGTGATCCCAAACCAAAGGTAAACATGTGCTGGCAAGCTACCCCAGGTGGCGATGAAAAGTGGCCCTAACCTTTCCTCCACACCCATCCTCAGTCCCACTCCTTCATCTTTACCGCCCCTCTTGTACAGAGCCTAAACCACAGCTCAACTTACTGACTTATCTGAACCCTTCCTCCTCCTAGAGTAATAGACAATAAGGGAATGACTCCACTCAACATCCCCCGAGTTCCTTGAAATGTGCCCAGGAACTACCAAGCATGAATCTAGTGCACGGTTAAATTGGCAGAAAGGGACAGCTGGGACTACTTCAGGCATGTCCTCTGACCCTAACAACTGTGGACACATAATCAAAAGATTGGTACTCTGTGAGCTAGAATGAGAGATCCCAACACAACTGTAATAACATTATATTACCAGTTAATAGGAAATACTGTGCAAATGGACAGAATATCCTGACATAGCTTTTCATCTTCTTTTTTTATTTTTTTATTTTTGTGAGATGCGGGTTTCAGTCTGTCACTCAGGCTAGAGTGCAGTGGCATGATCATAACTCACTGCAGCCTCAACCTTCCGGGCTCAAGCAATACTCCCACCTCAGCCTCCTGAGTACCTGGGACTACAGGTATGCACCACCATGCCCAACTAATTTTGTTAAATTTTTGTAGGGACAAGGTCTCACTATGATCCCCAGGCTGGTCTCAAACTCCTAGACTCAAGTGATCCTCCCGCCCAGGCCTCCCAAAGTGCTCGAATTACAGGCATTGAGTCACTGTGCCTGGCCTCATGACATTTTTAAAAATCTATGGTTTCAGCTACCTCTCTTGATACTAGAAATCAAATTTAAGATGCTTCAAACCAATCTCCACACGGTTCTCATCAACATCCAGGCTTTTGCCCATGTTTTTCTTCTCCCTAGAACCTTTTCCCCCATCCTTCCCCTCTCCACTTGGCTAATTCCTCTCCCCACCTGGCTAATTCCCATTGTTCCCTCAAGAGTGGGTGCTGTGACACCCCCGCCAGAACCCCACAGTGCCCTGCAACTTTGCACAGCACTATGACTGCCTAAGGGCAGGGATGGCAGGGCAAGTGCAATGGGAGACACTGGGTCTAAGACACAGATCAACATATAATAAATGCTTTCACAAAATTTCTCAGTTAAAACTGACATATTTGTAAGTTAAAATATCAATACTTAATAGTTATCTACTCAGTGTGCCACAGATTCACATTTCACCACCTAAATCAGTCTAAGAATCTACACTGTACCTTAGGGATAGATTTCACAGTAAGTCTATTAAAGGAACTCAATCATCTGTCTAGCTATATAGATTCCAAAAAATTCAAACTTTAAACAGCAAGGATACCCATATTAGTGGTTTTCAAATGCAGATCCACGTACCAGTGCAAGTCCCTGATGAGGTTTTGATAGTCAAGCCATATCTATCCACTAGAACTTTCTGCAATGATGAAAATGTTCTATACCAGCGCTGCCCAATGTAGTAGCCACTAGCCACATGTGGCTAATGAGCACTTGAAATGGGACTAGTGTAACTGAGGAATGGGCCTTTCAACTTCGCTTAACTGTAATTAATTTCAATTTAATTGGCCACATGTGGCTAGCAGTTACCATATCAAACATCAGGTTCAGGTCTAGACTCTGGAGTGAAATAAAAAAGAACGCGTTTTGGCTTCTTAATTTCAAGCAATGTTATTTGGTCCAACCCTCCTTCTGAAAAAGACTAAAAGAAAATATGGACAGAATATTTTTATAATCTTAAAAGCAACCACAACCTGACAAGACAAGAAATAAATAACAGGCAAAAATTGAAGTGAAACCAGGAAGTCAAAGAGATAAGCACAGAAACTACCTCTGCCCTCAGTGCACTTGCCAATTCTGAAAAGTCTCAACTTTCATTTTTAAGACAGTGCAGAGAGGGGGAGACAGGAATAAAAGACTGGGTCCTCCAAAACATATAACCCAAAACCCCACTACAGTAAGCAAGAACCCAAAAGGCTACACACCTCCAGAGAGTAAACCAGTAATGAACCAACTATCCAGCAGAACTAGAGCTATGAGGGGTCCAAACAATCTCAAGCCTTGAATTCGGTTTAAGGAGATCCCACACTGGCTGACGCAAAAGTAAGTGTTCTCTGGAGGAAGCGACCCTCATTCCAGGCCTCAAAAGAATCCTACAAATCATTTGGATCCAAATCTTATACCATAAATGAAAATTAAATCATAAACCTAAAAGTAAAATCTAAAACTTCTAGGAGAAAAAAATCAGAAAAACCTTTGTGGCCTAGGATTTGGCAACTCTTAAATATGACACATACACAAAAACACAACCCGTAAAGCAACAAACTCATAAATGGGACATCATCAAAACGTATAATTTATGCTCTTCAAGCCACTGTTAAGAAAATGAAAAAGCCAGCCATAACCTGGGAGAAAAATATAGTATGTATCTGATAAACAATTTATATCCAGAACATATAGAGAACTCTCAAAACCCAAAAAAATGGAGGAAAAAAACACCTTTTTTTAAAATTTTCTAAGACAGAGTCTCATTCTGTCTCCCAGGCTGGAGTGCAGTGACACAATCTCGGCTGACTGCAACCTCTGCCGCCCAGGTTCAAGCAATTCTCCCGTCTCAGCCTCCTGAGTAGCTGGAATTACAAGCGTCCGCCACCATGCCCAGCTAATTTTTGTATTTTTAGTAGAGATGGGTTTTCGTCATGTTGGCCAGGCTGGTCTCCAACTCTTGACCTTAAGTGATCCACCTGCCTCGGCCTCCCAAAGTGCTGGGATTATAGGCATCAGCCACGGTGCCCAGCTAACAACTTTAAAATGCATAAAAGATTTAAACACAGAGATATGCGGATGGCAAATAACCATATAAGAAGATGCTCAACACTATCAGTCATTTGGGAAACGCAAATTAAAACCACAATGAAATTCCATTACACACTGAATTAAAATGGCTAAAATGTACAAGACTGACAATAACGAGTGTTGCCCTAATGATGCAGAGCAACCAGAACTCTCATCCACTGCTGGTGGGAATGCAAAATGGTACAAATCTAGAAGATAGTTTGGCACTTTAAGAATTTCAACAGGCCAGGTGACGTGGCTCACTCCTATGACCCCAGCACTTTGGAATGCCAAGACTGGAGGATTGCTTGAGCACAGGAGTTTGACACCAGCCTGCGAAACATGACTAGACCTCGTCTCTACAAAAATGTTTTTTTAATTAGCCATGTGTGATGGTGAGTGCCTGTAGTTCCAGCTACTCCAGCGACTGAGGTCAGAGGATCACTTGAGCCTGGGAGGTTGAGGCTGCAGTGAGCAGTGATCACACCACTGCACTCCAGCCTGGACAACAGAGTGAGACCCTGTCTCAAAAAAAAAAAAAAAAAAAGTTAAACATACACCTACCATATGATTCAGCCATTCCAGTCCTAGTCCAACCATTCCCAAGAGATATGAAAGTCTACACCCATACAAAGCCTTGTACAAAAATATTCAGAGATCTATAATAATCCAGTTCTCCACGAATAGATGTAGACCTTCAATGTAATCCCAAACAACATCTGGAAGAATTATTTTAGAAGTTGACAAGTAATTCTAAAACATATATTGATCTGCAAAAGGTCAAGAACAGCCAAGGTACTCTTGAAGAAGAGACAAGTAGGAAGGGTTCCACAATGAGATAAGACTTATTATAAAGCTATAATAACTTAGACAGCTTAGTGCTTGTGGAATCAAAGAATCTAAAAACACAGAGTCTACAAGACACCCACATGGCTGGGCATGGTGGCTCATGCCTGTAATCCCAGCACTTTGGGAGGCCAAGGCAGGCGGATCACAAGGTCAGGAGATGGAGACCATCCTGGCTAACACAGTAAAACTCCATCTCTACTGAAAATACAAAAAAATAGCAGGGCATGGTGGTGGGCGCCCGTAGCCCCAGCTATTCGGGAGGCTGAGGCAGGAGAATGGCGTGAACCCGGGAGGCGGAGCCTGCAGTGAGCCAAGATCGTGCCACTGCACTCCAGCCTGGGTTGCAGAGCAAGACTCCATCCCAAAAAAAAAAAAAAAAAAAAAAAGACACACACGTATACGGACAAGTGATTTACAACAAAGGTGGCGCTGCAGAGAAGTAGGGAAAAAGATACTCTTTTCAATAAATGGTGTTGGGATAACTAGATGTCCACATATTAAAATGAAGTTGATTTAATCCCTTCCTTATACTATACACCAAAATCTATTCCAAGTGAATTATACAGTTAAAGATAAAATGCAAAATTATTAAACATTTAGAAAATAACAGAGGAATTACTTCACAGCCTCAGGGTGGGGAAGACAAAAAAAAGGAGGAACTATAAAGGAAAAGACTGATAAACTGGACTACATTAAACTTAACTTCTGTTTATCCAAAAAACACTTTTGAGGCTGGGCACAGCGGCTCACACTTGTAATTCCAACACTTTGGGAAGCAAAGGCGGGAGGACTGGTTGAGCTCAGGAGTTTGAGACTAGCCTGGGCAACATAGGAAGACCCTGTCTCTAAAAAAAAAAAAAAAAAAAAAAAAAAAATTTAAAATTAGCCAGCAGGGTGATACACCTGTATTCCCAGCTACTCAGGAGGCTGAGGGAGGAGGATTGCTTGAGCCCAAGAGTAGGAGGCTGCAGCGAGCTATGACTGCACCACTGCACTCCAGCCTGGGAAACAAAGCAAGACCCTATCTCAAAAAAACAAACAAACAAAAAAACTACTGAGACTCAGTGAAACCGCATGCCACAAAGCAGGAGACACTGGCAAGATATATAAACCAACAAAGGACTTGGATTCTGAATATATACAGAAGCTACAAATTAATGAATTTAAAAAAAAAAAAAGAAGACCTAATAGAAAAATACAGGCACTTGGCAAAACAGTAAATGCAAACGGCCAGCAAATTTATTTTAAAAAGTGCAACCTCGGCTGGGCACGGTGGCTCACACCTGTAATCCCAGCACTTTGGGAGGCCGAGGCGGGCGGATCACCTAAGGAGAGGAATTCGGGACCAACCTGACCAACATACAGAAACCTCATCTCTACTAAAAATACAAAATTAGCCGGGTGTGATGGTGCATGCCTGTAATCCCAGCTACTCAGGAGGTTGAGGCAGGAGAATCGCTTGAACCCAGGAGGCGGAGGTTGCGGTGAGCCGAGGTTGCACCAGTGCACTCCAGTCTGGGCAACAAGAGCAAAACTCTTTGTCTCAAAAAAAAAAAAAAAGAGCAACCTCATTATAATCAGAAAAAGAGTATTTAAAACCACAAGGCGGTACACTATATAAACCATCAAAAGGGGTGCAGAGGGGAGACAGGTTATAAGAGCAGAGAAGAGGAAACAGTGCTGAAGTAACCAGAGAAAATGGTCAATGATTGGAGCCTAACCTTTTAGTGACAAGTAACAGAAGAATCACTTATTTACTAACATTTCCTGAAAAGCTACTACAGGCCAAGCACTCTTAAAAGTACATTTAATGGTCATCGCAGAATATAACTGACTATAAGTTATAACTTTAACTCTCCTTGACCAATTTTTTTTTTTTTTTATTTTGAGACAGGGTCTCCCTCTGTCACCCAGGTTGGAGTGTAGTGGTGTGATCATGGCTCACTGTAGACTTGACCTCCCAGGCACAAGCAGTCCTCCCACCTCATCCTCCTGAATAGCTGGGACTATAGGCATGTACCACCACACCTGGCTAATTATTATTATTATATTCTTTGGGAGAGACAAGATCTCACCATGTTGACCAGGCTAGTCTCAAACTCCTGGGCTCAAGTGATCCTCCCACCCTGGCCTCCCAAAGTGCTGGGGTTACAGGCGTGAGTCAACATGCCAGGCCAACAAATTGTCTCAAGAAGAAATTGTTCCAGGTCGATTTTCCCACCATCTCATTTCTATTATTTTTGCTTTCATTGAGCTGCACAGTTGAGTGAAAGATCACAGTAGGAAATTCATGTGGAAACATCCTTCTCATTGTTTTTAGATTACATTATTTTAATTTTGTTTATCCCTACTCTTCTTCTCTATCTTGTTAACTTTCATATACTTAAATACCCTTTACAACAAAGACTATACAATAAAGTCATTTTAGTCTTTCTAATTGCCTCCCTTCAGATATTTGATCTTTCCTGAAACTCTTTACGGGGCTTTCACATATCTATATTCCTCAATTATCAACATGCTGAAAACCCAGAGAATGGACGGGAGACTCTTTTTCACTCCTTACATTATTTACTGACCACCTATAATGATATTATGATCAAGCTGTGGGGGACTCAAAGATACCTAACAGATAATACAGAATCCTCATCTCTGAGCTCACAACATTCTGTCTGCCAAGTTATGCGTCTAATTCTGCATAAGATATAACAGATTTAAGCGACATCACCAACTTCATCCTTGTGGACTGTCTAATTTTTATTTACCCTTTTCTTAGGAGAAAAGAGCAAAAGGCAAAAGAATGTATTGAATTTAGGCAATAATTCAACACCAGGAATAAAAATCAATTCACACAATACAGCTTCATTAGTTACCCCAAGACTTGGCAATCACCCTGACCCTGTTATTATATGCTAGCCAATTTTTCAGCACCAAAACAAAACCACCAGGGAGCTTGTGCCTTAAGCACCAACATGTACACACACTCTCCTGATATTTGCCAAAAGCCACAAGTCCAGGAGCCATACAAACTGCTATTTCAATGTAAAATTGTTCATTCAAATTCCAAACCAAGATTAAAAATAATTAATCAGTATTAGCATAAAACATTCAAAATCCCTAACAAAAGCAGTTTTGAGATCTTTCCAAGATTTTGAAAATCCTAAAAAACATATTTAGATTCCTGAAGTGAGGGCAATCTCCTTAGCAAATCTAAGTGGTCAAGAAGACAACATACACATACCTCAAATTAAGACTAATTTTTGCCTCCTATGACTTGCATTTCTTTCAAAACACCCTAAAGCAGTGGTTCACAAACATTAGCATGCATCAAAGCACCAAGATGGCAAGTTTAAAAACCTTGCGAGGCCAGGCATGGTGGCTCATGCCTGTAACCCCAACACTTCAGAAGGCCAAGGTGGGAGAACTGCTTGAGCCCAGGAATTCAAGACCAGCCCTGGCAACATGGTAAATACCCGTCTCTACAAAGTATGCAAAAATCAGCTAGGCGTAGTGGCATGCGCCTGTAGTCCCAGCTACTCAGGAGGATCACCTGAGGCTGGGAGGTCGAAGCCGCAGTGAGCTGTGATCGCGCACTCCAGCAAGACCCGGTCTCAAAGAAAAACAAAACAAAAAAAAATGAAACAACAGGCCAGGCACAGTGGCTCATGCCCATAATCTCAGCACTTTGGGAGGCAGAGGTGGGCAGATCACCTGAGGTCAGGAGTTTGAGACCAGCCTGGCCAACATGGTGAAACCCCGTCTCTACCAAAAATACAAAAATTGGCCGGGTGTGGTGGTGTGCGCCTGTAATCATAGCTACTCAAGAGGCTGAGGCAGGAGAATTGCTTGAACCCGAGAGGCAGAGGTTGCAGTGAGCCAAGACTGCGCCACTGCCCTCCAGCCTGGGCAACAGAGTGAGACTTCATCTCGGAAAAAAAAAAAAAAAAAAATACAAAAATTAGCTGGGCGTGGTGGCATACCCCTGTAGTCCCAGTTACTTGGGAGGCAGAAGCAGGAGAATTGCTTGAACCCTAGAGGTAGAGGTTGCAGTGAGCTGAGAAAGTGCCACTGCACTCCAGCCTGTGCCACAGAGCAAGACTCCGTCTCAAAAACAAAACAAAATAAAAAAGCTTGCTGAACACCACCCTCAGTGTTTGATTCAAGAGGCCAGAGGTAGGGCCTCAGCACTTGCATTTCTAGCAAGTTTCTAGATGATAGTGATGCTACAATTCCGTCACTACTCTGAAAACCACTGAAAGCCCCTGGAGCTTACTGGAACGTGTGCGTGAACAGTGTGAATGAGTTACCCCCTCACACTATAGCAAGACTATGGTGGAATTCACTGAGAGGCAAACTGCAAAATCTCAGGGAGAGATTCTGTACCCAAATGTTGACTTCCATTACCTGAGTGAATGTATTTTGAACTGTCACTTTCAAAATGTTTTATCTGAACAGCAGCACAGCAGCAAAAGACTCTGAACAAGGTCAAGGATGAGCGGCACAGTGCATAACTCACACTTCAACATTAAGAAGACGTTTGTTCTTTTAAATGGTTTAGGGGCATAATGTTAAACCTTTGTAAAGCATCCAATTAATCCAGTTGATTAGCAAAAGGTACATTAGAGCTTCTGGATCAGTAATAAAAACTTCCATCATTTTGTGTCACCTCAAACAATTTTCCATGTCTTCAGAACTTAGGATGAGTCCCAATCAATTCCTACAAGATTGATTTCTAGAAAAAAAGTTCCAAAATTATGAAAGAGCAGAGCAATATTTTTTTCCTGGCCCAAGTCTGATAGTAGTAATTTTAAATACAGTAGACAAAGGTGAAAAAGATAACTCCAAGTTCTTCCCTGGTATCAAGCCCTATGTGAGTCTGAGCTCAGATGATCCGCTGGCCTCTGCCTCCCAAAGTGCTGGAATTACAGGCATGCGCCACCGTGCCTGGCCCCTATGTGATTTTTAAGTGACGTTCTTTACCAGGGCAAACAAAACAGTAAACACCTGGCTGATGCAAGTAACAGTTCTCCAATAATCAATACACCTGGGTTCTTTCATTTACTCATTCAATAAATATTACTGTGTAAGACACTGGTGATTCAATAATGTATAAAACAAAGTTTATGCCCTCGTGGAGCTTACATTCTCACAAGACAACACACATTTTACTACAAAATATGTAACACATAAAACTGTTAAGCTCTTTCATTGGACCAACAAAGACAAACATATAGTGTTTTGGTCAAGAGAGACACAGACACAACAAGCACCTACAGTTCACAGCAGAATCCAAACCCAAAATGCAGGAATTTTAATAAGAATATGAGGGCAAAAAAGAGACCCTAGGCACAGATAACCCACAAACATGACTTTTTTTTCTTTTTTGAGACAGAGTCTCACTATGTCGCCCAGGCTGGAGTGCAATGGTGCAATCTCAGCTCACTGCAGCCTCGACCTCCCAGACTCAAGTGATCCTCCCACCTCAGCTTCCCAGGTAGCTGGGACTACAGGCACACGCCACCACATTCATCTAATTTTTGCATCTCTTGTAGAGACCAAGTTTTGCCATGTTGCCCAGGCTGGTCACAAACTCCTGGGCTCAAGCGATCTGTCCACCTCGGCTTCCCAAAGTGGTGGAATTACAGGTGTGAGTTACCGCACCCCACCCAAAGGTATGATTTTTGTCATTTATCTGTTTCTGAAAAAAGTGAATTTATAGTAAAGAAAATGTATATCAGTAAGATTCGGGTAGGATTTCAATTAAATAAAATTTAATTAAACATTGTAAGGAAATACTTTCATGTTCTTAAAAACATGTAAACTTTGTAGTGATGCTACTAGTGTCTCTCTGAGGCTTCCAACTGCTAAGGGGGAGGACAGTGCCACTAAGGCAAAAACAACTATTTCCTGCTTTTGTCTACAAACCATTTCATTAGAGTATTTATGCAAATCAAGCTACAATTAACAGCATTTACTAAAAAGTTTTTAAAAACTTAAGATTTGCAGCAACCCTGCATCGAGCAAGTCATCAGTGCCATTTATTCAACAGCATGTGCTCACTTTGAGTCTCTGTGCTACATTTTGGTAATTCTCACAATATTTCAAACTTTCTCATTATTATTACATCTGTTGTGGTGATCTGTGAACAGGGATCTCTTTTTATTTTTAGAGGCAGGGTCTCACTATGTTGCCCAGGCTGATCTTGAACTCCTGGCCTCAAGCAATCCTCCCAAAACAATGGATTACAGATGTGAACCACTGCACCTGGCCTATGATCAGTGGTCTTCGATGTTACTACTGTAGTTGTTTTGGGGGGACCATGACCTGTACCCACATGAGATACACATTTACTCTATAAACATGTGCATTCCCACTATTCCACTTACTGGGCCCCTGTCTCTTCTGCTCTCCTCCCTCTCCTGTGGCCTGCTATTCCCTGAGATACAAAAATACTGCAATTAGAACAATTACTAATTCTATAATGGGCCGAAGTGGGAGGATCATCTGAGGTCAGGAGTTCAAGACCAACCTGACCAACATGGAGAAACCCCATCTCTACTAAAAATACAAAATTAGCCTGGTGTGGTGGTACATGCCTGTAATCCCAGCTACTCAGGAGGTTGAGTCAGGAGAATCGCCTGAACTGGGAGGCAAAGGCTGTGGTGAGCTGAGATCTCGCCATTGCACTCCATCCTGGGCAACAAGAGTGAAACTCTGTCTCAAAAAAAAAAAAAAAAGGACGGGCACGTGGCTCACTCCTATAATCCCAGCACTTTGGGAGGCCGAGGTGGGTGGATCACAAGATAAGGAGATCAAGACCATCCTGGCCAACATGATGATGAAACCCTGTCTCAACTAAAAATACAAAAAATTAGCCAGGCATGGTGGCACGTGCCTGTAGTCCCAGCTACTCCAGAGGCTGACGCAGGCGAATCGCTTGAACCTGGGAGGCAGAGGTTGCAGTGAGCCGAGATCGCACCACTGCACTCCAGCCTGGCGACAGAGCAAGACTCCGTCTCAAAAAAAAAAAAAAAAAAGAAAAGAAACTCTATAATGGCCTCAAAGTGTTCAAGTGAAAGGAAGAGTCCCGCCTATCTCACTTTAAATCGAAAGCTAGAAATGATTACGCTTAGTGAGAAAAAACGTCAAAAACCAAGATAGGGCCGGGCACAGTGGTGATGCCTGTAATCCTAGCACTTTGGGAAAAGGTGGGCGGATTGCCTGAGCTCAGGAGTTTGAGAACAGCCTGCGGAACACGGCAAAACCCCGTCTCTACTAAAAAAACAAACAAACAAAAGTAGCTGGCCATGGTGGTGCATGCCTGTAGTCCCAGCTACTCAGGAGGCAGAAGGTTTCAGTGAGCCAACATTGCATCACTGCACTCCAGCCTGGGGCACAAAGCGAGACTCTGTCTCAAAATAAATAAATAAAATAAAATAAAATAAAAAAGATAGGCCAAAAGCGAGGCCTCCTGTGCCAAACAGCCAAGTTGTGAATGCAAAGGAAAAGTTATTGAAGGAAATTAAAAGTGCTACTTCAGTGAACACGCAAATGATAAGAAAGTAAAACAGCCTTAGCCGGGTGCAGTGGCTCACACCTGTAATCCCAGCTACTCAGTAGGCCGACACCCGAGAACCACTTCAACCCGTGAGGCGGAGGGTGCAGTCAGCCAAGATCGCGCCACTGGGTGACAGAGTGAGACTGTGTCTCTTAAAACAAAACAAAACAAAACAAAACAAAGGAAAAGAAAACAGCCTTATTGTTGATATGGAGAAAGTTTTAGTGGTCCAGATAGATCAAGCCAGCCATAACATTCCCTTGACCCAAGGCCTAACAAGGCCTAATTCAGAGAAAGCTCCTCCTCTTCAATTCTGTAAATTGATGTGAGGAAGCTACAGAAAAGCTGGAAGCTAGCAGAGGTTGGTTCGTGAGGTGGAAGGAAAAAAGCCATCTCCACAGCATAAAAGTGCAAGATGAAGCAGCAAGTGCTGGTGGAGAAGCTGCAGCAAGTTATCGAGAAGATCTAGCTAAGATCACTGATGAAGGTGGCTACACTAAACACATTTTAAATGAAGAAACCACCTTCTATTGGAAGATGCCATCTAGGACTTTCATAGCCAGAGAGATGAAGCCAATGCCTGGCTTTAAAGCTTCAAAGGATGGGCTGACTCTCGTTAGGGGCTAAGGCAGCTGGTGATCTCAAGTTGAAGCCAATGCTCGTTTCCCATTCTGAAAATCCCAGGGTCCTTAAGAACGATGCTAATTCTACTCTGCCTGTGCTCTACAAATGGAATAACAAAGCCTGGATGATAGCATATCTGTTTACAGCATGTTTTACTGAATATTTTAAGCCCACTGTTGAGATCTACTGCTCAGAAAAAGATTCCTATCAAAATATTACTGTTCATTGGCCAAGTACCTGTTGTCCAAGAGCTCTGAGAGAGATGTACAAAGAGATCAATGAGGTTTTCATGCTTGTTAACACCACATCCATTCTACAGCCCATAGATTAAGAAGACATTTTGACTTTTAAGTCTTAAATATATTTCATAAGGGTATAGCTGCCATAGATAGTGATTCCTCTGATAGATCTGGGCTAAGTACATAGAAAACATGCTGGAAAGGATTCACCATTCTAGATGCCATTAACATTCATGACACATTGGAGGAGGTGAAAATAGCATTATGAACAGGAGTTTGGAAGAACTTGCTTCCAACCGTCATGGATAACTCTGAGGGATTCACGACTTCAGTAGAGAAAGTAAATGCAGATATGGTAGAAATAGCAAGAGAACTAGAATTAGAAGTGGAACCTGATGATGTGACTGAATTGCTGCAATCTCATGATAAAACTTGAACGGATAAGGAGTTCCTTCTTAGGGATGAGCAAAGAAAGTGGTTTCCTGAAATGGAATCTACCCCTGGTGAAGATGCTGTGAACATTGTTGAAATGACAACAAAGGATCTAGAATATTGCATACACTGATTGATAAAGCAATGGCAGTGTTTAGGAGTATTGAGTCCAATTTTGAAAGAAGTTCTACTGTGGATAAAATGCTTTCAAATAGCATCACATACTCTGGAGAAATCTTTAATGAAAGAACGAGCCAACTGATGTGGCAAACCTAATTGTTGTCTTATTTTAAGAAACTGCCTGACATCTCAGCCTTCAGCAACCACCACCCTGATTTGTCAGCAGCCATCACCACTGAGGGAAGACCATCCACCAGCAAAAAGATTATGACTTGCTGAAGGCTCAGATGATCAACAGTATTTGACTACGTCATGTACATTAGCTGGGCACAGTGACTCATGCCTGTAATCCCAGCACTTTGGGAGGCCAAGGTGGGAGGATCACTTGAGCCCAGGAGTTCACGACCAACTTGTGCAACATAGGGAGACCCCATCTCTACGAAAAATGTAAAAATTAGCTGGGAGTAGTGGTATGCACGTATAGTGCCAGCTACTCAGGAGGCTGAGGTGGGAGGATCACTTGAGCCCAGGAGGACCAGGTTGCAGTGAGCTATGATTGCACCACTGCACTCCAGCCTGGGTGACAGAACAAGACCTTGTCTCAAAAAAAAGAAATGTACATTGCTTTTTTAGACATGTTACTGCACACTTACTATAGTGTAAACCTAACTTTTATATGCACTGGGAAACCAATTTGTGTGACTCATTTTATCGCAGTGGTCTAGAAACAGACCAAGATATGCCTATACTACAGGAACTAAACTTCTCAGATGTTTTTCACCAGCAAAAAAGAAAAATTCACTTCAAATATGATACAAACAGTATAACTTTTAATGTTACTGAAATTTAAAACAAGAATTGATCTAGGTCTAAATCTACATCAGTTTAGAATGCCTAAACTGAAAATGTTAAATTTCAAAACTGAAACTTTATAAACACTTTGAAATGCATCTTTTGTAACTCAAGATAATTTTAATTATTTTCTAAAAATTAAGACATCATAAAATACAAGGGGAAAAAGGTTTCCATAACCTTTAGAGATATGAACTAAGATCCTACCTCTCTAACTCAAATCAACATTCAGGAAAGGACAGTTTTCAAAATTATTTTTTACATTATAGAATACAATATAAATAATTTCATCTACAGGACCTAATCTTTTTTTTTTAAAGAGGCTACCTTTAAAACAACAGGATCTTCAGGCCAGGCGCAGTGGCTCACGCCTGTAATCCCAGCACTTTGGGAGGCCAAGGTGGGCGGATCATGAGGTCAGGAGATCGAGACCACCCTGGCTAACACGGCGAAACCCCGTCTCTACTAAAAAATACAAAAAATTAGCCGGGCGTGGTGGCGGGCGCCTGTAGTCCCAGCTACTTGGGAGGCTGAAGCAGGAGAATGGCATGAACCCGGGCAGTGGAGCTTGCAGTGAGCCGAGATCGCACCACTGCACTCCAGCCTGGGCCACAGGGTGAGACTCCGTCTCAAAAAAAAAAAAAAAAAAACTATTTTCTTAGACAATTTCTCCAACTCCCTAGAAAGAACAGTTATCTGACTAGCTGGAGAACATGATTTTGAGGACTGAGGGAGTAAGTTATGTAATTTCCATCAAGAAGCATGGTGCTTTTCAGAAAACATTTTAGTATAAAACGTTTTAATGATCCTCACTGCCTCCTCACAATTTCACTGCTGGATTCATGGAACTTCACTCCTAATCTAACATTATTCACTTTCAATGGGCTTCCAGCCTCAAATAATAAGGCTTTTTAAGTCCCATCTCCTCTCAGAGTTTGCCCCAGTATTCTTTGCCCCAAACCGTAAACATGGAGTTTTGATTTCCATGTCTTTATTTAACCAATGACTTGCTTCTTGATGCATCACCACTGAATGATGTATGGGTCCTTCTAATCAGCGTCTACACTGAAGTCTTAGGTGATTGTCGGCTCCCTTATAAAGGAAGCATGTGTTTTAAATAATCTGTGCCTGTGTTCATTATTAAACTAGATTATTTGATAGTGACCTGAAATTCTTTAAAGGAAAACCTTGTAATATTGATCTTGTTGTTTCTGCAGTTTAATAAACAAGAAGGTTCAAAATGATGGTAGGTTCAGCCTGTTTTTCCCCACCAAGGATAACCACAAATACAAAACACAAAGATATTGGGACACAAACATCCTTAAAATGTTCCTTGTTTGAATATCATAGGGCTTTTCTAATTAATTGGCTAGTATAACTGGATGAAAATATTATCTATACTGTACCCCAACAAAAATACGTTGAATGCTAGTTTACTTTTATGTGTCTTGTAACTAGTTCATCCGTGTGCTTGCATCGCACTGCTCATAAGTTTTCAAATATGGGACGGAGTGCTCAACTCTCGAAGACATCATTTTCATTACCCGTTTCCCAAATAAAATATTAAGGTTGAGGCTCTGGTATTTCATTTCAAATAGTACTGGTCTGTTTTTCCAGCCATGAAAACGTTTACATTCTAAGTAAAAATCCTAGCGATGGTTAAGTCTTAAATACAAATCCCCAAACTCTTGCACTGCCTTCAGCTTTCAGCTTGAATGTATAACCAGTTCCCATAATTACTACAATATTACTATTATCTTAGTCTCATTGCCAAAAACCCAGCTGCAGGCTAACTATGCAAGAATGAGACACTGTTGAAATGACTCGGAAAAAAAAAAAAAAAGAAACTTTACCCTCACTGAATTTAGCTACAAAATTCTGCAATTAAATGAAACCAATTCACACACACACACACACACACACACACACACACACACACCCCTTCTTCTAAGAAAGAACAGGATGCCGCTACACAAGGAACCCAGAGAGAAATTCGGCAAACAGTTGCGCCTAAGCCACCGCGGCAGAGTCGGGGGCTGGGGGCGGGGAAGAGGAGAAAACTTGGGAAGCACAATGACTCCAGTGAGGACTTCAGTGAGGGCTCCAGGGCTCCCGCCAAGAAGCCCACGGGGCTCTACCAAACTTGAGGGTTTGCGTTCGGGGACACGGCGGGCTTGGGGCTCGGGCACCGGCAGGCCGCTCGGAGCCCACCCTTGGCTGCCCGCGAGGCCGCGCCCGGGGGACGGAGGTCGGGCCGTCGCGAGCCTCCCTCTCGCGTCCGGGCGAACCCTGCCGACGTCCCTGCGATTTCCCTCTTCCTCCTCCTGCCTCTCCCCTTTTGTTTTTCAGGCATTGGGTCCGCTCCGGCGGAGGCCGGCCCGTCCTCCCCGCGCCTCTGTCCGCCCTGCGCGCCCCCAGAGCCCCGGCCTCCTCGTCTTCCTCAGGCCCCTCGGCCTCTCCGCGCGCCCGGCCTTTTCGAAAGCCGCCCCCCCCTTCCTCCTCACGTCTCCCGGACTCCCCACGTCCCCCAGCCTTTCTGTCTTCCCCGAACCCCTTGGCCTCCCCGCGCGCCCCCAAAACCCCCGACCTCCTCGAGCTCCCGGCCTCCCCACGTCCCTCAGCCTCCCAGTCTTCCCCAAGCCTCCCGACCACCCAGCGCCCCGAACCCCCGCCTCCCAGCGCGCCCCCTGACCTCCTTAAGCCTCTCGGCCTCCGCGAGGGCCCCCAACCTCCTCACGGCCACCGGCCTCCCCTCCTCCCAGAACCCGGGCCGGGGGCGCGGGAGGGGCCGGTCTCCGCCGCATCCGCCCCGGGACTGGTTGGGCGGCCCCGCTCTGCCCCTCCGCCCTCAGGGCCGCGGCCCAGCCCACGACCGCTGCACAGAAGGAGCCCGCCCAGCCCCCGACCCGCGCCCCGCGCCCGGCGCCCCGCACTCACTCGGACCGCGGCTCGGCGCCGTGAAGCGAAGGCAGACGACGACGGGGCGGCGCTGGGCGACAGCAGCCGCGCTTCCTCCCACGCCTCACGCCGCGGGCTCACAGTGGTCCGGGACCGGCGGCGGCGGCGGCGGCGCGGGCTCGCGCCCTCGAGGCCGTGCTGCGTCGGCGCGGGCCCGCGCGCGTGCGCGGCAGCCGGCTGAGGCGCGCGTCCTCTCTCGGCAGCGCACGCCCGACCCGGTCTCAGTCCGGAGTTCCCGCCTCTCGGGGGGACTGGGCATGCGCGCCGCCCCCGCGCATGCCCAGCGCGCCGCTAGGCTCTGCTCGCGTAATTTGTCCTGTAGTGACCGCGCCGGGGTTTCGGGGTGGCCCGAGGCTGCGCGCGGGCGTGGCGGCCGGACGAGGAAAGCCCTGGTCTCGGGGGTGGCCGGGGTCGCCCCGCCGAGCGGACATCCTGGGGTCCCACCTGCCTCGCTCTCCGCCAGCGGGATTAGACGGACTTCGGGAAAGTCCTCCCCATCTCCTTCCCTGCCCCCAAATCCCGAAGGGGTCCCCTCTGGAGAACCTCCCTCCTGAGCGGCCCTGCGGCCCCGCCCCCAGAGTTGGACGCCCGCTGTCGGGCACCCGCTGCGGGCCCCGGGCCTTGCAGTGCACTCTCCAGGCACCACACCGACCCTAACGAGCGGTTCCTGGGCCCTTTTTGCAGACAAGGAAACTGAGGCTCAGAGATTCTTTTCATGGCATTATAGCTAAGTTGGGCTGGGCCATTATTTGATTTTGGAAGATGAAAAATCATGAAAGGGACTTAGAAGTCCACTGGAGGTAGACAGGTTACCTAAATGAACGCCAGCAGGGAACGAGCCCTGCAATCCCTCCCGAGGGCTACAGACCTGAGACGGGCTCCAGGAAAAGGAGGGAAGGCTCGCCCCGACACCGACCCGGGCTTCCGCGGTGTGAGCCAGTTTCAGCGAGGAGCTAGTTGGTTATGACCGGAACGTGCCGTAGGTGGGGTGGGGGAAATAGCAAAAGGCGAGGTTGGAGGGATTGAAAAATGCAGACGGCTGCGTGGGGCTTGCTTAGGTGCCTGGAGTTTATTCTTTAGGCAACAGGGAACCTTTGGAGGGCTTTAAGCAGGAAGTGATAACTGATTTGTGTTATTTAAAAAAAAAAAAAAGTCACTCTGGCAACCTTGTGGTCGGAAATGAAACCAGAAGAACCCTCAAGGCTGCAACTTTCATTTTTATGGTGTCATTTTGATGCTAACCACAAGCCAGGAAGCAGGACAGACAGGCACCGAGGCCTTTTGAAAGGTGAACACCCTGAAGCCCAGAGAGGTGACACACGTCATTGCATTAGGAGCTTTTATAAAAGTAAAAATGAAGTAAAATAAAAAGCTTTTGCTTATCAAGATTTTACCATATTTAAATGTTTGGGTTGTATTGTTCTTTAATGAGATGTATTAAGGTTGGTGTTTTTCTGGGTTTTGTTACTTTTTACTACATATGAAATTGTAAGGAATTGCCTCTCCATGCCAGCCTCAGGCCTTTGCGCGTGCTATTTGCTCTGCCTGGAACTTCTTGCTCCTCACTTCGTTCAATACCCTGCTTATATATCACCTCATTGATACAGCCGACCACTTCATATAATAGGAACCACCCACTGCCCTGCTATCCTCACACACAGTCCGCACTTAGTCTGCTCTGTTGTTCTCCAAAGCACCTATTGTTCACCATAGCCCAACACTGTGTTCTTGTTTATTTCTTGATTGTCCGCTCTCTCCACTAGAATCTTAGATTCATTAGAGCACGGGCTTTGTTTTGTTCACTAATAGGTCCTGGCACACAGTAAGTATTTGTCAAGTGAATGAACGAAGCTTTGGGTGATGTGAAGTGAGAGCTTATTATTAAAAGGATAAGAAAAGCATGGGAATTAAAAGAGGAGAGTGGAGGCACAAAGGGACTGCATTAAGGATAACTTTGGGGGAAGGGGCTGCACTTAGCATAGTAGACTAAAAATGGCCATCAATTCTTTGACACTTTTCCCAAGAAGAGGTGGAATTTATTCACCCCTTGAATGTGGATGGGATCTTGTAACTTGCTTTGACCAATGGGATGTGTCACAAGTGACATTGTACAAATTCCAAGCCTAGGCCTCAAGAGGCCATGCTGCTTTCATTTTCCCCCCTTAAGCCCAAGCTAGCCTCACGAGGAGGCCGTGTGGAAGAGAACTGAGGCACCCTGGCCAACAAGGTGCCACCTCCAGACATGTGAGTGAGCTGTACTAGACCACCCAGCCCCTGTGAAGCATACATAAGACCTGGAGAGACTGATGGAAGAACTGCCCAGCTGAATCCAACCCAAATTGCCAAACCACAGAATTGTGAGCCAATAAAATACATGTGGTTTTAAGCCTTTAGGTTTTAGGGTAGTGTGTTACACAATATTGTTTCCTGGACTCTGCCACGATACATTTGAAATTGACGTTCTTGAAGGGCAGCTTTGGTTATTATTATGCTTAGTAAAAGAAGAAATCAGAAAACGGCGGGAAGAAGTGATGCAAAGGAGAAGGGCAAACAGAGATACAAACGGGAAAAGGGACAAACCTAGGAAACAGTGGCTTGTCTTACCTCTTGGGCACACTTTGTGGTGCCTGAGAACTCAGGTTTAGGAGTAAGATGAACATTGGCACAGACCCAGGCTTAAGTTTAACCATTCACCAATAAACCTGTGAAGGTTGTATAATGTCTCTGAGCCTCAATTTCTCATCTGTGAAATGGAGGCTCTAAAGGATGTACATTAGAATTAGGCTGTAGAGAGGCCGGGCACGGTGGCTCACACCTGTAATCCCAGCACTGTGGGAGGCCAAGGCGGGTGGATCATGAGGTCAGGAGATTGAGACCATCCTGGCTAACAAGGTGAAACCCCGTCTCTACTAAAAATACAAAAAAATTAGCCAGCGTGGTGGCGGGCGCCTGTAGTCCCGGCTATTCGGGAGGCTGAGGCAGGAGAACGGCGTGAACCCGGGAGGCAGAGCTTGCAGTGGGTGGAGATGGCGCCACTGCACTCCAGCCTGGGTGACAGAGCAAGACTCCATCTCAAAAAAAAAAATTAGGTTGTAGAGGAAACAAACCATTCTCATAAAACAGCAGGGTGCTTAGCATATATAAGTGTTATTGATCGACTATAGCATTGCTTTATCGATTACTAATAATTTGCATGATGATGGAGGGGTATGCAAAGGACCACCAGAGCACAGAGTCAAGGAAGGCTGACTTCTCTCAGTCTCTGTGGGTCAGAACCTGAATACGCTGTCTCCAGACCTCATAGCAACCCTGTGATGTAGACGCTATTATCGGCACCTCCATTTTATAAATTTGAAAACTACTGCTCAGACAGCTGGGCGCAGTGTCTCACGCCTATAATCCCAGCACTTTGGGAGGCCGAGGCGGGCGGATCACTTGAGGTCAGGAGATCGATACCAGCCTGGCCAACCACAGTGAAACCCTGTCTCTACTAAAAATACAAAAATTAGCCGGGTGTGCTGGCACGTGCCTGTAATCCCAGCTACTTGGGAGGCTGAGGCAGGAGAATTGCTCGAACCCAGGAGGCGGAGGTTACAGTGAGCTGAGGTTGGGCCATTGCACTCCAGCCTGGGTGAAGAAGCAAGACTCCATCTCAAAAAAAAAAAAAAAAAAAAAAAGGAAAAGAAAACTACTGCTCAGAAAAAAAAAAAAAAAAAAGAAGAAGTAGCAGCAGCAATGAGTCAGATAGCAGGGCTGGAATTCAAGGCTGCATCTGTCCAACTGCAAAGCCTGTGCTCCTTCCTCTCCCCAGCGCAGTCTCTGATGCACTCATATCCCATACAAAAAAAAAAAAAAAAACCAAACAGAGAACACAATTTGGCTTCTCCCCTTCCTGCACTGCACCAGATGGGGTGAGCGCTGACCTTGCGTGGGAAGCTTTCAGGAAGAGCTTCCTGTGTGTTGGCAGAGCAGCTGCAGTGAGCCTGGGAGCAGTTCCCCCTTGAAAAGCCCCCCACCTCCCTGGTCGGCTAAGGGCTCCCTCCCAGGAGGGGCTCACTCACGCTGGAGAAGCAGAAACACACATTAAGGCCAGGGGTGGATGCACAGTCATGGGGGCGTGGAAGCTGATATCACTGAAGAGACACTGAAGCCCAGGTTCCTGCCCACATCACAGCTGACCACCCTGCAGATCTGTCTGGAGAAGCTGGGATGAGAGAAAGTGAGACCCAGGGGACAGGTGCCTGGGGTAATTTTTGATCCAGTAAGATGTGCTTCTGGGAGCTATGGGCCTCTTACATCGCCAGGGCATGCTGGGCCTCAAGAATATGGAGAGTGGCGGAATGGAGAAAGGGTCTGACAGACCTGGCCTCCAATCCCAGCTCCCCACGTGACAACCCCATGGCTCCAAGCAGGCTGCTCAACCTCCCAGAGTCTCAGTTTCCTCCTCTGTAAAGTGGAAGAGCAGAAGTCAGGGGCAGGGGATGCCCCTAGGGAAGACATCCAGAAGGAAAGCAGGGGTAGAGGAGGGGGCTGAAGACAGATTCTCACCTCCAAATTCTGTCCCGTATAAAGTCAAATGGGCCCTTGCCCTCTGCCGAGGCCACAGAGTCACCACTTACAGCTTGCCCAGGAGTGAGCAAAACAAATCCGTGGTCACGATTCAGGAACATTCTGGGCTCACAAGATAATTAGGCTATGGAGGTTTTTTGTTTTTTGTTTTTTGTTTTTTGTTTTTTTTTTTTTTGAGACTGAGTCTCATTCTATTGCCCAGGCTGGTATGCAGTGGCACAATCTCAGCTCACTGCAATCTCCGCCTCCTGGGTTCAAGCGATTCTCATGCCTCAGCCTCTCAAGTAGCTGGGATTACATGTGCCCGCCACCACGCCCGGCTAATTTTTGTAGTTTTAGTAGAGATAGGGTTTCACTATGTTGGCCAGGCTGGTCTTGAACTCCTGACCTCAAATAATCCTCCCGCCTCAGCCTCCCAAAGTGCTGGGATTAGAGGCGTGAGCCACCACGCCTGGCCTCTATGCAGGTTTTACTACAAGTTGAAATTTCACTTTCCATAGACACGTAATGTAGGAATGCAGAGATAGGGGGAAGAGGGCTCCCGCAGTGGGTGCCCATCTCCTGTGAGGAAGTGGGAACAACTCTTCCTAGGTTGGGGAGCATCCCAGCCCCTCCTGCTCACATAGATCTCCCCCACTTTACCCCACCAGGGTGTTCCAGGGCTCTGTGGCACAAGAGGCAGTAACAGGGCCTCTTCTAGGTCTCACCCATACTCAGTGCCCACAAGTTCCCCCGAGTGGAAGTGAGCAAGCCCTGTCTGGAGGCTGAGCTGCCTAGAGCAGGACCTCACCGTGGGGATCTGTCCCAGGGATACTGCTCCCTGGCCTGGGCCTGAAGCCCACTCCCACCCCCACATCCCCTCCTTCAAAATACTGTGTGTGAAGGAAAATCCTCCCCTCCACAAGGCTCAGCAGGTCTAGGCCAGGGACAATCCCCCACCCTCCTGACCTGAGATACACCTTTGTTCTGGATCTGGTAGCAAAGGCTCCAGTCACAGTTCATCCAGAGCTAACGAGTACTCTGTACCTGCTACTGTCCCTACAACAGCCTTTAGAGGGAAAAAGTGTTCACATTTTCTGGGGAATTCTGCCCCAAATCATTCATTATCTCCTTTACTTTTCACAACTGCCTTAGATAAGTATTACTAAGCATGTTTTACAGATGGGTAAATTGAGTCCACAAGGTGATGGCTATCCAGCTCCAGTCTACCCAGCAAGTAAGGGGCAGAGTCAGGATTCAAACCCAGCTTGTCTGGCTCTGAAACGGTGCTCACAGCACCACAGCACCTGCTGGAACAGGCTTGTGTCTTCGTGCCTGCCCTGAGGGCTACTAGGAAGAGAGTCTAGGTGAGGCCCACAGGGCTTCTCCCTGCCATAAATTCTTCACTTTATAAAGACCATGAAGTTGCAGGGATGCCATCAAACCGATTCCAGTCATGGAACTGATAAAATTCCCTTTCTTTTTCTTTTTTTTTTTTGAGACAGAGTCTCGCTCTGTTGCCCAGGCTGGAGTGCAGGGGCGCAATTTTGGCCTATTGCAACCTCTGCCTCCCGGGTTCAAGTGATTCTCATGCCTCCTCAGCCTCCCAAGTAGCTGGGATTACAGGCATGCACGACCATGCCCAGCTAATTTTTGTACTATTTTAGTAGAGATGGGGTCTCATCATGTTGTCCAGGCTGGTCTCTAACTCCTGACTTAAGGTGATCTGCCCGCCTCTGCCTCCCAAAGTGCTAGGATTACAGGTGTGAGCCACCATGCCCAGCCTAAAATTCCCTTTCTTGATCTTTTTTATTGTTTTGGTTAGTATTAACTCCTCATTAAAGAAATGTCCTCTTTGCAAATCTTGCAAATTGTGTTGGAATTATGTTCAACAGAAGGCTTCCATTGTTTCCAGTTTGTAAAATTTAAACAGACTGCCACTCAGAAGAGTTCCCATTTCTTTCTTCTTCTCAGCTTTGTTTTTTGTTTGTTTGTTTTTTCTGAGCTCCATTTTTGTATTTTCGGGGTTGTTTGTTTGTTTGTTTTGGAGATGGGATCTCGCTCTGTCATCCAGGCTGGAGTGCAGTGGCACAATCTCAGCTCACTGCAACCTCTGCCTCCTGGGCTCAAGTGATCCTCCCACCTCAGCCTCCCGAGTAGCTGGGGCTGCAGGTGTGTGTTTGTATCTTTTGTAGAGATGGGGTTTTGCCATGTTGTCCAGGCTAGTCTCGAACTCTTGAGCGCAAGCCATCGTCTCACCTCGGCCTCTCCAGGTGGTGGGATTACAGGTGTGAGCCACCAGACCCCACCTAACTTGTACTAATTCTCAATGATCTAAAGCAATGCTTCTCAAACTGTCTGTAGTGTGGAGCAGTTCTTTCTTTTCATGTTGTGTGGACTCATACTCTTGTAAAATGTAATTAAAAATTAGAAATGAAGAATTAAAAAAGTAAATACTGGCCAGGTGCAGTGGCTCATGCCTGTAATCCCAGCACTTTGGGAGGCCAAGGTGGGTGTATCACCTGAGGTCAGGAGTTCGAGACAAGCCTGGACAATATGGCGAAATTCCATCTCTACCAAAAATACAAAAATTAGCTGGGCGTGGTGGCATGCACCTGTAGTCCCAGCTACTCAGGAGGCTGAGGCAGGAGAATCACTTGAACCCAGAAGGCAGAGGTTGCAGTGAGCCAGGATCACGCCACTGCACTCCAGCCTGGGCGACAGAGAGAGACCCTGTCTCAGAGAAATAAATAAATAAATAGTAAAGACATACTAAACACAAGCCTAAATTTTTTTTTTTTTTTGAGACAGGGTCTCGCCCTGTTTCCCAGGCTGCAATGCAATGGTATGATCATGGCTCACTGCAGCCTTGACCTCCTGGGCTCAAGCAATCCTCTTGCCCTGGCCTCCTGATTAGCTGGGACACCAGCATGTGCCACCACACTCAGCCAATTTTTTTTCTGTTTTTTGTAGAGATGGAGTCTTGCTCTGTTGCCCAGGCTAGTCTCAAACTCCTGGGCTCAAGTGATCCTCCCACTTCGGCCTCCCAAAGTACTGGAATTTCAGGCATGAGCCAATTTTTGTTATTAGATTCAAAACAACTCTGTCAAATTGCTTTGAAAGTTTCTAAAACTCTTAATCTCTGTACTTCTCCCGCTGTGAGTTGATAACAGTGTGCAGAGCAGCTGTAGTTCCATGCAACAAACTGTGGGCAGCATTAATTCAAAAGATTAACAAGGCCGGGGGCTGTGGCTCATGCCTGGAATCCCAGCACTTTGGGAGGCCAAGGCAGGCAGATCACCTGAAGTTGGGAGTTCGAGACCAGTCTGACCAATATGGAGAAACCCCATCTCTAGTAAAAATACAAAATTAGCCAGGCGGGCATGTTGGCACATGCCTGTAATCCCAGCTACTTGGGAGGCTGAGTCAGGAGAATCATTTGAATCCGGGAGGCGGAGGTTGTGGTGAGCCGAGATCGCACCATTGCACTCCAGCCTGGGCAACAAGAGGGAAACTCCATCTCAAAAAATAATAAAAAATAAATAAATGAAAGATTAACAAAAGACTTGGGCCAGGTGCAGTGGCTCACGCCTGTAATCTTCAGCGCTTTGGGAGGTCGAGGAGGGCGGATCGATTGAGCTCAGGAGTTCCAGACCAGTCTGGGCAACATGGCAAAACCCTGTCTCTACAAAAAATACAAAAATTAGCATGACATAGTGGCACATGCCTGTAGTCTCAGCTCCTCGGGGGGCTGAGGTGGGAGAATCGCTTGAGCCCAGGAGGTTGAGGCTGCAGTGAGCAAAGATTGCACCACCACACTCCAGCCTGGACAACAAAGTGAGGCCGTATCTCAAGAAAAAAGTTAAAAACGTAAAAAATAGCTGGGTGCGACGGCTCACGCCCGTAATCCCAACACTTTGGGAGGCCGAGGTGGGCGGATCACAAGGTCAGGCAATCGAGACCATCCTGGCTAACACGGTGAAACCCAGTCTGTACTAAAAATACAAAAAATTAGCCGGGCGTGGTGGCGGGCGCCTGTAGTCCCAGCCACTCGGGAGGCTGAGGCAGGAGAATGGCGTGAACCTGGGAGGCGGAGCTTGCAGTGAGCCAAGGTTGCGCCACTGAACTCCAGCCTGGGTGACAGAGCGAGACTCTGTCACACACGCACACACAAAAAAAACATAAAAAATAAAAAAGACTTGATTCTGTTCAAAATGTACATATTTGAATATGCTTTCACCAAAATAGTAACGTGAACAATAAAAAATTAATATTTTCATATATGTTTACAAAACAACTGTTTGCTTCTATGGCTGTATTTCTATTCCAAATCTTCTATTAAATGAAAAGTACAAACTATAATTAATTAATATCGAATATATTAATTTTATATCAAAATATATTAATTTTATATCAAATTTAAATATAGTTGAAATTTTTAAATTTTATGTCAAAATTATAATTAAATCTTGCTTAAATTTTAACAAAATTATTTGCATTCTCATATTTAATATTTTTCTAGTCAGCAATGTCAAGAATTGGTGTCATTCTTCACATGTTACTTCTACCTGTATATAATGTACACAACTTTTGCATGTACAAAATCTGTATACCTGCATATAATATACACAACTTTTGCATATACAGTATGCAAATCCAAAGACAATGGTTGAATGTTTCAAAATATCCTTCAACTGCCATGTGCAACGTGAATATCATGCTAAATGAGATAATGGTGATGGTTGCATAACTCTAAATATACTACAAATCGTTGAATCATACATTTTTACAAAAAATAAAAAAAAGGGAACTGACTCACTCTTGAAACTTCAGAGTCAGAGTCAGGCTGACCGAGGCATATCTGTTGAGGACTTTCACTCCATCTCTTAGCCTTACATTCAAGTCTCACATAGCTCTCCCCTTGTGATGACAAAATGCCCCCCTCCACACAGTTTCCATCCTGTCCCTCCCATATAGAAAAGCCTGCGCCTTTTCCAGCAACTGAAGCCAAAGTCTCCTTGGCTTTGATTGGCCGGGCTCGGGTTCTATGCCTGGCCTGAAACTGGAGGTAGAGTCAACCCAAAACACAGGGACATGAAGTGGAAGGGGGCTTGTTGCCAGTAGAAAGAGAAGGGATACTGGAGATCCCCTCCTCGCCTCATTATTCTGGTAATAGAACCCCGCTCTTCCCTGAGGAACACGCCTCACCTACATTTCATGGGCCCAGTAGGGTGGCTAAGGGTGGGCCCAACTTGAGATGTTGGCAAGGTTGGTACCCAGCTTCCTGGGCCATTGACTTTCTCCCAGAAATGCCACTCTGGAGTCTCAGAGAGAAAAGGCAACCAGAACGGAGGCATTTCCATGAGACAGTGCTCCCAAGCTCCCGCATGAGAACCAGCATGGCTCCTGCAGAGCTGGCCGGGCTGCCTGGCTGCTGTCCCTCAGTTCTAGGATTGTGCTGTGTCCTCCGCTTTCTGGTTATCTTGAATTGGCCAGAGTTTACCTGTATTGCTAACAAATGACCCTGACTGATAGAGACACCTACCCATACAGTTGCTGCAGATCATTGACTGAGGTAAATATTGTACAACAGTTAAAATGAAAAAAATAAAAATAAAAAAGGATAATTGGCAACATATATGAAGTTATGGGCCCCCCAATTAATAATAGATGTTATTATTGTTGTTTCTCTCCCAAGTGTCTTGAGAACATTATTTTTTCTTTTTAATAGACCTTTTCAGAAAAGTTTTAGATTTACACAAAAATCAAGATGATGGTACAGAGATCCCATATACTCCACACCAATTTCCCCTATTATTAACATCTTACATTAGTAAAATACATTTGTTACAATTAATTAACAAATATTGATACATTATTATTAACAAAAGTCGATAATTAATTCGTATTTCCTTCATTTTTACCGAACGTATTTTTTCGGTCCCAGGATCCCATCCAGGACACCATATGACATTCAATCATCATGTCTCCTAAGTCTCTTCTTGGCGTTGACCACTTCTCAGAATTTCCTCGTTTTATTTATTTATTTATTTAAGAGATGAGGCCCAGTGCGGTGGCTCACACCTGTAATCCCAGTACTTTGGGAGGACAAGGCAGGTGGATCACCTGAGGTCAGGAGTTCAAGACCAGCCTGGGCAACATAGTGAAACCCCATCTCTACTAAAAATACAAAAATTAGCTAGGCGTGGTGACACACACCTGTAATTCTAGCTACTCGGGAGGCTGAAGCAAGAGAATCGCTTGAACCTGAGAGGTGGAGGTTGCAGTGAGCCGAGATCTCACTACCGCACTCCAACCTGGGCAAGAATGAGACTCTGTCTCAAAAAAAAAAGAAAAAAAAAAAGGAGAGAGAGAGATGAGGTCTTGCTATGTTGCTTAAGCTAGCTTTTTTTTTTTTTTTTTTTTTTTTGAAACAGTCTCACTCTGTCACCCAGGCTGGAGTGCAGTGGTGTGATCTTGGCTCACTGTAACCTCCGCCTCTTGGGTTCAAGTGATTCTCATGCCTCAGCCTCCTGAGTAGCTACAGGTGTGCACCACCACACCCAACTCATTTTTCTAATTTTAGTAGAGATAGGGTTTCACCATGTTAGTCAGGCTGGTCTGGAACTCCTGACCTCAGGTGATCTGCCCGCTTTGGCCTCCCAAAGTGTTGGGATTACAGGCGTGAGCCACTGCAACTGGCCTAGGCTAGCCTTGAAATCCTGGGCTCAAGGGATCCACTCACTTCAGCCTCTCAAGTAGCTAGGACTACAGGTGCATGCTACTGCACCCAGCAGAATTTTCTTGTTGTTTTTTTTTTGACAGTGTCAAGGACTACTGGTTGGATGTTATTGTAGGATGAGCCACCATTGGAATCTGTCTGATTTTTTCCATTGAAAGTCTGGAATTATAGGTTATCAGGAGGAGGACCACCGAAGTAAATGCCATTATTCTCATATCTTATCAAGGGCACATACTATCGACCTGAATTGTGACTGTTGGTGTTGACCTAGTTCACTAAGTAGTGTCTGTCAGGTTTCTCCAACTTATAGTGACCCTCCTCACCCTCCCTTGAAAACTGTACACTTTTGGAAGAAGCCACTATGTGCAGCCATACTTCACGAATGAAGAGTGATGCTCCCCCACCGTGAGGGCGGGGTATCCACATAAATAATTTGGGATTCTTCTGCATAAGAGATTTGTCTTCTCCCATATTTGTTGATTTGTTCAGTCATTTATATCAGTAGGGATGGATACTTATTTATTTTGCTTTGAGTAATAATCCATTACTTTATTCTGTTGCTTTTAGGGACATTGTTAATGTCCCAAACACCTTCAAGCCTCACATCATCCATTCAAAATCGAACCAGTGTTTGGAATGGATGAGGGACAGCAGTGCCTCATGGCAGGAAATGAGCCACAGTGACGCACAGAAATCTCTTCCATGCGTGAAAACAGCCAGGTAGGCAGCAGGCCTGGGCAAGAGATTGATGGATCTAGTTATAACACTTGAGATCGCCTCGCATGACTATAATGTTCATTCCCTCATTCAAGCCACATGTGTTGAGCCCCAGGAATCGCTGCACAGCATGCTAAACCCCAGGTTGCTCACAGGCTGGTGGGGAATTATGACACAAAGCCATCCAAGCCATATTGCTGCAGAGGTGATGTTTGCATTGAGTGTTAAAAGTAGACAAGGTCAGGGAAGGACATCCCTGGCAGAAGGCACAGCATGTGTAGAGACACAGGAGTGTGAGATGACATGTCCTTTGGGGAGGAGGGCAGGCTTGGCTGGGTCATTAACAAGGCAGGCCAGACTTGGCCTGCCAGAATGTGGGGCTTGAGATTGTGGAGGAGAGAACAAATGGAATGTGAGTCAGTAAGGCTGCTAGCTACAGAAACCAACCCAAGAAGAGGTTTACTGGAAGGTGTATCAGTAGGATTAGCTTCAGCTGTGGTTAAGAGTCCCAACTACAATAGGGAAAATACAGGGGTTAATTCTGTCACACAAAACCCAGAGGCAGAAAGAAGAGAACTGATCTGGAGGCTCCATTAGTGTATCAGAGCCCCAGACTCTGTGCTTTTGCTCCACCAAACATGACTTCCATTCTCAAGATCATCTCAAGATCTAGGATGGCTGCTAGAGCTCCGGCCATTGCTTCCACGTTCCATGCAGCAGGAAGGAAGAAGGAGGAGGAGCCAAATTGCACTTTCCCGAAGGCTCTACCTAATGCTCTTGTATACATTCCTTAAGCAGGAAGCCGCTCACACGGCCACACCAGCTTTAAGAGAGGATGGGAAATGAAGTCTTTTAGCCAGCAAATCACAAATTAGAAAAAAAAATTGGAGAGAATGAAATTAAGGAAGCACCCAGGAGGATCTGCCACAGAAGGATGCCAGGGGGTACTCAGTGAGTCAAAGGGAAACTGAGGAGCAGGAGATTGGGGACCTTCTAGAAGAACCCCTGCCCTGCCACATATACCACCTGGAATCTGGTCTTTTTTTTTTTTTTTTGAGACAGAGGCTCACTCTTTCACCCAGGCTGGAGTGCAGTGATGCGATCTCAGCTCACTGCAACCTCCACTTCCCAGGTTCAAGCGATTCTCCTGCCTCAGCCTCCCGAGTAGCAGGGACTACAGGCATGTGCAACCTCCACCTCCCAGGTTCAAGCGATTCTCCTGCCTCAGCCTCCTGAGTAGCAGGGACTACAGGCCATGCACCACCACCCCCAGCTAATTTTTGTATTTTTAGTAGAGACGGGGTTTCATCATGTTGGTCAGACTGGTCTCGAATTCCTGACCTCAAGTGATCTGCCTGCCTCGGCCTCCCAAAGTGCTGAGATTACAGGCATGAGTCACCATGCCCGCCCAGGAATCTCTTCTTTCAGTGATCTTGTCTTCCTATCACTGCTCAAGAATGAAACTTCCACCTAGGTGCATTCAATCGGCTGGTGTAGTTCCACGCCCTGGCTGCCAGGAGAGAGCAGGAGAATCCTTGCTGGGTTTCTATAGTGGGAGGAAGAGTCCTGTCCGCTCCCTGGGAGTCTCATACTGGTGGAAGAGGGTTGGTGTAAGGCAGCCACAAGAGACAAGCATCCCCCATGGATCCACACTTTAGTTCATTTTATAGAAATTCTCCATCTCTGAAGGGTCCAGAACCTTCCAGACTGAGCTCATGCTCCATCTTACCGTGGTTCCTCTTGCATTTTCTTCCACTGTCGTTCCCCTCTTCTCTCTTTTTCTCCCACCTCATAGCCGGTGAGATGATGTCAGAGCTGGAGAAAAGGGATGGACATACATTGAGCTCTTACTGTGTACCGCCCTCCACACCAGGTACTCTGCATGAAGCGGTAAGTGTTGGAGCTAGCTATGGTGACTCATGAGACCCGACTGTTAAACACCGACATTTTTAAACAATAAATTCTATTAAAAACAAAGGTGGCCAGGCATGGTGGCTCACGCCTGTAATCCTAGCACTTTGGGAGGCCGAGGCAGGCAGATCACTTGAGGTCAGGAGTTTGAGACCAGCCTGGCCAACATGGTGAAACCCCATCTCTATCAAAAATACAAAAATTAGCTGGGCATGGTGGCGGGTGCCTGTAATCACAACTACTTCGGAGGCTGAGGCAGGAGAATCTCTTGAACGCAGGAGGCAGAGGTTGCAGTGAGCTGAGGTTGCACCACTGCACTCCAGCCTGGGCCTGGGCAACGGAGAGAGACTCTGTCTCAAAAAAAAAAAAAAAAAAAAGAAGGTAAAAAATATTTACAATTCGGCACTCCCTAATTATTTTACTACAAGTACTCTTACCTATGCTCTTGTCTATGGTTATCTATATGGTGGGAATAAAACTGCGTAATAATGAGCTACTATGCCTCCTTCTTCCCAACTCTGCATTCAGTAATGTCACATTGATAGCCTGAAATTGGTCATGGTGGAAATATTTACACTATGGAAACTGACAAACACCATAAATCAGGATTCCCCCCCACCAAGAGCCTGTTGTTAATTTATAAGCATACCATTGTCTGTCCACATGCCATCTCATTTGATAAGATGACACTGTCATGATTTGGAAACAAATAAGACAGGGCCATTTAAAACAAAGCTCCACCTTAGACCAGCAAAATGAAATTCATTCTAAGCACCGATTAATTCTGTGCCTACTTTTTGTTTCCTCTGCCATGAATCTCAATGATCATGACTACAGTCTTTGAGCACCTATTAGATCTCAGGCATGTGAGTTCACATTCTCTCATTGTCACTTACGTATTAGATGTTATTATTATTTCATTTTATAGATTAGAAAACTGAGGCACAGCAAGGTTAAGAGACTGCCTAGGGTCAAACCTTTTCTCCCCTGCCCTAGGTTCTCTTGTCTGGCTTGGTGTGTACCTGCCTCCTTCTAACATGAAACAACCCAGAAGCCAGCAATTATGTCATCTGGCTTGTTGTCACTTTAAATTACAATTGGTCTTCATCTCTACTTCTGCTGCTTCTTCTGAAATGTCATTTTTTCTTTAGCTTGAGCAATTTTCCTTCTCATCTTCTCCAGCTTTATGCTATTGCATTTAACTGTGACAGTGATTAAGCCCTTTTCTTGAAAGTTATCTAGCTAAAGCAAGTGGTCGTTTATAACCTTCACCAGATAATTAATGTGTGTGACAACCCACAAACACTGCACATAGTTTAGCAGCGGGGCTGGGAGGAGTTCATGAGCACCAGAGCTACCAATAAATGACAGGGGAAAAGTCTGCACCCACTCCCCTGAACACCCTAACACTCGGCAGACGCATCGCCTAGTTCCCACAGCATCCTTGTTGTATGAGGCCATTCTCGCATTGCTATAAAGAGATACCGATTCTGCAGGCTGTAAGGAAGCAAAGTGGCTTCTGCTTCTGGAGAGGCTTCAGGAAACTTACAGTCATGGTGGAAGGCAAAGGGGAAGCAGGCCGTCTTACATGCCTGGAGCAGGAGCAAGGGTGGGGGGAGATGCTACACAACTTTAAACAACTAGATCTCCTGAGAACTCAATCAGGAGACAGCACTAGGGAATAGTGCTAAGCCATTAGAAACCGCCCCCATGATCTAGTCACCTCCCACCAGGCCCCACCTCCAGCATTGGGGATTACATTTCAATATGAGATTTGGATGGGGACACAGATCCAAACCATATCACTTGTCAACAGTGTTGGTAACCAGGATGGTCACCCAAAGGGGGAGACTGAATGAAGCAAGGCAAGTGACTCAATTGTAGTATCCAGCAAATAAACACCAGAGCCGTGTGGGCACTGGAGTTCTAGGCAGAATCCAACTGAGAGTGTGGATGATCTCACGCTGGATCCGGCATCCCTGCAGTTTTCCGCAGGCAGGTCTGAAACCATCGGCGATTGCTCCTTAGCTCGGCTCCCTCTATCCTGTCCCCATGCTCCCGTTACCAGGTTGGAACCGACTCAACCCTCATTCAGCAGCAGCCCATGCGGGTGCCAGTGCCCACTCCCCTGGTCCCTGAGGCCCTTCTGAATCTGGCCTCTACCCACTGCTTTAGCCGCCTCCTCCAGCCCCCATAAACTCTCAGCTCCACCCCTCAAAGTCATCTCCCACCCCTCTCAGCTCTTCTGCCTCTGCTCAAGCTGCTCCCGCTGCAACAAAGGCCCTTGGCCCATTCCTAGGCCTGGCCCGCCCTCCTCACCCATCTTTCTCAACTCTGCTCAGTTGTCACTTCCTCCAGGAAGCCCCCAGCTCAGGTTCCCCAGTCTGGGTGCAATGCTGTGCTCTATGCTCCCAAAGAGTCCCCATGTCTAGCTCTGTCATCCTTTGTTTTAATTATTCTCTTGCCCCCTCCCCACCCCTAGGTTCTACCCTGGGCGTTCCTAAAGGCAGGGAATGTTTTTATTTTTCTTAACTGTCATTTGCACCCAGCATGACATGCCTGGCACCCAACCCCCCAAAGACAGTAACACTCTGCAGATGATATCTAGTCTTTCTTACAGTGTTTCTAACCAGTATGATCATACTAAGTTGGAAACTGAGGCATAGCAAGGTAAATGACTCACTTGTGGCATTCAGCAAATCAGCACAGAGGCACGTGGGGAATGCAGGAGATCTGGGCAGAACCTGGCTAAGAATGTAGATTACCACATTCTGAATTCAGTGTTTGTTGAGTGACTGGCGTGATCTCAGCTCACTGCAACCTCTGCCTCCCAGGTTCAAGAGATTCTCATGCCTCAGCCTCCTGAGTAACTGAGACTACTGGTGCCGCCACCACGCCCAGCTAATTTTTTTTTGTATTTTTTAGTAGAGACAGGGTTTCACTATGTTGGCCAGGCTGGTATCAAACTCCTGGCCTCAAGTGATCCTTCCACCTCAGCCTCCCAAAGCGCTGGGATTACAGACGTGAGCTGCTGCACCCCGCTGTTTTATATTTCTTGACTTGCCTAACCTGTAAACTCCTTAGGATAAGAAGGACTTAAGCTTTCTAAAATTGAGACTTGTTTGCAGCCCAGAACCACCTCCACCAGGGGCCTAGTAACTCTGGGTTTGCCATGGTTGGTAATTGCCATCTCCACCTAGAAAAAACCCAGGTGACTCAGTGGGGTGGAAATGCAATCTATGCCTCAGAGACAGGAAAAGCAGCAGCTCTCTGGTTTTTGGTGAAAAGCCATCGCAGGCTTTTCTTTGCCTTGGAGGAAAGAATACAAGAATACAGAGCTGGGAGTCATAAGCCGGTTTGCCCTCTTCAGCCTCACTTTCCTGGTCTGTCAACTATGAACTCACAAAAGGGTGACATTTAGCCTGTGACAGGCCATTAGCGGTCCCCACCGACAGCTCTCTCCGTGGGCAAGGATGAAGCCTTGTTTGCACAAGAAGTGCAAAGCTGGCAGTGGGTGCTCAGCAAATAAATCATTTTGCCTGTTTTAACACAACGCTTTGGGAAAATTCCCTGCCTCCAACAGAGTGACTTATAGTAGCCAGCAGATTTTGAAGACAAACAAATTGCAAGGCACTTGGTGTTACGAACCAGCTGAGATTTCATGTAGATGAGACCAGAGCCCCAGATCATTCTGTGAGAAGCAGGCCTGGCCAAGGCACCCTTGACAAGGGTGTTGGGATCAAAGGATGCTGAGTTAGGATCATGGCAGGCACAAGGTGCCGGTGAATGAGGGGTTGTAAGGCAAGAATTTGATCTCAAACCCAGCCAGAACACTGTGTACTCATCACCCTTCGGAATCCTCCTTTGGTGGGAGTGGGTGGCCTGTACTGAAATGTGTGGATTTGTTTGTATTTCTCAAAAGAACATAGGATTTGAGAGCTGGAAGGGATGTGTCAGCCTATATTCCCTTTCTGTTCACGGATATGCCAAGTCGAGGTTTCTTGTTCAAATAAACATAGTTGTTTGCCTTAAAGGGTTGGGAGGCAGAAAGCGTGCCCAGCTGTGGACACCACCCTCCAGGTCATCCCTGAAGATGCATGAGTTCTGGCATACAGATAGCACCTACTGCACCCTGCTGTCTCCCTCCAATTAAGTCCAGGTACAGGTATTCACTGAGCACCTACTATAGGCTGAGTGCTAGGCTGCATGCCCTGGAAGAGCAAAGAAGCAGAGGTCACTTAGGCTCCAGTAGAGCATTCACCAGGTGCCAGCAGAGCCCAGAGGCCTGTGCAGACCACAGTGTGAGCTTCAGGGGTCAGGACTGAGGAGGTGCCGGGCCTCGAGGGGCAAGGAGTGATGAGGGCGTGGCCCCAGGCCCAGCTTTTCTCCCCTCCTTCTGGGCTTCCTGCACTTCTGATGATTCTCATGCAGTCTCCTTGGTCACCCTGCCCTGATGGCTCCCAAATCTGGACCTTGGGCCACATCTCTGCCCAGAGTTCCAGACCCAGAGGTCCAGCTGGTGTCTCAAGCTCAACATGCTCAACATACCCCAAAGAGAAGGCCTCCCCTCTTCCACCAGGCTGCTCCTGCTCCTGGAACCTGTACCCCCACCCAGAACCTCCCCCAGCTCTTCTCTCTGCCCCCATTCCCTTCTTCCAATCAGCTACCAGTCCCTGTCCATTCTACCTCCTCAATCTTTTCTAGCCCATCCCCCCATGATCTCCTTCTTTATCGGTGCTGTTCTAGGTCAGGCTTTCTTCCCTTCTGTTGGGTGTTATGGTAATAGTTTCCCAGAATGGCCTCTTGCTCCCCACAAGCCATGCTCCAAGAGCACAAACTCCTGTTCAGACCCTCGGTGGCTCCTCATCACCTCCGAAAAGGTGAAGAAGCCAGGCCCACCAGGCAAAGGCCACCCACGCAGGGCTGCCCTAGTTCCTGGGCTACCTGAAGCCTAGTTCTTGGCCCTCCCTTTCACTGTGAGAGCTAACCTATCTACATCTGTCCAAGGCATCCCTTTTGAGCTAAAGTCAGCCAGAGTTCGTTTCTGTTGCTTGCACCCAAATCACATGACTGATCCCTCCTCTCAGGCCTTCTGTGTGCTGGCCCTACTGCTCGGCGTGCCTGCTCTGAGCCTGTCCACCTGGTGAGTCACGACGTGTCCCTGAGAGATTCCAGAGGTCCTTACTCTCTGTTCCTGCTCTTTCTGGTACTCCCCTTAGGACAGCGACAGTCACGCCATGTCATGCCTGGGTCTCAGAGGCAGAACCTGGGAGCCTGGGCCCGCGGGACTCAGTGGTAGGGTCTCTGTCTCTCTCATCTGCCACGCCCCCTTAGAAGCCCATGTGTAGCCCCGTAAGGACACCCGCTCCCCAGCCGCTGCTGGGACACGTTTAAGAGAAGAGACGGCGGGTGTGCGCCACCACCTTCACCACGTCGTGTCTCGATCCTGGACAGAGCGTCAATGCCCAGAGCGTTTTCTCTCCCACAGGAAAGGGACAGTACTCACTGCCTGTTACCAAACTCTGCTTTCTCTTCCCAGAACGATGGTGAATCCGCACTTTACTCACGTGGAACCAGGGTTAGGGTGGGGTGGGGGAGAGCACACGTCTTAGAACTCCAGGCAGCTGGCAGGGTGCCATGGCTCACGCCTGTAATCCCAGCACCTTGGGAGGCCAAGGTGGGTCGATCACCTGAGGTCAGGGGTTTGAGACCAGCCTGGACAACATGGCGAAACCCCGTCTCTACTAAAAATACAAAAATTAGCCAGGCGTTGTGGCGCACGCCTGTAATCCCTGCTACTTGGGAGGCTGAGGCAGGAGAATCGCTTGAACCCAGGAGGGGGTGGGCCTGGGCAACAGAGTGAGACTCCCTCTCGAAAAAAAAAAAAAAAAAGTATCAGACAGCCATCTTAGCTCTGCTGTTTCCTTGTGTGTGACCTTGGGCAAGTCACCTAACTTTTGTGAGTCTTGATGGCTTTGTCTGAAGAATTAGAAGGGTGGTGCTTCCTGGTAGAACTGTTATGAAGAGCAACAAGACCCATGTGTGCCATTCACAGCGGGTGTTTGATACGTGACCATCGTTAGTAGTCCTCGGTAGATGGGAATGCTCCCCAACTGTTCTCAAACTCCCAAGTGTGAGCGAAGGGGAGCATTGCTCTGACCTCTCCTGTGCCATCTTTTTGGGGGACCAGCTTGTCTGATCTGGGAACCCTGAGACTGGGCGTCGGCACTGGGCATGCTCAGCCCCATCGGCCCTTTCCCTTACCAGCCTGCCCTGTCCTCAGGTTGCCAGCCTTGGTGGAGGGTGAGGGGGACACAGGGAGCTTCCACAACAATCCCCAGCAAGCCTGCAGCAGGAGGCATGCTGAATTCTTATGGGGGTGTATGAGTGTGGCTGTGAGTCAAGCCTTCTTCTCAAATTCAGCCCAAACGGTGATAAAGCTGATCTTCAGATCTCCAATTTCCTTCTCATTTGGTCCAGATCGCAAAAGGGAAGGAGGAAAGTGTCAATTATCTAGCAAACGCTTGTATAACACTTCTATGTGCCAGGCCCCATTGCGATTGCTTTACCAGTCTTAACCCATTTAAACTTCCCAGCAACCCTATGAGGTAGTTACTCCTGTTACTTCCATTTTACAGATGAGAACACTGAGGCCCAGATTGGGTAACTGGCCCAGGAGCCCACAGCTGATAGGTGCAGAGCCAGGTTTGGAACCCAGGTAACACAGCTCCGAAGTCCCTGTCTTTCCCACTGCTGCAGCCCTCCCATGGCCCCTGTCAGTGCATTCCGTAACATTTACTCCATCCACCAAGCACGCCGGCCTGCAAAATATATTAGTGTTGTACTCCTATTTTAAGACAAAACAATGGCTGGGAGGAAATAGATAAGGAGTTTGTGCTTCCTGGAGCTCTGGGGCTCGTCTGGCCCTCCCATCAGTGCAGATCAGGGTGACCACCGGCAGGACGGGTAAGGCCCGAGAGGCTGCAGGGAGTGTGGGGGCGGCTCCGTCCTGGTCAGCCCTCCTGGAGGCAGAAATTACTAACTGGACATGAAAATACATGAGCCACTGCGAAGAAATCTAATAAGCACAGGGAAACATACCAAAAGAGGAAAGGGGGGAAATGTAGCTACTAACCAAAGACAGGGAGGCAAAGGCTGAGCAGTGGGCCCAGGACTGCTGCCTGCCTTACAGGAAACTGTGTCGGAAGAGCAGTCTTAGGCACATGGAGATGTGCTAGCTATTCAGAAGCACGTGCTCATTTTGCTCTTGAATAGTTAATGTAAATTCAGTGAACAGGTACATATGGCAGGGGGGAAAATAGCAACAGCTCATCCAGGAAGGAAGCTGGGCCTGGCCTTGCAAATGCCGAGACGGGGGAAGGGCCCGATAGCAGCACAGCTTTCCAGGTCTGACAGCTCCAGCTCAGGGTGTGGCCCAGCTCACCCTCTCTCCAGCTGTGTCGCCTTGAAGCTCTGAACTGGTTTCTCCATCTGGGGAGGGGGCCTGCGGGCACGTGAACAGCTCTCTGTTGAGATTCTTGTCAGTGTGAAGGGTGCAGCTGGGGACCTGGTGTGTGGGGTGGCATGGCATCAGGCCGATGGGGTAGGGGATAAGAGAAGTATTTCTGGCCGGGCGTGGTGTCTCATGCCTGTCATCTCAGCACTTTGGGAGGCCAAGGCAAGCAGATCACTGGAGGTCAGGAGTTCGAGACCAGCCTGGCCAACATGGTGAAACCCCATCTCTACTAAAAATACAAAAATTAGCTGGGCGTGGTGGCGCATGTCTGTAATCCCCGCTACTTGGGAGGCTGACGCATGAGAATCACTTGAACCCAGGAGGCAGAGGTGGCAGTGAGCCAAGATGACGCCACCGTACTCTAGCCTGGGCAACAGAGTGAGACTCCCTCTCAGGAAAACAACAGACAAAAAAAAAAAGAAGTATTTCTGACAAGGGCCTGGACTTCTCGGTTGTTTTCTTGGGGCCATTATGGCCCAAGAAAATGCTGGCCGCCCAGAATGTGCTGGACAAGCCCTCCCAGAGACTATTGTGAGCACTGCTGGAGACTGGCTGGGGCCTGACCCAGAGCTGCCATCCTGACGGATGGGCAGGGCCACGTCTGCGGGAAGTGGGCGGCCAGGCCCAGGCTGCTGTGTCTGGCAGATGGAGCAGAGTGTGCCTGTAGGACTGGCTTCTGGAGCATGTGACCACTGCAGTCACAGAAGGCCTCATGTTCAGAAGGGGGACCTGTGATTGGGGGTTAACCCTCTGCAGTCACCAACTTGAAATTCTTAATAATTGTATCCTTGAATCTGTGTTGTGGAAGCAAAGTCTGATAAGAAAATGGAGCACACACCGGGGCTTGGAGCCTCAGCTCACACATGGCCCCACCCCGTCCCCTCCCTGTCTCCCTGTGTTAGTCCCGGTGCCCTGGGCATGCCCAGCTCATTCTTCCTATGCTCACCTGTAGTGGTGGCAACACTGCCTCCCACAGTGTCTGGGGTGGGGCACCGCAGTGGCTGTCCCCATCCTTGGCTGGCAGCAGCATGGCACCTACCTCTGAGCCAGGTACCAAACATGTCTGGGTACTGAGGGTGCATCTTTTGGGGGTTGTCCTTCACCATGGGTTGGGGTGATGACCATGCAAGGGGAGATAGTTTCCATTTTTCCCCTTTCCCCCTCCTACTGGAGTGTCACACTTCCTTTTTATTTTGAGACAGGATCTCACTCTGTCTCCCAGGCTGGAGTGCAGTGGTGTGATCTCAGCTCACTGAATCCATCTCCCAGATTCAAGCAATTCTCCTGCCTCAGCCACCTGAGTAGCTGGGATTACAGGCACCCACCACCACACCCAGCTAATTTTTGTATTTTTAGTAGAGATGGGATTTTGCCGTGTTGGCCAGGCTGGTCTTGAACTCCTGATCTCAAGTGATCTGCCTGCCTCAGCCTCCCAAAGTGCTGGGATTACAGGTGTGAGCCACTGCGCCCAGCCAAGGAGTGCCACATTTTTGCTTTGCATTGAGTTCCACAAATTTTGTAGCTGGCACCATGTGGCTGGGACAATATTGAGAAGCCACAACCTTAAACTCTGCTCGGTACTGTCCACAGCAGAAGGGGAGAGCTCTTCTGAGGCCTCTTGCTTCTCCATGGGGCAACAGTTTGGCATAGAGATGGTATAGCTCAAACCATCAACATTCTCAGCCTCTGCTTGGAGCCACCATCCATTGACCTCTGCTTGCAGGAGGGCATTTCCTAGGGGATATGGCAACTGTGCCGAATCTTTCAGAAGGAGCAGGGCTGGCCCAGGGCTGGAAAAGTCTCCCTAGGCTGGAGGGAAAACATTTGCTAACATGGAACTGTTTTGATGTTGGTAGAATCCTGGCATTGGACAGGCCAAGTGCAGAGGCTTTGTGTCAGGGAAGGCCACTGAGGACTCTGGAGGGGACAGGTTTAGATTGCATGGCCTTGGCACGCAAGCCGCAAAAGTTTAGATCTTATCTTTTGGCTAGTTCTCAAACCTTGTCCCGTGGCCTGAAATGGAGGCCAAAATGACTTGCTTGAAGCAAGATATTCCTTGAAATTTTATAAAATTTCCTTACAATACATGAGAATTGTATGGTAAAAAGAATTGTTTTATGCTATCATAAAAATATGGGCCAGGTGTGGTGGCTCGTGCCAGTGCTTTGGGAGGCTGACATGGGTGGATTGCTTGAGTCCAGGAGTTTGAGGCTGCAGTGAGCTATAATTGTGCCATTGTATTCCAGCCTGGGTGACAGAGACCCTGTCCCTAAACACACACACACACACACACACACACACACACACACACACCAAAAGGTATGGAGGGATGGACTGATGCTGATGGTCCAGGGAAGATGTTTTCCCGTCCTCTAGAAAATGTTTCCTCCCAACACTGTTCTAGTGGGAGAAGCTCAGAGCAAGGTAGAAAAAGGGTGCTGAATGAATGGTTGATACAGTTAATAGCTAACAGAATAATGTGATCAGTAGATATTTTTAAAATGTGTACAAAGATGTGCAAAGATGTGTAAGACGCAGCCCCTTCCTTGAAGAAGCCAATATTCTAGTATAGGAACAATTCTACATAAGCTAATTGTATGTTTCCCATTGCTGCTGTAACAAATTACCACAAACTCAGAGGCTTAAAACAACTCAAATTCCTTGTCCTACAGTTCTGGAGGCCAGAAGTCCAATATGGGTCTCATGGGCTAAAACCAACGTGTTGCCCGGGCTGTGTTCCTTCCAGAGGCTCCAGGCAAGAATCTGTTGCCTTGCTTTCCCCAGCTCCCAGAGGTTGCCCATATTCCTTGGCTCGTGGCTCCTTCTTCCACCTTCAGAATGAATCACTCCAACCTCTGCATGTCACTGCACCTCCTTTTCTGACTCTGACCTTCTTGCCTCCCTCTTGGAAGAACCCTTTTGAGGCCGTGAGTGGTGGTTCACACCTGTAATTTCAGTACTTTGGGAGGCCGAGGTGGGTGGATCACCTGAGGTCAGGAGTTCGAGACCAGCCTGGCCAACATGGTGAAACCTCGTCTCTACTCAAAGTACAAAAAAATTAGCCTGGTGTGGTGGTGGGCACCTGTAGTCCCAGGTACTCGGGAAGCTGAGGCATGAGAATTGAACCCAGGTGGCGGAGGTTCCAGTGAGCCAAAATTGTGCCACTGCACTCCAGCCTGGGCGACAGAGCGAGACTCTGTCTCAATAAAAAACAAAAACCAGGCTGGGCGCAGTGTTTCACATCTGTAATCCCAGCACTTTGGGAGGCCGAGGCGGGTGGATCATGAGGTCAGGAGATCAAGACTATCCTGGCTAATATAGTGAAACCCCATCTCTACTAAACATACAAAAAAAAAAATTAGCCAGGCATAGTGGCGGCCGCCTGTAGTCCCAGCTACTCCAGAGGCTGAGGCAGGAGAATGGCGTGAACCTGGGAGGCGGAGCTTGCAGTGAGCCAAGATCGCGCCACTGCACTCCAGCCTGGGTGACAGAGCAAGACTCCGTCTCAAAAACAAACAAACAAATAAAAAGAAACCAAAAAACCCATTTGGTTATATTGGGCCCACTAGATATTCTGGGGTGATATTCCCATCTCAAGATCCATAATTTAATCACATCTGCAAAGTCCCTTTTGCCACGTAAGGACACATATTCACAGGGCAGAAGGATTAGGGTGCAGACATCTTTGGGGGACCATTACACAAATGATTACAAGTCAAAGTGTCATGAGATACTCCCAAAGAAGCAGGACAAAGGGATGTAGTGGCCCTAAGAAGGGAAAGGTGCCATTTGACTGTGGTGGTCTGGGAGGATCCCACTGAGGAGGTGGCATCTGAGCTGGGATGGCAGAGCAGCAGCGCACTCCAGGCAGAAGGTGGCAAATGGGCAGAGGTGCTGAGAGGCTGGGCAGGCAAGGGGTGCTTGTGGGAGATCAAGGTGTTGATTACAGCATCAGGCAGGTTAGAGGGGATGTACCAGACACATCCATGGTGCGGCCCGCAAATGCCTTCCCTTCCAAGGGAAACTATCTTAGGTGCTCCTCAAGCAGATGGCCCCAGACCCCACCAAAGTGGAGTGAGCAGCTCACCCTCAGAGACGAGCTCGTGGGCTGGTCATGCTGTCGACCTGGCTGCACCTGAGAAGCTGCCCAAGCCAGGACAACTGGCCAGCTGATCTGTCTCATTCACTGGGACTGGGAGATGTGGAAAGAATCCAGAGTTGGTGGTGGGAGCTGGAGCTAAAAGGAAACACAGCAAGCCCTGAGGCAGCAGGAGCCAGGACGGCCATGGGAGAGATAAGGTTATGAGTAAGTGAGAGGAAAACCTGAGTAAGCAGGAGGTGTTGGAAACCCAGTTGTGAGTAAGCCTAAGCTCTGAGCTGGCTGATGGCAGCAGGAGCTCTGGGGGGAGATGGAGAGACGCTGAGTCACCACAAAGCACTGAATCAAAGAAGGCCTGCTGCCCACAGGGGGCAAGACAGCCCAGGATGAGCCAGGCCCAGGGCCTCTACCATGCTTCCTGTCCTTGCCAGGAGTCTCCTAGCTCTCCTGTGTCTCAGTCCTGGCCCAGATCCTGGCAACACGGGGGACCCAGTAAGCACAGAGCAGCAGAGGGAGACAAGGCCAGGAGGGAGGACAGGGAACAGGTTGGGGAGACCTAGCCCCAACTCACCTCCCAGCCCCTCTCCCCCAGGCAAGCCCCTCACTGATTCCATCCCATGGCCCCTGTCAACCTCACTGCCCATCTTGGTGCCTTCAGATGCTCCACCATTGCTGGGAACTGTGGGTACCCCCAGAGTGAAGCAATACCATGGCTCAGCTGACTCGGCTTCTCCCAGTAAAGGAAGAATGGGCTGGCTGAGCCCGGTGCCAGGACTCTGTAGATGCTTTCAAGCTACCGTCTCTGGATAATTATCACTATGCTCATTTTACAGACTAGGTTAGGGCATTGTGCTAGGTGACTTTCCTGGGGTCACAAAGGAGTGGGCAAATCTCTCTGCAACTGACCTGCTCTGAAACCTTACCATGATTTGAGAACATATCAATTCATTAATTTATGCATCCAATATTATTAGTGCCTACAATGATCCAGGAACTGAACTGGTTGTGGAGATACATACGTGTTACATACATACTAATGGAGAGTGTGTAGATCATTTCAGACACTACAACGTGCTATAAGAAAACAAAATAGAACCTTGTAATGGTGAGGGACTCAGTGGAGGTCAGGAAAGGCCTCTTTGAAAAGATAACTTTTGAGCAAAGCCCAGAATGACAAGAATGAGCCAGCTATGTAAAAGTCTGTGAGGCCAGTATTGCAGGCAGGTTGTTAAATATATATTCATTCATTTATTAGAGGCACAGTCTTAAATCAGTAATATTTATTTCCTGGACGCCATTTAGAGTAGCTTCAAGACAGTAGTAGAAACTGACTAGAAAATTTTTTTTTTTTTTGAGATGGAGTCTCGCTCTGTGGCTCAGGCTGGAGTGCAGTAGCCCGATCTCAGTTCACTGCAACCTCCGCCTCCCGGGTTCAAGAGATTCTTCTGCCTCAGCCTCCGGAGCAGCTGGGACTATAGGCACCCACCACCACACCCAGCTAATTTTTGTATTTTTAGTAATGACGGGGTTCCACCATATTGGCCAGGCTGGTCTCGAACTCCTGACCTTGTGATCCACCTGCCTCGGCCTCCCAAAGTGCTGGGATTACAGGCGTGAGCCACCGCCCCCAGCCACTGAGCTTCATTTGTAAGAGGAAGATCATATCCATCGTATAGTTCGGCTGAAACTGCTGGTTTCTCTCCCAGGGTCCATTCTCCCCTTCTTCACTACCAACACATCCTAATTTTGTGTGGGATGGTAATGTGCCCACCTGACATGCTCCTCCAAAATCTCTTTGCTGCTAGTGGTGCCTGTGGACATTGTTCTTATTTATCAGATGAAGCTGGGGTTGGAGATGGAGTTGTCATCTTGTGACCTCAAAGCAACCAGCATGATAACAAAAGCCAGCACACCACAGACGGCAGAATGGAAAGGCAGTAAGAATCTGGGTCCGGTCTCTCACAAGGTTGTTGAGTCACTACACCAGTCCTGGAATGCTGATCTCTGGAGAACTTGTTAGGTAAGAAATGATCTCCTCTTGGTTAAGCCAGAGGGTTGGGTTTTCTGTTATCTGCAGCCAAATGCATGTTACTATAAAGTTCTTAAGAGGATTACATGAAATAAAGATGATGCCTAATAGAAACTCATTACATGATTGCTATTAATATTTGATGATGAGGTCATCCAAGCATTCCTTGCTTTCCCTTCATTTAAACGCTTCCCAGCACTTTGCACAGAAGCCTGCACATAGAAGGGCCATAACTGTGATCTCTGAGAAACAAAGAAATGAATTCTGAGACCAGGAAGAGACTTTTACACATTTGATCTGAATCGGGATATAAATGCTTGTCTTTTAGAGCTGAAAAGTAAAAAGGTGGAGTTAATGTTTTCCTCGCAAATTAAATGGCAGCTCCAGTGACCTGTTTAGTCATCCGCATCATGTGGAGGCAACAAGAACAAGGAGGCATGAGCGGTTGATGGAAAGTGCGTCCTTCCTTCACGTCAGATGTCACAGTTACACTTCACTGGTGGTCTTGTTGGGTTTGATTTACACACAGATAAATATGCAAGCTCAGCAGTAAAGGGCCTCCAGCCAAGATTTTGTTCTGTATTTAAAAAGAAAGCTCCAGGCTGGCATGGTGGCTCACGCCTCTATCCCAGCACTTTAGGAGGCCGAGGTGGGTGGATCACCTGAGGTCAGGAGTTCAAGGCCAGCCTGGCCCAAATGGCGAAACCTTGTCTCTACTAAAAAAAAAAAAATTAGCTGGGCGTGGTGGTGTGCACTTGTAATCCCAGCTACTTGGGAGGTGGAGGCAGGAGAATCGCTTGAACCCGGGAGGTTCAAAAGAAAGCTCCAGGGTCAGGCTCTTCAGATTCCCCTCAAAGCCAGGGCAAGCTGCTCACATCATGAGACAGCCAAGCACCTGTGAGTCTGGTGTGGTGGGGCCGAGGATTGCCCGGGAGCCATTCTGTCCCTTCTGCAGGTCACCGCTGCTGCCCCAGGTGTCCCCCAGTGTCTCTGTGGTGACGCCACCACCAAGGCTCGCTGCCCTGAGCCGCCGACCCTCTCCCTGTCTCGCAGCCCACGGCCCGGGGATACAAGGTCCAGCTGGGGCAGCGCATCCATGAGCCAAGTGACCTTGCTGTCTGTGGGCTGCAGTTTCTAGAACCGAGCACAATGTTGGGGAAGCCAGATTGCAAAGCCCAGCAGGCTGTTCGAGTAAATCAGCCATCTGCGGCCTTGATCTGAGCACCCGTGGAGTGGAGGCGGTCCCTGAGCAACCTGCACGTGGACTTCATCTGCCTCACGGGCACTTTGTCTTGGAAGCTGAAGGGCACAGCCCAGGCCAGACACTGTCCTGCCCCTGCAATCTCACATGTCCTCTATATTTCTGGGTATGTGCCCTGCCACCAGTGCTGGATCCATGATTCCTTGAAGGTGGGAATCTTGTCTTGTTCATTCTTGTCTCCTGGTGGCATTATTTGTTGGGATGGGGAGTGAGAAGAAAACCTGTGAATTGCATGAATTTGTAAATCGGATGGACGTGGAGTGGAATCTTGACTCTCACATTTACTCCCTTAGGAACCCTTAGACATATTGTTTACCCTCTGCTCTTCAGTTTTCCTGTCTAGTAGATAGGATTAGCAATAACACTGATCTCTCAGCAGTGATGCAAGGGTTGAATGAGACGACACAGGTGAAGGAATTAGCATGGCAGCTGGTAAACCGGAGGCATGGAAGAAATGGGTACACCTCTAAGCATGAGAATTTACGTCTTCCTGGTGCATAGCTTTAGCTGAGACACTCCTATCCAGTACAGACAGCTCCATCCTGGACCCTCTCTTCCTTCCTTGCCCCACCCTTTCTGCCACCTCATCTCCCCTTTTCTGGAATTTTCCACTCCGCATCCAATCCTTGGATCTGAGCAGACACCTCCACCCTCTCCTCCCCTGGCATGGTTTTGTACTTTCTGTTTTCCATTATCAGTTTCTGGGAAGCTGGTCCTCTGCTTGGAACCCCATCCACTTTCTAAGCTTTTCTGTGGCCAGCAGGTGAGTGGTGCTGCTTGGGGCGATGGCAGTTTTGCTCACCTGAATGAGGCATCTGGGTTGCATGTTAAAGTACAGCTTCCTGGATCCCAGCCCTCGTTTGAGCACCCCCAGTGTAAACAGACCAGCTTCTGTAGATTTGGGGTTCTGTCTACAGGATGCCCCAGCTCTCCAGGGTCCAGGCAGCCTAGTGTTGACATGAGACATGGCCAGAACCTAAGCTCCAAAGTCTGGGCAGTGGAGAAGCGTGACAGGGGAACAGGAGCAGGTGCAGTCAGGCACCAAGTTACACATTTGCTGGGCATATAATGAGGAAGCGATGGGGATGGTGACATTGGACCTGAGATCTGAATGACAAGGATCAGATCTCAGGAATAACAGACCATCTGATGGTCTGTTACGGGGAGAAGCTTACAATTTGGGATCTACTGTCAAGAACAAGATCAGGATTTGTCATAATCCATTTTATGTGGCTATAACAGAATACCACAGACTGCATAATTTATAAAGGAAAGAAATTTATTTTTCAGCTTTGGAGGGTGGGAAATCCAGTATCAAAGTGCTAGCATCTGTCGAGGGCATTCTTGTATCACCCCATGGTGGAAGGCAAGAGGGTGAGAGAGAACAAGAGATGGAACTCACAGCCTCAAGTCCTTTTAGATCTGGCATTGATCTATTAATGAGAATAGAGCCTTTGTAACCGAAACACCTCCCATTAGGCCCCACCTCCCAAAACTGTTGCCTCGAGGATTAAGTTTCCAACACATGCTTTCGGGGGGACACATTCAGACCATAGCAGGATTCTAGATGAGTCTCTTTTCATTTGACACAGTGTGATGTTTTTAACCAACTAACCATCAAAGAACCGATCCTTAGAAATAGAGTCTCCTTGGAATGGTGTCTGTGGCTGAGGACTTCTGTGGTATTGTCTGCCCCTCCTCAGGGGGCTGAGAAGTGCCTTCCCAGGCTTTGCACCTCATTTATTCCAGGGTTAAGGGCACTGGCTTTGAGGAAAGGAGACCATGGGTTCCAATGCTGCTGGTCACTTATTCATTCAGAATCCATCAACAAATGCTGGCTTCTCTATGTGCCATACACTGATTTAGGTTCTTGGGAAACAGGCAAACCTCTGCCCTCACTGGGCTTTTGTTCTATTAGGAGAGACAGGCAACAAACAAGTAACAGATCATAGCTCTGAGTGACATGAAGAAAATGTAGTGGGTCTGAGGCGTGATCTGTACTTGTGCATTTCACATGGGGTGAGGCGCTCTCTGAGAGGTGACATTGGACCTGAGATCTGAATGACAAGGAGAAGCCCTCCTGTGAAAACCTGAACAAATAGCCTTCCAGAAAGAAACTGCCCGTGCAAAGGCCCTGAGGAGGAAATGAACCTGCCAAATGTGAGGGACAGCAGAAGGAAGCTCCACCGCGGTGGAGGGCCATGAGGGAAGCCAGAGGAAAGAATCAAGGAAAGCTCAGAAGTGGAGTTCAGATCACGTGGTGCTCTGTAGGCCAAGAAGGGAGCTCAGATTCTATTTTGAGGGTGACTGGAGGCCACCGAGGCGTTTTGAACAGTGGAATGATGCAATTTATCTTTTCAAAATGTGACCTGGGCTGTTGAATGGGGAGCTGGCTGATGCAGGGGAGGGGCAGGCACAAAGCCAGTAGAAGGCCCTCCATCTGACATCCCCTGCCTCACTGGCCTGTGCTGCTGAGACCCCAGCATGCCTTGCCGTCACCCTTGTCCACATTTGCACGATGCCTCAATCCATCTCTTCTGGTTTAGAGATGACAGAGGCACCCCTTCCTCTTCCCCAGCTGCTATTAACACAGGGTGCGAGAGCCCAGAACGACTCCTTCCCACGCTCCTTTATTCTCTCTGCAGACAGTCTTCCCACCACCTTGTTCCGAGGCTCTGGGTGAGTGTTCCAGAAGCTGACGAGATGCAGGATCGTCTCCCTCACACACACAAATGCCATGGCAACAGCAACTCCGTGACAACAGCAAAGAAAGCCAGACTGGAATTTGCCAACCCAGAGTGTTGACCATCTGTGAGGCCAAACCCTCCAAATGTTGCCCGTTCTAAGTGCTCATCTCAACCAGGCTTTTGTACATAGCAGAGGCGACATTTAAGTGACATAAGAATAAACATTGGGCACATGTGAAATCCCTTTAAAGTGTGCATTTTTCTGCCCCAATGTGACTGAGATGATGACACAATGAAGAAAAAGGGGGGACTAGGTTTGAGTGAGTGGGCATGGTAGATTTCAGTAATAGGAAATTTAGACCGTCCATAGGGGAGGAGCTCTCCATAGAAAAAACGGCCCAGTTAGTTTATATCTATGCTTCCATTTTCAAGTCCAACAATCTTTTAGAAGTTTACCTTCCCCAAGGCAAAACATTGTGTGTATATATATATATATTTTTTTTGCTTTTTTTGAGACAGGGTCTTCCCCTGTCACCCAGGCTGGAGTGCAGTGGTGCAAACATGGCTCACTGCAGCCTCGACCTCCTGGGCTCAAGCCATCCTCCTGCCTCAGCCTCCCTAGTAGCTGGGACTATAGGCGTGCACTATCATGCCCGGCTAATTTTTAATTTTTTGTAGAGACAGGGTTTTGGCATGTTGCCTGGCCTCAAACTCCTGAGCTCAAGCCATCCTCCTGCTTTTGTATCCCAAACTTGTGGGATTATAGGCATGATCCACTACATCCGGCCAAAGATTTGTGAATAGTTCCATCAAAGGCCCCAATAAATTTAACCCTCTGGGTCTTGAGTTTCCATGGGTCTCCTTTTGTTCTTATAATAACAGTGATAACATCTGGTAGGAACTGTGCCAAATCCTTCATATGTATTTTCTCACTTACTCTTTGTAACAAACTTAGGAGGAGGTACGGCGATTACTGTTGGCCCTCCATATCTGCGGGGATTTGTGGGTTGGGTTCTACCAACTGTGGATTGAAAATATTTGGGGGAAAAAAATCCACAATGAAAAATAACAATAAAACAATAAAAATAATACACAATTTCAAAATACAGTATAACAACTATTTCCATAGCATTTTCATTATATTAGGTATTATAAGTAATCTAGAGATGATTTGAAGTGTACGGGAGAATGTGCATAGGTTGTATGCAAGTAATACTCCAATTTATGTAAGCAACTTGAACATCCTTGGATTTTAGTATCTGTGGGGGTCCTGGAATCAATCCCCCCACAGATATCAAAGGATAACTATACCTTTGTTTTAAAGAAAGTTGAGAAAACACGCACCAGCTTGGAGCTTGCTGGAGGCCGGGCAGAGGCAGACTGGCTGGGAAGGATTGTTTTCTTTTTTTTTTTGAGATGGAGTCTTGCTCTGTCACCCAGGCTGGAGTGCAGTGCCATCTTGGCTCACTGCAAGCTCCGCCTCCCGGATTCACGCTATTCTCCTGCCTCAGCCTCCAGAGTAGCTGGGACTACAGGCGCCCGCCACGACGCCCGGCTAATTTTTTTGTATTTTTAGTAGAGATGGGGTTTCACCATGTTAGCCAGGATGGTCTCGATCTCCTGACCTCGTGATCCACCCGCCTCGGCCTCCAAAAGTGCTGGGATTACAGGCGTGAGCCACCACGCCCAGACCAAGGATTGTTTTCTTTTACTTGCTGCCTAAATCCTTGGAAGCTTTGGGTGACCCTGGGAACAAGTGAAAGTAAGGCTTAGGTGGAGGCGGAGGCTGGGGGAGTTGTGGGAAGGCCACCCTCAAGGGCAGGTTGAGGGACTTCGGGGAGGGCCCTTCTTGAAGAGGCCAGGGTGGAAGACAGGAAGAGCTGTTTTGGAAAGCGAGGCTGGTGGATTTGGCTGAGGGTGTGCGGAGCTTGATGGGACAGAGAGGACTGAGCTGGTGGATACACACGGGAGCCAGGTGCTCAGGAGAGGCCAGGCTGGATGGGCACACCCGGGAGCCATCAGTCAGAGACGATGACAGCATTTTTGGCTCGAGTCTACAGGTACTTCTCTGGGGCCTGCGCTGCCCCCTCAGGCCACTTCTGCCCCTGCCCTGTGTCCCCAAGACATGCTCATCTCTGTGCCTGGCAGGGCTGGGCTCCTTCCTGCCTCCCTGCTTGACCAGGAGCCCCTGTAAGCCACCGACCATGCCCAGCTCATCTTAGAGGCCTCAGCTCCTGACCAGGGCCATCCACGTCAGCATGTGTGGATCCCAACTTCCTCCTAAACCCAGGAACTCCTCACCTTTCTGCTCACTCCACGGCATCACAGCAGTAGCAAGTACTCGCAATTCTTCCTCCCTGTCGTGAGTTGAATTGTGTCTTCCCAAAAGATCTGTTGAAGCTCCAGCTCCCAGTAACCGTGAATAGGACCTTATTTGGAAATAGGGTCTTTGTAGATGCAATCGCGTTAGGCTCAATTGGGGGGCCTAAACTTATCTGAGTGTCTTTATAAGAAGAGGTACGAGAGACCCACAGGAACACCACACTGGAGGCAGAGATTGGAGTGGGGCAGCTGAAAGCCAAGGAACGCTGAAGATTGAAACCAGAAGCTGGAAGAGGCAGGAAGGTTCTGCCCTTAGAGCCTGGCCCTGCAACACCTTGATTTCAGGCTTCAGTCTCCAGAACTCTAAAACAATACATTTCTGCTGTTTTCAGCCCGCATGTGTATGGTGCTTTGTTACGGCAGCCACAGGAAACCAGCACACTCCGTGAGGCCCTCTTTCCCATCTCCCCTCCTGCCCTCGCTCCCCACTGCCTGGCTCTGGCCTTCCCTGCTCTTCCCTTTCCATCCAGCAGCCCTGGTGCCACAGGAGGGCTGAGTCACAGGCTGAGTCACAGTGAGTCCCCAAGTGCCCAGTGCTGTCCCACACCTTTGCCCCTGCTGTTCCCCTGCCTGAGCTGCCCTCCCTCTTGTCTGATGGTGACTTCTACGCATCCTTCAAAACTCAGGTCATCTCCGTGGTAGGGCGGTTCTGACCTCCAGATTGAGGCAATCATTCCCTCCACTGTTCTTCCCTTCAGCTCACCTCTTGCCCCCACTCCTCATGGCAGAGCCAGTTTAATTGCTTCTTATTTATGCCCCCTTTCCCCCGCCTCGAAGCATGAGTCTCTTGAGAGCAGGGAGTATGTCCCGTGGCAGAGACTCAATCATGGAGATTGGTTGGCTGTGTAGAGGGCTGGATGAACGACTGCATAAAAAAACTGGTTGGCTGGATGGTCAGACAACAGAAAACCTGAGAAAACATCAACACAATTGGCTCTGCATGCGCGATGTGCTCTTGTGGCCCTGGTGTTAGCAGGGAGGGATCCAGGGTTTGTGGGATCCGATGCTGATACAACTGAGGGGCATCCCCTTCCAGAAAAAACTACAAAAGCAGGTACAGGGCTTTAGAGGGGGCGCAGAAACGTAAGCTTTATCAGCATCCCGGCAAATTCACCTTTGCTGTTCGCTTCGCTGGGCACACCCCCATGTCCCGGCCTTGAGCTCCTGCCGCGCTCACCACTTCCTCCTTGCCTGACCGCGGACCGCAGGCAGCACTTTCGCTGAGATTGCTTCCCCTTGAGGTCTGCAGGTCTCTGGGCCCGGGAGAGCCTCCGCTGTCTCAGGAGCACAGGCTGAAGCTTCATCAGCCTCCAGCCCAGCCAGGGTGAGCGCCACCTTTAGAATATGTTTGCCTTGCCTCCTCCCACATGCTGCCCCCGTGGCTGGCCAAGCTCCATGGGATGGGGGTGCCAAGGAGACCTACGTTTCTGTCACCTGCTTGCAGGCTTGCAGGATCGTGGAAGGGCTATTGTGGTATATTTGTTTTCAAAGCTCTTGTAACAAATGACCACCAACAGGGTGTCTTCAAACAACAGAAATTTATTCTTCCAGTTCTGGAGGCCAAATGTCCAGGTGCCGGCAGGGCCGCTGCCGCCAAAGGCTCTGGGGCAGGATCCTCCCCACTTCTTCCTGCTCCTGGTGGCTCCTGGCAGCTCCTGGCATTCCTTGGCTTGTCCTGCCTCCACCTTCACATGGCTTTCCCTCTCTGTCTTCCCACTTCTTATATGGACGCCGATCATTGGATTTAAGGCTCACCCTAAAGCCAGGATGATGTCAGCTCAAGATCCTTCACTTGCATCTGCAAAGACCTTTTTCCAAATAAGGTCACATTTACAGGAACCAAGGGGTTAGGACTTGAACAGATCTCCTGGGGGACACAATTCAGACTGTTACACATGGGGACAATGATCGGACCCCACCTCACCTGGGAGGACAGCTGGCTGCTCTGCAACTGCAGAGATGGGAGGGCCCTACAAAGAGCCCACCCATCACTCCACAGCTACCCGTGCTCCCTCTTTTTTTTTTTTTTGAGAAAGAGTCTTGCTCTGTTGCCCACCTCGCAGGTTCAAATGATTCTCGTGCCTCAGCCTCCTAAGTGGCTGGGACTACAGGCGTGCACCATCATGCCCAGCTAATTTTTGTATTTTTTTGTAGAGATGGGGCCGTGATGACCAGGCTGGTCTCGAACTCCTGACCTCCCGTGACCCACTCGCCTCAGCCTCCCAAAGTGCTGGGATTCCCGGAGTGAGCCACCGACTACACCCAGTCAGTTGGCAGCAAGACCAAGAGCTCCTGGGGACAGGCGCATCTTCCACCCCAGCTTCACCCCCACCTGTGGAGCCTCCACCGTTTGCCCCTCTGCTTCCAGCCTTCATCTTCCCCTCCCTCCCTCTGACTGGTCCTGAGTAAGTAGTTCTCAGTCTTCCCCCCTTCTCCCCGTTTCCCCTGCACTCCTCTTCCTGGCCTCCCCCTTGGCCTGGCTCCAAGCTCCAAGCAGAGGGTGACAGGGAAGCGGCTGGGAAGGCGCCCTTTCCTGAGGCCCCTCGCAATGGAGATGAGCTCTGGGCCGGGACTTCACCAGGGTCTCCTCCTCTGTCTGTGCACTTGGCAGTCCATCTTTCTGGAAAAGACCCCTCCACACACACACACACCCAGAAACCCACCCACCTGCTGGTTCTGGCATCTCGTCCCATTCCTGGCTTGGTTACCACCTGCCCTAGCCCGTCACTCTAGATCTCAGCCTCTATTTGGGTCCTTCAGGACATTTGTTACTGCCATAGGGACGCCTCTGCCCCCTCCTCGGGTTTCCTTGGAGGCAGGCTGACTCCACGGGTGGGGGCAGAACAGCACTGGTCCCTCCCCGTCACTCCCTGGGGAGAGGGAGTCTGAGGAGTCCGGGAAGCCCAGCCTGCCTGTGGCCCTTGGGATGGCTCCCCGTGGCCAGCTCTCCCCTAGTGGGCACCGCCCCTGTTTGGCCCTGCTCGGCCCCTTCCTGGGATGGTTATGTTTAATTCAGGAGGAAGGAGCAAGAGCCCATCTGGTTATGAGTCAGAACAACTCCAGCAGCTTCACATTTCCAGCACGGAGCTGACACTTCAGCCCTTACCACCTGCTGATTCTGTTTCCTAATTAATTCCAATTGCAGAGGTGAGGGGGTGAGATGAATCAACACCTTCAAATACCCCACACTCGGATTTCATGGTGTTTTGTTTTTATTTGCCTCTGCTGGTTTATTTTTGTTGGTTTTCCCTAGGAAGGCAGTGAAGTACCTGAGGGCAAGCCTGGGTCTGGGTCTTGCAATCCTATCCTCAGTGCCTAGATGCCCAGTGAACACTGAATTCATCATTGTCCCCCTTTTACAGAGAGGGCTGTATGTCACACAGCGGGTACACGGGGAGCCGGGGTTTAAAGGAGTGTTTTCATGACCCTAATCCCCTGGCCGCTGACCTCCAGGCTCAGAGCCTGACTCATGTAGAATATGCCAGGCCCTTAGTGGCCTGTGGGCTGGCTTTGTGCCCAGAACCAGGGACGTGAGTATCCAGAGCTCACTTCCCCGCTGCTCTCCTCCTCCCCAGCCCCTTCTTGGCTTGCTCCCGCAGGAAGCCCTCCCTCAGGTATCATTTCCTACAGAGGAAATCTCCTTTGTCCCTGGAAGTGCAAATCTGGCTGTGAGAGTGGCAGGCCTCTTGGGGGCTATTGTTTGGCACTTCCTTCTTGGCAGTGGGCCTTGGGCTCCTGAACCCCTCTGCTGCCTGGCTGTCCAGGGTCTGAGTGCTCCCAGAGGCCCCCCAGGCTGGAAGAGCCAGTTAGTCAGTTAGATAACTATGACTTGGTTCCTGCCTTCAAGGAGGTAAGAGTGTGATGAAAGACCTCAAGCCAAAACCACCCAGAACCATCCAGAACCAACCAGAATCCCCAACCAAGCCCTTCCCAAACTCATCACCCACAGGGATTGTGAAAAATAATAAAACAATTACAGTTGTTGTTTTAACTGTGGTAAAATATGTGTAACGTAAAATTTACCATCTTCATCATTTTTAGGTGTACATTTCAGTGGCATTAAGTACATTCCTGGTGTTGTACGCACATCGCCACCATCCATTTCCAGAACGATTTCATCTTCCCAAACTGAAACTCCATCCCCACTTTAAACACTAACTCCCCTTCCTTCCTCTCCACAGTCCCTGGCACCCACTGTTCTGCTTTCTGTCTCCAAGAATGTGACTCCTCCAGGCACCTCATGTGAGTGGACTCATACAGCATCTGTCCTTTCCTAGCCGGCTTAATTCAAAAGCATAATGTCCTCAAGGTTCATTCATGTGGTAGCGTGGACAGAATTTTCATACTTTTTAAGGCTGAATCATGTTTTGTTTGATATATTCTACATTTTGTTGATCCATTCATCTGTAGATGGAAACCTGGGTTGCTTCCACCTTTGCGCTATTGTGAATTATGCTGCCATGAACATGGGTGTGCAAATATCTGTGAGAGTCCCTTTTTCAGTTTTGTGGGATATGAACCAAGAAGCGGGGTTGCTGGATCATATGGTAGTTCTATTTTGAGTTTTTGAGGAACCACCGTACTGCTTTCCACAGCAGCCACACCACCTGCCACTCCCTGCAACAGTGCACAAAGATTCGAATTTCTTTCTCTTTTTTGAGACAGGGTCTCGCTCTGTCACCCAGGCTCAAGCGCAGTGGTGCAATCACAGCTCACTGCAGCCTCGACCTCTGAGGCTCAAGCAGGCCTCTCAACTCAGCCTCCTGAGTAGCTGGGACCACAGGTGTGCATCACTACGGCCAGCTATCTTTTTTGTATTTTTAGTAGAGATGGGGTCTCACCATGTTGCCCAGGCTGGTCTTGAACTCCTCAGCTCAAGGGATCTACCCACCTCAGCCTCCCAAGGTTCTGGAATTACAGGCGTGAGCCACTTGGCCTGGCAGAGATTCCAGTTTCCCTACATCCTAGCCAGCACTCACTTTTCTCCTTTGATAGTAGCCTTCCTAATGGGCCCGACCTGGCATCTCACTGTGGATTTGGTTTGCATTTCCCTGATGACTAATGATGCTGAGCATCTTTTTTGTGTTTTTTGGCCACTCGCACATCTTCTTTGGAGAAATGTCTTAACCAATATGGGGTCTCATCCTAGCACTCAGGACTTGCCCTGGATTCTCCTGGCTCTGCCCTTGGGACATGATCTGTGCTCGGCTTGGTCAAGGCCCCACAGCCCATCCTTCTCTGCTCCAATGCACCCCACCCACCGGGTCTCCTGGCCAGGAAAAAACACAGCCCTCCCGACTCCTGCCATCCAGCTGGCTCCACCCAGATCCCTCAAATCCTCTCTGAGCCTGGAGTTTTGCCCCCAGGTTGCCCCCTTGCCGTCCCCTAAAGAGTCCTGCTCTATGGCCAGCCCTGTGCCTGGCTAGCAGCTGCCTGTACACATCCTCCTGAATCATGCCACTCTCATGCCCAACACCAGTGTCTGCTCCTGGATTTCCCACTGCTTGGCCCTTCCTGTACCCTGATGGAAGGCGATTAGGAGGTTATTGCAGGGTTGTCTCTGCCTGGGGCCTTTTCTTTTTTTTTGAGACAGAGTTTCACTCTTGTTGCCCAGGCTGGAGTGCAATGGCGCAATCTTGTCTCACTGCAACCTCCGCTTCCTGGGTTCAAGCGATTCCCCTGTCTCAGCCTCCTGAGTAGCTGGGACTACAGGCACATGCCACCACGCCCGGCTAATTTTTGTACTTTTAATAGAGATGGGGTTTCATCATATTGGTCAGGCTGGTCTCAAACGCCTGACTTCAGGTGATCCGCCTGCCTTGGCCTCCCAAAGTGCTGGGATTACAGGTGTGAGCCACTGCGCCCGGCCACCTGAGGCCTTTTCTAGCTGCAGAAGCTGGCAGGCCCTGGGGCAGGGCATGCAGGAAGTCCTGAGCGGTTCACACTCCCCCAGAAGCGCCCTCAACCAGTGAGGGACAGAAGTTGGTGGATAAATGCCCCAGCTCCCTCGGCCTTCAGTGAGGCCATTCTATGTGTAGTCTACACTCCCTGAGTGCCTGTGGGTTTGAGCCCTGGTTGTCCCCTGTTGTCCACAGAGATCACCTGCACATTAGGGCACCCTTTACTTCTCTCACCCCTGTCCCTGTCACACCTTCCCACTGTCCTGACAGTACTAGTGTCATCTCCAAGACAAAGTAGTAGTTGTCTCTTGTCTCAGCTCTGATAGGTGGGACCCCACACTGGGACAGCAGTGAAGTAGGAGAGAGTCCCCACTTGGAGTCTGGCAGACCCAGGCTTGCCTCTTGGTCTTGCTGCTTCCCAGCCGTGTGGCTTATCTGGTCGCTTCGTCCCTCTTAGTCCCATTTTCTCTTTTTTATTGGGAGTAATAGGAACACCCCAGCTGTCTCTCCGTGCATTTGCTGTTGGGAAATTCAGACCCAAATGGGAACTGGCCCCTAGAACACAGCACCTGTTGTTTGTTCTGCGACAGTCAAGGAGGGCAGAGGCCCTAAGATGGAGATGTTGGATTTCCTGCTAATGAGCATGTCAGGGCATGAGAGGAACAAAGTGGATGTGGAGAGAGGTGGGGCCTGACTCCTACTCACCCTGGCAAGGTGTATGGTGCTGAGTTACATGCCCTGAAGAGTAACTGTGGTCTGTGCAGGGCCTCAGGCTAACCCTCATTGTTAAAGGGAGCGAGCCCAGCCCTGTGGTATGGCTGTGGCCCTGGGGATGACCTTCTTTGCCCAACCCCCAACCGCATTCACAAGAAGCTGCTGCCGGGCCAGATGTGCAGGATCACACCTCTGAGCAAGGGTGGCACCCGACCATATGGTAGGTGTGTGGCAGAGCATTGGCAGGCGAAACCCAGGCCCACAAAAAGGCCGCTCTGAGCTTCTCCTCTCTCTAAACAGGAGGCAAGAAGGAGGGAAAGTGAGAGAGAGAGGAAGGCAGGAAGGAAGGGAAGAGAGAGAGAAACAGAGAAAGAGAAAGACAGAGAGAGATAGGGTGGCCTTCCTGCTGATCTGGGAGGCTCCAGTAAGAGTAATTTTAATATTTAAAATCGATGTTATTTGTATCTTAAGCCGGTAAAGTTGTTCACACCTATTTAAAATAAGCAAATGCCTCAAAGGGTAGCCTCCCGAGTAGCTGGGATTACAGTGCAGGAATTGAATGAAATTCTTTTTTTTGTTCTTGTGTTTTTGAGACGGAGTCTCTCTCTGTCACCCAGGCTGGATTGCAGTGGCGTGATCTTGGCTCACTGCAAGCTCTGCTTCCCGGGCTCACGCCATTCTCCTGCCTCAGCCTCCCAAGTAGCTGGGACTACAGTCGCCCACCACCACGCCGGGCTAATTTTTTGTATTTTTAGTAGAGACAGGGTTTCATTGTGTTAGCCAGGATGGTCTCAATCTCCTGACTTTGTGATCTGCTCGCCTCGGCCTCCCAAAGTGCTGGGATTACAGGCGTGAGCCACCGCGCCCGGCCTGAAATTCTTGAAATTATCCAATACAGTGCACGGCCCAAGGAGGGTGCCCAGAAGATGTTTGTCTCTTTTCTATTCCTTCCCTAGCCTGTACTCCCTGAGCTGAGCCCAGGGCCTGACACCCAGTTGGTGCTCATGCAATGTCTGTTGAATGAACGAGCAACCTGGGTACTGTTTCTGAACCATGAGGGAGAGAGGCCTGGGACCCTCTGACCCTGGGTTCAGCCCCCTGGTTGCCTACCTCGAGCCAGCCCTGAGCCAGGCTGGGTTTTCTTGCCCCTGCCAGGCCCGGTTGCAGGCCTGGAGTAGGGGCTTTCTGCTTGCTGCAGGCACTGGGAGGGGCCAGGGTGTCTCTCCAAACCTCAAGTTAGACAGCCTTGGTTGGAAGGGTTTTTGTTTTCTTTTGTTTTTTGTTTTGTTCTGAGACTGCGTCTTGCTCTGTCTCCCAGGCTGGAGTGCAGTGGCTCAATCTCAGCTCACTGCAACCTCCTCCTCCCAGGTTCAAGCAATTCTCTTGCCTCAGCCTCCCGGTAGCTGGGATTACAGGCGCACACCACCATGCCCGCTAATTTTTGTATTTTTAGTAGAGACTGGGTTTCACCATGTTGGCCAAGCTGGTCTCCAACTCTTGACCTCGTGATCCACCCGCCTCAGCCTCCCAAAGTGCTGGGATTACAGGGGTGAGCCACCATGCCTGGCTGGAAAGATTTTTTTTATGTCCAGCTCTCTCACTTGTGAAGCCATATAAAGGCCTCCCCTGTGTCTCAGTGTGAGGGAGCAGGGACTCCACATGCTAAAATATACAGTGATGACACCACATGTGGTCCAAAGAAAACAACATATAGAAGTCCAACTAGTTCTCAAATCAGCACCATGTCATCAAGCTTGAACTATCTTGTGGTTAAGGTTGGTTTGGGTGGCCTCCAAGGGAAGTTCAAGTTGCTTTGGCTTAAGAGATTTGTCCATGCCTGTGTGTGTGGTTTGTGTGTGTGTATCGTGTGTGTGTGTGTGTTGCTATTTGTGGTCCTAAGTGAATGACAAGGCTCTGATTCAGCAGCCCTTACCAGACAGTGACGTTGATGATAATTTCCATTTTGTACAGTGCAGCTTTTCTGTCTCCAAATCTTATTCATATGGATGAACTCATTTGAACATTGCAATACCTAGGAGATGAATGGTTGTAGTTTTATAGATGGAGAAACAGCAGCTTACACAGGTAACTCAGCATCACAGAGCTGGGTCATGGTGGCCAGGACGTGAACCCGGGCTCCATGAGTGATGCCTCTGTTCTGTCTTCAACATTGTACAGAGACATCTTGGCAGGCACTAGGCTAAGACGTATGTGGGATAGCTGGGCAAGTGAGATGGACCTGTCCTAGGAAATTTACATTTGATTGTGAGTGAAGGACAGGTGAATCTAATGATCTGGAGTCACAATGTACATTAACTGCGATGATGACATAATTCACCATGTGTGATAAGAATACAGAGCACCAGATAAATCTGGCAGGGGAATCCAGGAAGGCTTACTGGGGGAGGTGTCCTGTGAACTGGTCTTTCTGCCAATTAGGATTTCAGCCAGCTACATATGCCAGCAACTATCCATAGCGGCTTGCCCATTAGAGACTTACTGTTCTCACAAAGCAAGAAGCCTGGAGGGAGGCAGTCCAGGGCCGCAGCAGCCACTCGAGAAGGCTGTGAAGGATGCGGCTCCTTCCAGCTTCCCACTCTACCCTCTGTAGAGCGTGGTGCTTGTCCTCATGCTGCGACATGGCAGCTCTATTTCTAGGCTTTGGGCTTACAGCCCAGGAGGGAAGGAGGAAAGGGTAAGGGTTGAAAAGCAAAAAGTCAGCCAGGCTCACACTGGCTGAGTTGGTGGGCTTTTGAGCTAGGCCCCAAGGCCACTCCTTACGGCAAAAGAGATTTTTGACCTGAGCATGGCAGAACAAAGTCAGAGCTTAGTAAGGATATTGGGAGGGCACTGGGCAGTGTCTGCCTCATCTTTTTAGCTGGGTAGGAACCCAGCAGGCAACAGGTGCGGGGAGAGCCCACAGCGAGGCAGTGGGTGGGGAAGTGCAGGCTCCATGGAAACAGGAGGTGGTTCACTCTGGTCAGAGGGATGTAACATTTCTGTGTATGGTTGTGTGTGCCCATGTGCCCACCTGCACCTATACATGTGCACACACAACACGTAGTCACGTATGCACACACGTGTCTATGTGTGCATACACATAGGTGTATGAGGGTGTGCAGGCATGCATGTGTGTGTTGCCATGAGGAGGTGGTGATTATAATGGGGGATAAATAATGAGCTTGATCGTGAAGGCCTTAAGAAGCTCGGGTTGTGGCCGGGCACAGTGGCTCACGCCTGTAATCCCGGCACTTTGGGAGGCCGAGGCAGGTGGATTACCTGAGGTCAGGAGTTCGTGACCAGCCTGACCAACATGGAGAAACCCCGTCTCTACTAAAAATACAAAATTAGCTGGGCGTGGTGGTGCATGCCTGTAATCCCAGGTACTCACGAGACTGAAGCAGGAGAATCACCTGAACTCGGGAGGCGGAGGTTATGGTGAGCCAAGATCGTGCCACTGCACTCCAGCCTGGGCAACAAGAGCAAAACTCTGTCTCAAAAAACAATAACAACAACAACAGAGAAAACTCAGATTGTAATCCCAGAACTTTGGGAAGCCAAGGTGGGTAGATTGCTTGAGTTCAGGAGTTTGAGACCAGCCTGGGCACCATAATGAAACCTCATCTCTACCAAAATACAAAAAAAGAAAAATAGCCTGGCATAGTAGCCTGTGCCTGTGGTCCCAGATACTGAGGAGGCTGAGGCAGGAGGATCGCTTGAGCCTAGGAGGCGGAGGTTGTAGTGAGCTGAGATCGCGCCACTGTATTCCAGCTTGGGCAACAGAGTGAGATCTTGTCTCAAAGAAAAAGAAGAAGCAGCTCAGGCTGATTCCATGTTGAGAGCCCCTGACCACACCGAGGAGTGGCTTGGTGAGATTCCAGCGGCAGTGTGGCGGAAATTGAGGGGCGGGGAGCTGGCAGCAAAGAGATCAGTGAGGGGGCTGTTAGCAGGGGTGGCTCAGAGCCACAAACCAAGAGCTGACATTTTCAGAAATGCAGCCCCAGATAGGAGGACTTCAGAACCTTTTCTGCAGGCGCACTAGGAGGTGGCAAAACCTGGTGGCCATGCCTACGGGCTTGGAGTCAGGCTGCCTAGGTCCAACCCAGCTCTACCAATTTATATGTGGCCAGTCATGACACTCTCTGGGCCTCATTCTCCTATGTGTAACTCAGAGAGAATCATTTTGCCAACACCCAGGAGATGCCAATGAGATTACTTGAGCAGAATGAGTGACAAAGTGCCGAGTACATGTTACCTATTACCATGGTATTGCAGATGCAGAAGGCCCCATTGTCCCCAGGTGGCACATCCACGGTGTCCTCTAAAGGCGCTCCCTGCCTGTGTCTGTGCAGGCCTACGTGGAGGCTGGACACACAGGTACAAGCTTGCCAGCTCTCCCTCTTGCATGTGAGGTTAGTGAGCCCCTTAAGCCTGGGCATTCCTGAGTAGCTTTGTCAAAGCTGGAGCAGCCAGTGGGTGCCGGCCAGGATGTCCTGAGACGTTTCCGAGAGTCATTCATAAGGATCTAAAAGGCTGGTATGGTTCCCTCGTTACTCAATGCCCTCTCTGCCCTGATGCTTGCTTCTTTTTGCTCTCAGTAGCCTGTGGTCTTCAGGAACTGGGGGAGTTGGTGCTGAGTAAAGCCCCGAGTCGGCCTTTGTTCAGCATGCATTTGCTCACAGCTCCTGCCTGCCCTCAGGTTGCCCGTGTTCAGAAGGGAGGCTTACTGGTAGAAGAGCAATGGCAGTTAGTGGAAGGCGTGTTACAGTGAGGGACACCGTGTGGAGCTGCAGGTGCAGACCAGGGTGCCTAACCCAGACTTGAGATGAGAAGAGCCTTCCTGGTGGCAGCAATGTCCATACCAAGGGAAGGGAACTCAGTCCCTGTCCTTGAGGCACTGACGTCCAGTCGGGTGCACAGGCATTTACAACATTGTGTCGTAATTTCTGCTGCCAGCTATGCTGGAGTAGCTCATAGCAAGCCAACTCTCATGCAGAAGACAATTATGAAGCCTGGAAACATTGCAAAATGAAATCGATTGGTGGCCGGGCATGGTGGCTCACGCTTGTAATCCCAGCACTTGGGGAGGCCGAGGTGGGTGGATCACCTGAGGTCAGGCGTTCAAGACCAGCCTGGCCAACATGGCGAAACCCCGTCTCTACTAAAAATACAAAAAATTAGCCAGGCGTAGTGGCAGACGCCTGTAATCCCAGCTACTCAAGAGACTGAGGCAGGAGAATCACTTGAACTAGGGAAGCGGAGGTTGCAGTGAGCTGAGATTGTACCTCTGCACTTCAGCCTGGGCAACAAGGCGAGACTCCATCTCAAAAAAGAAAGAAAGAAAGAAAGAAAGAAAAATTGATCGGAGAGCTTTGTAGCGTAAATTGCAATTGGGGGGGTCAAGACCCTAGAAAGGGGAACATGATAAAGTCAGACAGACCTCCATCGCTTTCCACCTCAGGGTGTGTTCCAATGTGGAGCATCGCAGCTTCTGCAGCTTCCTAGAGCTGGAGAGACAACCACTGGAGTTCATGGCTCCCAAGGCTCCTGGGGTTGAAGAACTCTGAGAAAAGGAGACTAAAGAGGAGAGAGCAGGCCGGGTGCAGTGGCTCACACCTGTAATCCCAGCACTTCGGGAGGCCGAGGCGGTTGGATCACCTGAGGTCGGGAGTTCGAGACCAGCCTGGCCAACATAGTGAAACCCCGTCTCTACTAAAACTACAAAAATTAGCTGGGTGTGGTGGCGGGTGCCTGTAGTCCCAGCTACTCGGGAGGCTGAGGCAGGGAATTGCTTGAACCTGAGAGGCGGAGGTTGCAGTGAGCCGAGATCATGCCACTGCACTCCAGCCTGGGTGACAGAGCGAGACTCCGTCTCAAAAGGAGGAGAGAGCCTGGCATCCTATGCAGCTATTGCCCTCATGATGTTTGCTGAATCCTGAGGTGCTCACAGGGAAGAGGCCAAAAAACCCCCCAAAAAAGTGGTTGCTGAGAGAATAAGCTGAAGTTTCAGTAGTCTCAAGATGCCATGGGAAAAAAATGGAAGTTCAGAGCTATTGAAGGAAAATCGGCCTGTAAACAGCCCTGGTTTTCTTTGGAGACTCCTGTAAACACTGCATCTCAAATGGCTGCTCCAGCCCAGGCTTCTTGTTTCACAAGAAAGATGAATCCTTAATGGTTAAGCCACTAGGATGCGTTGCTGATACATGTAGCAGACTAAAATCCTAACTGGCACAAAGGCCAGTTTATGGGTACCTCCTCCAGTAAGCCTTCCTGGATTCCCCTGCCAGATTTAATCTTGTGATCTGTGTTCTTATCACACATGCTTGGTTCTCTTATCATCACGGTGAACATACATTGTGCCTCCAAATCATGAGGTATATGTGTCCAACCTCAAAATAAACATAAACTATGCCCTAGGATTAAGGTCAATCCTCACAAAGTCTGAAATTCAGCCTCAGTTTCTCTCATTTCCTAGTTTACACCAAGTAATCTCTCCTAACTCTAACTGCCAGCAAGAAGAAAATTAAACCATTTCTGTGGGAAGATAAAATCCTCCAGAGCTTCTGTGATTTTTTTAAAGACAGAATCTGATGTTCAATAGAAAATTACCAGGCATAGGCCGGGGACGGTAGCTCACGCCTGTAATCCCAGCACTTTTGGAGGCCGAGGTGGGTGGATCACGAGACCAGGAGTTTAAGACCAGCCTGGCCAAGATGGTGAAACCCTGTCTGTACTAAAAATACAAAAATTAGCCAGGCACGATGGCAGGCACCTATAATCACAGCTACTCGGGAGGCTGAGGCAGAGAATTGCTTGAACCCTGGAGGTGGAGGTTGCAGTGAGCCGAGATCACGCCACTGCACTCCAGTGTGGGCGAGAGAGCGAGACTCCGTCTCAAAAAAAGAAAGAAAGAAAGAAAGAAAGAAAATTACCAGGCATATCATCAAACAGAGCCAATGAAAGAAAAGCAAGAGGAAAAAACCAAACCAAACCCAGATAATGAAAAATAACCCACAATATTGGATTTGAAAATACTGTGATTAATGTTTAACATATAGATATCAAGATGGAGAGTTTTCAAAAACTGGAACTTATAAAAAGAACCAAGTAGGCCGGACACGGTGGCTCATGCCTGTAATCCCAGCACTTTGGGAGGCCGAGGCAGGCGGATCACCTGAGGTCAGGAGTTCGAGACCAGCCTGGCCAACTTGGAGAAACCCCATCTCTACTAAAAGTACAAAAATTAACCGGGTGTGGTGGCAGGCACCTGTAATCCCAGCTACTCAGGAGGCTGAGGCAGAAGAATCACTTGAACCCGGGAGGCAGAGGTTGCAGTGAGCCGAGATCACGCCACTGTACTCTAGCCTGGGCGACAAGAGTGAGACTCTGTCTCAAAAAAAAAAAAAAAAAAACGAACCAAATAGAAGTTGTAGAACTAAAAAATATAACAACTAAAACCAATAGCTCAATATACGGATTTAACAACAGATTAGGCACAGTAGAAAAGAGGATTAATGAAGTAGAATCTAGGTGAGCAGAAATGTTCACACTGAAGCATGGGAAGAATAAATAGGATGAAAAATATAGACAAAAACATCAGGGAAATATGAAGCATTGTGAAAAAGTTTAACATATGTTAATTACAGTCCCAGAAGAAAAGGAGAGAGTAAGCCAGAACCAATATTTGAAGAAATAATGGCTGTGGCTGGCCATGGTGGCTCATGCCTATAATCCCAGGATTTTGGGAGGCTGAGGCAGGAGGATTGCTTGAAGCCAGGAGTTCAAGACAAGCCTGGACAACAAGGCTCTCTTTTAAGAGAGCTGCCTCTATTAATTTTTTTTTTTTAATTAGCTAGGTGCAGTGGCCTGTGCCTGTAGTCCCATAGTCCCAGCTACTTTGGAGGCCGTAGTCAGAAGATCACTTGAGTCCAGGAGTTCCAGGCTGCAGTGAGCTATGAGGGTGCCACTGTACTCCGGACTGAGCAACAGAGTGAGACTCTGTCTCTAAAAGAAAGAAAGAAAGAAATAATGTCTGAGGCTGAGCATTTCCAAATTAACAAGACATCAAGCCACAAATGAAAGAAACTCTTAATTTCAAACAAGGTGGATAAAAAGAAGGTCACAGTGGGTGGCTCACGCCTGTAATCCCAGCAATTTGGGAGGCCGAGGTGGGCGGATCATGAGGTTGGGAGATTGAGACCAACATGGCTAACACGGTGAAATCCCGTCTCCACTAAAAATACAAAAAATTAGCCGGGTGTGATGGCGGACGCCTGTAGTCCTAGCTACTTGGGAGGCTGAGGCAGGAGAATGGTGTGAACCCGGGAGGTGGAGCTTGCAGTGAGCCGAGATCGCACCACTGCACTCCAGCCTGGGTGACAGAGCGAGACTCCATCTCAAAAAAAAAAAAAAAAAAAAAGGTCACAGTGAAGCATGTCATTGCCAAACTAGTGAAAAATGAAGTCAAAGAGAAAGTCTTCAAAACAGCTAGCAAAGAAGATTTTAAACAAAGCAATAATAGAACCAAGAGCTGACTTCTCAGAAGAGATCATGGAGATGGAAAATAATGGTAGGGTATCTTCAAAGTGCTGAAAGAAAGCCACTGCCATAGCCTGGACAATATAGCAAGACCCCATCTCGCTCCAAAAAAAAAAAAAAAAGGGATGGGAGGATGGGTGTGGTGGTACATAACTGCAGTCCCAGCTACTTGGGAGGCTGAGGCTGGGAGATGGATTGAGCCCAGGAGTTTGAGGCTGCTGTAAGCTATGATCATGCCACTGCACTCCCACCTGGGAGACAGAGTGAGACCCCATCTCTTAAAAAGAAAACGACTGCAAATCTAGAATTCAAACTAAGCTAAAATGCAGTTGAAAATGAACAAGAAATAAGGATATTTTTAGATAAACCAAAGCTGTCAGGATTTGTCACCAGCAGGTCCACATTAGAAGAAACACTAAAGAAGGCAGAAGGAAAATTATCCCAGATGAAAGTAATAATGCTAAAAGAAATAGTGTCCAAAAAAGTAAATATATAGATAAAACTAAGTGAATATTAACTGTTTCTAACAATGACAGTAACATCTTACGGGATTTAAAACATACATAGAATAAAAAGAATTAATAACAGTACAAAAGTTAGGAAAGGGGTGCATGGAGTTAAATTTCAACATTCTCATATTATCTGGGAAGTGATAAATGATTTTAAAAAGTTATGGTAATGTCTTAAAACTCAAGGTGCATGTTGTAACTCCTAGAATAACCATCAAAAGATAAATAATAGGATGCATAACTAATCTGATAAAGGGAGAAATAGAATAACAAAAGATGTTTAAATAACCAAGTAAAAGGGCAAGAAAGGGGGATAAAGGAATGTAGAGGACAGGCCCGGTGGCTCACGCCTGTAATCCCACCACTTTGGGAGGCCGAGGCAGGCAGATCACAAGGTCAGAAGATCGAGACCATCCTTGCTAATATGATGAACCCGTCTCTACTAAAAATACAAAAAATTAGCCGGGCGTGCTGGCATGCACCTGTGGTCCCAGCTACTTGGGAGGCTGAGGCAGGAAAATCGATTGAACCCGGAAGGTGGAGATTGCAGTAAGCTGAGATCGCACCACTGCATTCCAGCCTGGGCGACAGAGCGAGACTCTGCAAGACAAATAGAAAACAAATAGCCATATGGTAAATTTAAACCCAAAAATATCAGTAATTGCATTAAATGTAAATGAACCAGTAAAAAGACAAAGATTTCCGGGCTTTTTCACTTTTTTTGAGATGGAGTCTCAATCTGTCACCCAGGCTTGAGTACAGTGGTGCTATCTGGGCTCACTGCAACCTCTGCCTCCCAGGTTCAAGCGATTCTCCTGCCTCAGCCTCCCAAGTAGCTGGAATTACAGGTGCATGCCACCACGCCCAGCTATTTTCTTTTATTTTTAGTAGAGACAGGGTTTTGCCATGTTGGCCAGGTTTTTCTCGAACTCCTGACCTCATGTGATCCACATGCCTTGGCCTCCCAGAGTGCTGGGATTACCGGTGTGAGCCACCGTGCCTGGCCTGCCAGGCCGGTTTAAAAGAAAACACCACCACCCCAACTATTTGCTATTTTCAAGAGATGCATCTGAAGTATAAGGATACAGAAAAATTGAAAGTAAAAGGATGAATAAAATATACTATGCATGCAAACATACACGCACACATACATATGTGCATATATGCATGTGCACACACACACACAGAGAAAGAAGAAAGAAAGGAGGCAACTGGTGTAAACTATTATCAGACAAAATTGACCTTAGGAGATAAAGAGATATTTCAAAAGAAAAAAATGGTCATTCTAACAGTAAGATATAAAACCCCAAATCTGCATTCACCTGATAACACAGCCTCAAAAGATATAAAGCAAACACTGACAGCCTAATAGGTTAAGGAGTGTAATACAGGACAGAGGAGTCAGCAACTAACTTTTGCTAGGAACGTGAATGGAGGCTTCACTGAGGAGGAGCTATTTGAGCTGGCTTGCTATGGACTGAATGTGTGGACCCCCAAAATTCCTATGTTGAAATCCTAATCCCAATGTGATGATTTTAGAAGGTGGGGCCTTTAGAAGAGAGAAGAGCTTTCCTGAATGGGATTAGTGTCCTTATAAGAAGAGACACAGGAGAGATGATCCTGGCTTCTGCCACCTTTGCACTAGGAAGTAAGCTCTCACCAGACACTGGATCCACTGGCACCTTGATCTTGGACTTCCCAGCCTCCAGAACTGAGAGAAATAAATCATTGTTGTTTAAGCCATCCAGTCTATGGTATTTTTGTTACAGCAGCCCCAGTGGACTAAGACATGGGTCTTCAAGAATGTCTAGGCATTTTCTAGGTGAAAATGGCAACAGGAATAATAAGAACTGCTATTTCCTGATTTATTTACCTATACCATTTCACGACAATCTTAAAACAATCCTGCAGTGTGCGCACCATTAAGTCCCCAGCAGATAAATGATACTGAGGCCAAAAGAGGTGAAGAAGTTTGATTCAGATGATGAAGGAAGTGAGTGATAGAGTCAGGATTTGAACTGAGATCTATCCACTTCCAAAGCCGAGGTGTTTTGTCTTTGGCCATTCTGCCTCTGTGCAGACGCATTGCATTTGTTTGTTGTATCATGGGTTTGACTTGTGTCTGAAGCATTTATTTGAGGAAGACAAGAGTTGAGCAGCCATGATTATGTTATGAATTATAATGTTCCCAAGTTAAAAAGAAAACATTGTTAGATGGTATAACAACAAAAGCATGTGTTATCAATGAGAACTCATAAATCTGTAACAGGTGGCTTCACTGAAAGTCTTAGCGGAGACATCAGCCAAAGCATGCATGTCCCAGAATATGTACTGATATGCTTACTGTCATCTAATGGCAACATATGATAATTGCAGGGAAAATATACAAGAAAAGAGAAAATAAAGCTTTAGAGTGTAGTAACCAAAAACCTAAAGCCATAAAATGACAGTGAACATTGGAACCTGACATCAAGTTGTTTAATAAATATTTGTTGAATGAATAATTCATCGCCAAGCTGTTATGTCAGCTGGTTTTGTTTCACAATCTCCATGATTTATTTTTCCCCTTATTTTAAAAGTAAAATTGTTTTTTCTTGCTTTTAGAAATGTTAAAAAGACCAAAAAAAAAAAGTAAAAGTAAGAAATAGCAAACATCCATCATTTCAATACTTCCAGAATCAATTCTGGTCAACAGTCTTAATATGTTTTCTTCCAGTAGTGCTCCATAAGAAAAATTATCAGAATTTGTTGTTTTAAAAAATCATTATAATTATTGTTATTATTATTATTATTTTGAGATGGAGTCTCACTCTGTCACCCAGGCTGGAGTGCAGTGGTATGATCTTGGCTCACTGCAAGCTCCGCCTCCCGGGTTCACGCCATTCTCCTGCCTCAGCCTCCTGGGTAGCTGGGACTCCAGGCACCTGCTGCCACATCCGGCTAATTTTTTTTTTTTTTGTATTTTTAGTAGAGACGGGGTTTCACGGTGTTAGCCACGATGGTCTCGATCTCCTGACCTCGTGATCCGCCCACCTCGGCCTCCCAAAGTGCTGGGATTACAGATGTGAGCCACTGCTCCTGGCCATAATTTTTTAACTCAAGCCAAAAATAGTCCATAAAAATTAAAATTTTCAAGAATAAAAGTGATACCTATTCATTACATATACTGAAATCAAAACATGCTGAAAATCCCAAAGTTAGAAGTTAAAAAAAAACCCAAATCCCACCAGCCAGAGATAACCATTAATATTTGGTGAACATTATTTTGGACACCTCTATCTGCAAATACACAAACAGGATGGATGAAGGAACAGATGGGCAGAAATACTTTTACAAAACCAGAAGGATCAGATTTTGGATACTATTTTTTTTTTTTTTTTGAGACAGAGCCTCGCTCTGTTGCCCAGGCTGGAGTGCAGTGGTGTGATCTTGGCTCACTGCACCCTCCACTTCCCAGGTTCAAGTGATTATCCTGCCTTAGCCTCCCGAGTAGCTGGGACTACAGGTGCACACCACCACACCCGGCTAGTTTTTGTATTTTCAGTAGAGACAGGGTTTTACCATGTTGGCCAGGATGGCCTCGAAATCCTGACCTCAGGTGATTCACCCATCCCTGCCTCCCAAAGTGCTGGGATTACAGGCCCGAGCCACTGTGCCTAGCCAGATTTTGGATACTCTTTTAAATTTAATTTTACTTGAATTTAACAGAAGGAAGTAAAAGGGAAGTCAATGGAGTTATTGGATTCACATAAATATTTCTTCTATATGAGACATAGTGTCCCAAAAACATTCCTCTAAGTTTAAGAAAAGAAACTGTGAAAACATTAACAGGTTGAAGTCATTATGACTTTTTTCAAGGATTCATTTCTACTTTGATTTGTATAGACTGACTTCTTGCTGTGAAAGCTGAGTTAACTGGCCCTGCCACACTGGTGTGAACATACAGTTCTTAAGATAATGAAATCCTGGCCAGGTGCGATGGCTCACATCTGTAATCCCAGCATTTTGGGAGGCCGAGGCGGGCTAATTACGAGGTCAGGAGTTCGAGACCAGACCGGCCAACATGGTGAAACTCTGTCTCTACTAAAAATACAAAAAAAAAAAAAATTTAGCTGGGTATAGTGGCGGGTGCCTGTAATCCCAGCTACTCGGGAGGCTGAGGCAGGAGAATCGCTTGAACCCGGGAGGCGGAGGTTTCAGTGAGCTGAGATTGCACCACTGCACTCCAGCCCTGGTGACAGAGTGAGACTCCGTCTCAAAAAAAAAAAAAAAAAGATAATGAAATCCTTCCATGCCAATGCCAATTGGTGAAGAGTGGCTGCTGGGCCGCTCTCCCTCGAGGTCCCCCTCTGTTCTGATTACCCTGAGTGCCCTGCCAAGACCACCCCAGACCCCATTTCTTGGGGCAAATGGGACTCTGGACTCTTCTGCCAGCCCCCCTTCCACACTCCCCTTCCACCAAGGTAGCCCAGGTTTCACCTATTTTGATGCTGGGTGTCCATATAAGGCATTGTTTGTAGAATGTATTCAGCCACCAATGGGATTAGAAAGCTTGAAAGCTGCTGCTCCAGCTTGGCCCTCAGGGCCCTGCAGCTTGCCCAGCCCTCGAGTCTCAGAGAATGGAGCCCTTGCTGCCCTTTCTGCCTGAGCACTCACAGCTCATTAAGAAGTGGAAGCACACGTCTGCAATCACCGTGTAATTACCTTGCTTCCTAATTGGCAGCAGACAAGGCCGGCAGGTGTGGCAAACCCCCGGTAAGCTGGCTCCAGTAGGTTGAGGCAGAGGGTGCCTGGACTGCGGGAAGGGAGTGGGCTTCTCTCAGGCCCCAGTTCTGTGCCCCGCCCTGCGCCCAGAGCCCCACACTCAGGATCTTCACCGATCTCTTGAGGGGGGTGGTCCTCTCCTCAACTGAGGCCGAGAAGTACGCATCTGCCCGAGACCCCACCCGTCAGTGGGGTGGCCTAGATGTGAACCTGGGGCTGCCTCATGCCCAGACTTGCTGTTCCCGCCCAGGCCGCACAGAGGGAAGGAAAGACGTAGGCAGGGGTTGGAGCCGAGGAGCTCGGGGTACACCTTCGTTGCTGCCTTTGGAGACAGACACCCCAAAACACGACTCAGCACTTTTGCATCCCCCCCACCCCGCCGTGCAGCAGGGCCAGGCATGACCCAGCACTTTTGCATTATCCCCCCGCAGCCCGTGCAGCAGGGCCAGGCACAGGAAGGTATGTGGAGTGGATGAGTAGGGGGCCTGGGGAGAATGAGCCCCCCACTGGCGCTCCAGAGAGCTGGCTGTGTGGTCTGAAGCAGAGGGTCTTGAAGTCCGATGACCTGGGTTTAACTCCCAGCTCTGTCCCTCATCCCTGCGGCCTCAGGCAGCTCACTTTTGTGAGCCTCGGTTTACCCTTCTGAAGATATAGCTGTTTACCACCTCATGGTAGGGCAGTTAGGGGGTGCTCCGAGGACCCCAACAGGGACTCCACCAGTGGCAATGTTCATTACTTGGTGAGCCAGGAAATACCAAGCCGAGCTTCTGTTTACCTTCCCACAGCTCACTGTGTGCATGTCATATGCGTTGGGGTAGGAAGGAGGTCTCCAACTGTGCCCCCCGACCGGGTCAGGGACTTCAGCTATGCTTTGTGGAAGCGGGAGAGGCCACAGGTCAGGACTCAAACCAAGAAGCAGACCCCATGGAATGGGTGTCTGTGAATAGGCACGTGCTCGGTGGTGGGGGCAGCCTGTGGTCCCTAGATAGCTGCCATCCTGAGTCTCGCTGAAGCTCTGGGTCCACAGGACAGGTAGGCAGGGAGGGACGAGGGAGGACACATGGGCGAGAGGGAGAACAAGCCGGAACCACAGGTATGAGCTGGAGCCAGCGGCGTAGGCTGAAACCCGTGTCTGCCAGTGACCTGGGTGGTGTGGGCGCCCTGCTTGAGCCTGGCCTCTGTCACACAGCTAAACACACCTGGCACAAGAATGGGACAAGGGAAAGGTGGGCCAGTTGTGGCCCGCCACTGCCTCACGCCAGGGAGGCGGCAGGCAGATCAGCAGCGACATGTATGAGCGACAAACTGCTGCTGCCACTTTCACCTCCTCCCTCCAAATCTACGGGAGCGGCTCCTGTGGCCCCTCCTAACCAGAAATGTGCAGGGACCGGGGAGCTCATGAGGCGAGCTGCTCCCCACAGGAGGAGACCTCCATCCTGCAGCCACCCAGCAAAAGGTGTTCTGAAGCAATACTTCTGGGGTCATTAGTGGCTCCTTTGAGCTGCCCCGTGGGAGGGCCAAGGGCTCAGTGCTGGGCACGAGGACCTTTGCCTCAGTCACCTGTCCCTGCCTTGTCCCCAACCAGACATTGGGGGTCCCCGCCATGTTCACTTCTACCATATTTCCAAGCCCACCCCCTTCTCTCTGCCCCACAGCCCTACCCCAGACCAGTCCCACCCTAGCTCAGCCCCACGGCGGCCCTCCAGGACTGGGGCACTGTGTCCTCACACCGAGGCTACAGCTGGACCCTGTCACTTCCCGCTTTTGCATTTATAACAGTCCCAACTGCAGCAGTGGACACCCTGCCATCAGAATCTGCTGGGGAGCTTTTCCAGAGTGTGGGTGTCAGTCCCACCCTGGCCTACTGGATCGGAACCCAAAACCAAAAGCCCTGCCTCAGCGAGCAAGTTCAAAGTCATTGGCCCAAAGGAAAAACTCCAAGTCCTTTGTTGGTCATTCAGGTACCTTGAGATTTTGGCTTGCATCTTCATCTCCAGCCTGATCCCTTGCCCCAATCCCAGACCCCACACCCCATGTTCCATTTGCCCTAAACTCCTGATGCCTGGGTCACACCCACATTTTTGCTCACACTCTCCTTGCTGTCCAGAACATCTTCTCCCCAGCAACTTTCCTTGTGGCAAACTCCTATTCACATTCCAAGGCACTACTCAAAGGTCACCTCCTCTGTGCAGCCCTCCCTGATTGCTCCCACAGCCACACTCCTACCTCACATTCATTTTCAGTGCTTTCCACTTTGTTTTGTGCCATGTGGTTCTCATGTCTGACTCCCTACTAGACTGGCAACTTTTCGAGGGCAGGGGCCTGACTCCCTGTATAGTACCCAGAGCAAGGTCTGGCACAGAGTAGTGACGGAGTGAATGAGCAAATGAATAAATAACCAAACTGCAACTTTGGGTGCGGGGCCTAGCTAGTAGGAAGTGCAGATTGGTTGAGGGCAGGTGGAAGACAGAATCACTGTGTCTTTGCCACACCTGCCCTCGAGGGCCAAAGGCTCCAGAGAAGGTGGAGAGCTCGGGTAGTCAGCTGTTAATTTTCTTTTTATTAAAAAAATATATATAATCTGTGCTCTTGGTAAAAATTCAAATCGTTATGGAATTGTGCAAAGTAAAAGCTGCCAGTTCTTCACTCCCCGCCCACAGTCCCCTTCTGTTTCAGAGGTAACCTCTGCCGGGGAGACTGGTTTTTAGTGGAAAGTTTTGGGAACCTGACAGGTCTGACCGGTTTCTCCCCCCACTTGAGCTGGGGCCACCACGGGCAGCTCTCAGTGACCTGTGGCTGAGATCTTATGTGTCCTTCAGCCCCAGGTCCCTCTCAGAGCTGTCTGTGCCCCTTCCTCTATGCCCGGGTGGCCAGCACCAGTCAGGTCGGCTCCACAGCAGCAGAGTCTGACTGTTGCCAGTGACTTCACCTCTCTGACCTGCAGTCTCTTCATCAGTCTCTTACTTGTTACTCTTCATCCTTGCTGCCAGGGTGGTCATGAGGGCTGACTGAGGAACAGGCTGTGCACACGCAGCTCAGGACCTTGGTAAATATTCCTGCTTCGTTCCCTCTTCCACCTCAAGCCCACCCTGTGATGCAGGCTTTGAGGTGGGCCTTCCCATGCGGAGTCCTGGAGAGGTCGGGGTGAATGCATGCCTCAGAAAAGCCCCTTAGCCTGGAGAGAGCCTGGTGTTCATTCATTCACTCCACGCATTCCCCAAGCACCCACTCTGGACCCTTGGAGAACAGAGCTGAGTGAGCTGGGACCCCTAGGGAGGAGCCCGTCATTGGTCAGGAACCTGCTAGGCTGCAAAGGGCTGAGATCTGTGCCGGGAGATGTGGGTGCAACGATGAGAAGGACCAGCATGCCTGGGATCTGTGTGAATGTGGAAGGATAACCGCAGGGACTTACATCTCATCAGCTCCCTCTTTCTCCCCCTTCCTTCCTCACATCCCAGTGAGAGCATCAGGCCTGCCAACAACCCCATGGTACAACAAGAAAATGGCTGTGCTGGAGGTAGGTGCAGAGCCTCCGGGAAGGTTTCCCAGTGGACTCGAAGCTGGAGCTGGGACCTGAAGGATGAGGAAGGGCATTCTGGTTGAAGGAACTGCATGTGGGAAGGCACAGAGGCAGGAAAAAACCTGCCTGCTCTGGGAACCACCAGTGGTTTCTCGTCGGTGGGTGGTGAGGGGCCCCTGCGGGGTCTGGAGCCATTAGCCCAGGAAGTCGGGGCTCCCCCAGCTGGTTGCTCCTTGGCTGTTTTGGGAGGAAGCGGCCCTGGACCTCAGACTGCACAAAAGGAGGCTTTGACATTGGTTGGGAGAAGGGAAGTCAGGAGGGAGGAAGGAGCTGGTGTGTATTTTTGGATGTAGCTCAGGAATCTGCTCCTCCCTCCAGCACCATGGCAACAGGCCTCTGAGAACTGCTGATCTGACGGTGGGGGCGGGCTGGGGGTGGAGGGCAGCTCTGTGGCCCTGGGCGAGTCGATTCCCCTCTCCGAGCCTCAGTTTGGGCATCTGTTTTGTGGGGATGGCCATACGGGTGGGGCGGTGGCTGGGAGGAGTCCCAAGGGGCCAGACCCATAGTGGTTAGCTCCTCGGAAACATTTTTAGGGGGAGGGAGGGGGCTGCAGGAGCATCCTGGGTGGTCCCGAGTCCAGAAGGTTTGGCAAGGCCATCAGGAGTCCTTGAGCCTAAGTGGCCCCTCAGAGTCGGCCTGCACCTCTCAGGACCGGGCCTGCCTCGGTGGCCCCACTGCACCCAGTTTCCAGCCAGGAGCCCCCGTGGGAGGCAGGATGGCAGCTGGGTCCCGCAGCCCCTGAAGCCGGAGGGCTGGGCGGCAGGTCCTCACAGCCGCCCCTGCACAAGCGCACCCCCAAAGCTCCAGGGCTTTTGCTGTTTCTAGAACTCCACCAGAGCAGGAAATGGGGGGATGAGCCCCATATTTGTTTCCCAGGGTTGTCATTAAGAAACTGCCACAAACCGGCTTAAAACAACAGAATTTATCTCTTGCAGCCCTGGACGCCGGAAATCTGAGATGAAGGTGCCGGCAGGGCCCTGCCCGCTCTGAAGTCTCTGGGGGAAGCTTCTTTGCCTCTTCCAGCTTCTGGTGGCTCCACGCACTGCTGGGCTCGTGGCTGCCTCCCTCTGGTCTCTGCCCCGGTCTGCACGTGGCCTTCCCTGCGTGTTTCTGTGTCCTTGCTGCTGCTTAGAAGCACAGCAGCCATTGGATTAGGACCCACTCTCATCCAGCATGGCCTCATCTTAACTCATTACGTCTACAAAATCTCCATTTCCAAATAAGGTCCCATTCTGGGGTCCTGAGTGGACACGGCGGGGACACCATCAACCCATCCTAAGGCCTTCTTGGGCAGCCTCAGGGGGAAGCCGGACCAGCCTTAAGTGAAAGTGGAGGGTTCCAAGGATCCTACAAAGGGGCCCTGACCCAGTCGGTGGGCAGCAGGGGACAGAGTGGACGTGGAACTTGTAGACAGACAGAACGATGCACAGGACTCACCCCCACCACCAGAGGTCTGTGTGCAGAGACGACAGAGGGCAGCGTCCCTCCCACTGCCCATCACCCATGGAGTGTGGAAAATCCCGGTCAAGACAGCAGCCCGGGCCGTGAAATCGAATCTGGGGGTCCCAAGCATCGGCGTTTGTGCAGCTCTCGGTGGTTCCAAAGTCAGCCAAGATCTCGGTTCTGGGCCGCCAGGGGCTCTGGAGTCAGACACCTCGTGTCTAAGTCTCCACCAGTTACTGACCGAGCGACCTCAGCAGTACGTTCACCGCTCCGGGTGTCCCTGTCCCCTGTGGATGGCATCATTGCCTCCCTTATGGAGATGAGAAGAATCAAACGGGAACGTTGGCTCCGTGCCTGTCACGAGGGAAGTGCTTGATAGACGGTGCCCTTCTGCGCCACGTAGAGAGAAAACCGAGGGAGCCTCATTTAAACTGCAGGCCTGGGAAGGCCTGTGGACTTTCAGGGAAGCTGAGAAGGGGCCCTGGCACCGGTCTGCATGCCAGCTGGGCAGGGCAGGGTGAGCCTGGTGCATATACCTGGGGCCACACAGCAGGGCCTCATGCTTCTTTTTTGGACCCACTTGACGGATGGGGAGACTGAGTTCAGAGAGGCCAAGTGGCTTGCCAGGGTCACGCAGCTGATACACAGCAAATGGATTTTAAACCCACCTGACCGCAATTCCAAGCATTGTTTTCTTGGGTCAAACCTTGGGAGCTCAAAGGGTGATCCTGACCTGTGATGGCTCCATTTTATGCAGAATATTTTGTTTTGTTTTTTAATTTGCCTGTTTACTCTAATGTTCCCAGTCGTTTTCCTCCCAGGGATCCTCACTCACAAGTGGACTCTGACGGCCTCGGGGGCTCAGATTTCACAATCGGCTAAGGCTAACATAAGGCCTTCCAGGTTACAAGGCTGAAAGTTATTTTCCATCATTCATTTGTTCACTTTACATAACATGCACCTATTGAGCACCTGCTGTATACTGGGAACCAAGTTAAACACCAGGTTTGCAGAGGTGGACAAGGCCCTGTTCCTGCCTCCAGGGTCTCCAACCCATCAGGAGACGCAGGCCCTTTGACAGACACTGGTGATAAAATGACAGTGGAGGTCTGTTCAAGATACAGGCAAGTTGGATGGGTGGGGTGGGAATGCCCACTGCCCTTGAGGGTGGGCAGGGGACAGAGGTGTCATTTACGGTGGGTGTCAAGGAGTTTGGTTCAGAACAAGAGCAAAGGCGTGTGCCCCAGGATGTGGGACAGCACGTGGGAAGACAAGGTGAGGCAGACTTTGGGGACTATCAGGGGCTCCAAGTGGTTGGTGTTGGGGGTGTCGAGAAGTGGAGGTGGAGGCCAGGACAGGACAGGGGCTGGGTGAGAGGCTAGTGCAGACAGGCAGAGGGAGGCATGGCAGGGCAGTGATGGGAGGAGGAGGGCCGCTGGGGTAAGGTGTAGTCTCAGTAGTTCCGTGGGTCTGGCTGCTTCCCAGGAGCTGACTAGACCCTCATGGCCAAGTTCATAGTCCTATGCAGTCTGACCTTAGCCTACCTGCCCAGCCCAATCCCTCTGCAGCTGCCACTCACACCTTCCAGCCGAGAACATCTTCCCAGCTAGGAAACCGTCACACCTGTACACCTTTGCACCTGCTTGTCCCCTCACTCCCTGGGGCATGCCCACCCGTGCATCAGTTGAAGCCCAAATGTGCCATCATCTGAGAAACATTCCCAGTGTCCCCACAAAAAGAGGCTGGTGCCTCCTCTCGGCCACTGCAGCCTGGACATCTGCCTATTCATTCATGCTGTCGCCACACTGCACTGCCATGGCTCATGTATGTGAGTTTCCTCTTCCCTGCTGTTGAGTGTAGGCTTCTTAATTATCTCTATATATCACTAGCCCCTAGGAACAAGGTTCGCCACACAGTAGCTGCTCAGGGCTTTTGATGAAAGAAGGAATGAGATTGCTGGCAAGGTAGGTGGGGGGATGGTGGGATGGATGGATGGATGACTGGATGGAGAGAGGATGGAAGGATGGGTGGTGATAATGGATAGTTGGATGGGGAAGTGGAGGGATCATGGATCTCTGGCTGGGTGGATAAGTGAATAGGTGGGTGGATAGGCAGGTAGGGAGGTGATGGATAGGCGAATAGGTAGATAGACAGATGGGGGAGGGGATCATTGTGGATAGATAGGTAGAGGAGGAATGGTGAATACATAGATAGGCAGACAAGTGGGTGGGTGGCTGGATAGGTGGGCAGGTGGGTGGTAGATGGATAAAGGAGTGAGTGGGCAAGTTGTACTTTTTGAACCAATTTACATCTGGGCAACACAGTAAGAATAAAGGATTATGACCAAGGACAAAAGTTGCTGGGTTAGATTTCATGGAGGAGTAGGTGGATGGATGATGGGTGGGAGAGGACAAACGATAGGCTGGTGGGCTCTGTCATGATTCCCCCAAATGGGGATGCAGCAAGTCCAGTTCCAGCTGGTTCCAAGGGACGGACTCAGGTAGATGGGACGGGTGCTGATCATAATCCCAAAGACACAATCCCGATGCCGTGATCCCAAACACTGAAACCCCAAAAGGTCAAAATCTCCAAAGTCTAAATCCCCCAAATCACAATTCCAAGAGGTTAAAATCTTGAATGTTGAAATCTTGAAAGCCAAATTCTGAGGAAAGGATCAGTGCGTTTTCGGTTGTACACGAGATAGTTGCACCATGTTCACTGCATCAAGTTAGGCGAGCTAGTGCCTTGTTATTGTCTTTATTTGGAAATAGCATGGTTTAAGGAGACGTGTATGGGTGCCGAGTTGACAATGGGTGGATTTGCGGACTTTATTTCAGGTGTTGACTTGGCTGGATTAAGGAATCTGGGCGTGGGCCAGGTACGGTGGCACATGCCTGTGATCCCAGCACTTTGAGAGGCTGAAGTGGGCAAATCACTGGAGTTTAGGAGTTTGAGACCAGCCTAGACAACATGGTGAAACCCCATCTCTAAAAAAAAAAAATTAAAAAAATTAAAAAATACAAAAATTAGCCTGGCATAATGGTGCACACCTGTGGTCCCAGCTACTTGGGAGGCTGAGAAGGAAGGATCATTTCAGCCCAGGAGGTCAAGGCTGAGGAGGAAGGATCATTTGAGCTCAGGAAGTCAAACGCTGCAGTGAGCTGGGATCGTGCTACTGTCTGGGCAACAGAGTGAGACCCTGTCTCAAAAGAAAAAAAAAAAAAGAAATTTGGGTGTTTCTGTGAAGGTGCTTCCAGAAGCGGTTGGTGAGTGAGTCTAGATGGATTAGGTGGGGAAGCTCTCCCCTCACTGTTGGTGGGCACCATGTAATTGGCCAGGGGCCTGAGAGAACAAAGTAAGAAGGCAAATTGTCTCTTTTTTTGTTTGTTTGTTTGAGACGGAGTCTCGCTCTTTTGCCCAGGCTGGAGTGCAGTGGCATGATCTTGGCTGTCTGTGACCTCCGCCTCCCAGGTTCAAGCGATTCTCCTGCCTCAGCCTCCTGAGTAGCTGGGATTACAGGTGCCCGCCACCATGCCCAGCTAATTTTTGCATTTTTTTTTTCAGTAGAAATGGGATTTTGCCCTGTTAACCAGACTGGTCTTGAACTCCTGACCTCAAGTGATCCTCCCGCCTCAACCTCCCAAAGTGCTGGGATTACAGGCCTGAACCACTGTGCCTGGCCCGAATTGGTCTCTTTCTGAGAGCTGGGACTTCTCCTCTGCTGCCTTGGACATTAGAAATTTGACTCCATGGAGCTGCATTACCATATGCTGACTGTGTGTGTAAGCATTGGACATGTATGGAAAAACATCGAAACTTCCTCAGTAAACGAACAGGTGCACTTTATGTATGACTGTACGTGTGAAAGGTAAAATTTCTTCAGAGCTCGGCTTTTTGGGTGACTGCCTAGGCTGTCATGACCCATCATGGTTTTTAAAATTTTTCTTTTTATTTTTTTGAGACAGAGTCTTACTCTGTCATCCAGGCTGGAGTGCGATGGCGTGATCTCGCTCACTGCAACCTCTGCCTCCTGGGTTCAAGCGAATCTCCTGCCTCAGCCTCACGAGAAGCTGAGATTACAGGTGCCCGCCACCACGCCCAGCTAATTTTTGTATTTTAATAGAGATGGGGTTTCACCATGTTGGTCAGGCTGGTCTCGAACTCCTGACCTCAAATGGTCTGCTTGCCTCGGCCTCCCAACGTGCTGGGATTACAGGTGTGTGTGTGAGCCACTGCGCCCAGCCCCATCATGGTTTTTGATAGATCTTGTGAAAGACTTAGGTTGTCCGTCAGGGTATTTCAGATGACCGCAGTTATAAAGCTGAGTGCATACAATTACCAGCCATGCTTAATTACCAGCCACAGTGATGTGTGCTTATACCTTTCACTTTTTTGTCTGCTCATAACTGTCATACCCTCATGATTGCTGCTAGCATACCTGTTTATGCTTGCAAATATATGTATGTCATTTTTGCCTATTTCATTGTATAAAATGGCCTATGAAGTGTTCTGTCATGTTTTTATGTTTCTCATGTAAATCTCCTGTTAAAAATGTAAATACATTTTTTAAATAACTTTGAAAAATTATTTTTTTCCAGAATTATATTTTCAGGATTTTTGATCTTTCGGGATTTGTGACTTTGTGGATTTTAGATTTTAGAGATTTTACTCTGTTAGGATTTAACATTTGGAATTATAGTGTTTGGGATTGTGTCTTTTGGGATTATGGCCAGAACCCAGATGGGACTTGAGTGGGGACCATATGACAAGGCAGGGAAGGGTGGTACCAGAATCCAGCCCTGGGAAATGTGTGGCAAACAGGGCCTGGCTGGCCAATTGGGGCACAGGGCGGAAGGGAGGTCCCACCAGACCCCTGCCAACCTGCAGTGGCATCCATCTCTGTGTGGGCAGGGTCTCCAAGCCACTCTCCTCAGCTTGCTGGCATCCTAGCCCCAGCCTGTCGGGGTTCCCTGCTCCCTGCCTGGCATCTATCTTCCATATTCCATCAACCTGGGTTTTTTGTTTGTTGGTTGGTTTTTTTTTTGTTTTGTTTTTTATTTTGAGACGGAATCTCATTCTGTTACCCAAGCTGGAGTGCAGTGGAGTGATCTCGGCTCACTGCAACCTTCACCTCTTGGGTTCAAGGGATTCTTCTGCCTTAGCCTCCTGAGTAGCTGGGATTACAGGCATGTGCCATCGCACCCAGCTAACTTTTGTATTTTTAGTAGAGACGGTGTTTCACTATGTTGGCCAGGCTGGACTCAAACTCCTAACCTCAAGTGATCCTCCTGCCTCGGCCTCCCAAAGTGCTAGGATTACAGGCGTGAGCCACCGCACCTGGCCCATCAACCTGGTTTTGAACTTTCTGCCTGAGCCTTGAACTTGACCCCTCTGGGTTGCTAACCTGGGGCATGTGTCCCCAGACTTCATGCCAGTCCCTTCCCCAGACTTCCCCCAGGCTACTTAGCTGGACCCAACCCTGGCCTAGTCAGGCCCCCACTGGCTGGGGAGAGATAGCAGGCCCAGCACATGTGGACTATGAGGGTTAATCGTAGGCATCAACAGGACTGGATTGAGGAGCATCTAGAGAATTGGTGAAGAGTGGCTCCTGGGTGTGTCTGTGCAGCTGCTTCCAGAGGAGACCGAGTAGGGAAGATCCGTCCCCAGTGAGTGTAGGCACCATCCAGTTGACTGGGGGCCCAGACAGCACAAAAAAGGAGACAAAGAGTGAATGCCTCTCTCCCTCCTGGGGCTGGGACTCTCTCCTTCTGCCCTTGGATATCAGAATTCCAGGCTCTAAGACTTGTACCAGTGGTTCCATGGCTTCTCAGGCCTTTGGTCTTGGACTGAGAGTTACAGCATTGGCTTCCTGTGTTCTGAGCCTTTCAGACTTGGACTGAACTCTGCTGCCGGCAGAGTTCTCCCGCTTGTGGAGGCAATTGTGGTGGGACTTCTCAGCCTCCATGATGGAGTGCGCCAGCTCCCCTCAAAAATCCCCTCTCTTACCTCTCTATATCTCCATCCATCCATCCATCCGTCTATCCATTAATCAATGAATCAATCAATCATCTATCAATCCATCCATCCATCTACCCATCTATCCATCTATCCATCTGTCCGTCTGTCTGTCCATCCATCTATCCATCAATCTGTCCATCCACCCATCCATCCATCTGCCCATCCATCAATCAATGAATCAATCAATCATCTATCAATCCATCCATCTACCCATCTACCCATTCATGTATCCATCTGTCCATCTGTCTGTCTATCCATCCATCCATCCCTCTGTCCATCCATCCATCCGTCCATCCACCCACCCATCCAACCATCTATACATGCATCAATCTACCCATCCATTCATCTCTCCGTCTGTCTGTCTGTCTTTCCATCCGTCTGTCCATCCATTCACCCATCCATCTCCTATTGGTCAGTCTCTGTAGGCCCCTGACTAATACTAGGATAACTACTATCTCCCAGCCACTCCTACTTCTAGACTTCAAACATCCAAAGAGCTCAATGCCTGATCTTTACTTTTGCTCTCTTTTCTTCTTTTGTATTTTAAACACAAAAGGGACTTGTACCTGTGGATTTGTATCTTAGGAAGACAAAAACCAGCTGGTATTAGCCCCTTGTCTCCCCATCCACAGGAAGGAGGGGGAAGTACTCGGACCTTAAAGGGGTTCACTCTGGAGTGGGGCAGGTGGGACAGAGGGAAGTTCTGAGAGCTCCTCACTGGCTCGGGAGGGAGGCAGAGCTGTGGGCCCAGTGCCTGCCTCAGGTGCCTGGCAGGTGGCAGATGACCCTCAGGATGTGGCCCCTGGCACCTGGTTCCTCACTGTGGCCAGGATCCTGCAAGGGTGCCTGGGCCCAGCCCAGGAGCTGAGGAACTGCAGGTGCCCATGTGGGCACAACTGGGCCCTGAGGGGTCACTGGGGGAAGCAGCGGTCCTGGAATGACTGCACTGAATTTCCCATCAGCCTTGTAAAGGAGGCTTTCAGAAATCGGACATTTCCTTCACCCCATATTGTTGAGAACAATTCATTCTCAGCACATGTTGAATATAAATAAAATCAGAACAATGGATGTGCTTTGTCAGCCCCTAGATCCAGAAGTGGATTTGGAAAAACCTTGTCCCCAGCAGCCTGGGCTGCAGCCTCTCGGGTCTCTTGGCGATATCCTGCAGGAAAGGGCCAGGTCAGGGTTGGGGGGTCCTTTCTCTCAGGGAATTAGGGGTTCCAGGGCTCCTGGCTATGCCGACAGCTACTGAGGGTTTGGCCTGTTGGGCCTGGAGATGGGAGGCCTCTGACTGACCTCTCTGTCCCTAGGGGAGGAGGGGCAGGGCATCCCCCACCACTTCACTGGGCAAGAGGCCACTGTGGCCTGGATTAAGGGGGGTGTTGAGAGAGAGGGGCCCAGGCGTGCCCAGAACTCTGTGTGCCCTAGGCTGGGCTCTGGGCCGCTGTGTGCTCCTTCCTGGGGAACGGGATGGGGGGGACATAAACCTGTGGAGGTAACTGTGGATGCTGTTGTCCTAAGTGCTTCACAGGAATTATCTCGCATTTAACACTTGCAGCCACCCTCTGAGGAGGCCGCTGTCTTGATCTGTGCTGCTATAACAAAATGCCACAGCCTGGGTGATTTATAAACCGTAGAAACTTATTTCTTACAGTTCTGGAGGCTGGGATATCCAAACTCATGGTGCCGGCAGATTCGTGTCTGGTGAGGACTGTTTTCTCTGCTTCAAGATGGAGCCCTGTTGCTGCATCTTTTCTAGGAAGATGAACACTGTCCTCCTATGGTGGAACAGAAGGGAAAAAGGCATGAACGGCTCCCTTGTGCCTCTCATATAAGGTCACTAATCCCATTCTCAAGGGCTCCACCCTCATGACCTAATCACCTCCCAAAGGCCCCACCTGTTAATGCTATGGCATTGCTGGTTATGTTGCAACATAAGAATTTGGGCGGACACATTCAGACCATAGCAGGCACCATTAGTAAGCCCATCTTATGGATCAGGAAACCAGAACACAGGGAGGTTCGGCAATTTGTCCGAGGTCACACAGCCAGGATTGGGTGTGGGTCCCAGCTCTTCTGGCAGTGCTGGTTTTGGGCACTTTATTTCATCTCTTTCTGCTTGTCTTCTCAACTCTTACATGCGAAGACCACGGTACAGCTCTTATTACTGTAGTTGTCCCGGGGAGACCCGTGTGTCCGTGGCATCCACGTGGCAGATGCTGTGCCCAGGCCGTGGACTCTGGATAGGCTCAGGCCTATGACTTTACCTGCCACTCTCTCTTCCAGCGGTCCCAGTGCCCCTAGTCCCCAAGGGCAGTCAGCTCCTTTTTTTTTTTTTGAGACAGGGTCTTACTCTGTCACCCACGCTGAAGTGCAGTGATGTGATCAAGGTTCACCGCAGCCTTGACCTCCCCAAGCTCAGGTGATCCTCCCACCTTAGCCTCCCAAGTAGCTAGGACTACAGGTGCATGCTACCATGCCCAGCAAAGTTTTATACATGTATATATTTTTCCAGAGACAGGGTCTCGCTATGCTGGTCTTGAACTCTGGGACTCAAGTGATCTGCACACCTCAGCCTCCCAAAGTGCTGAGATTACAGACATGAAACACTGCGACCGGGCGACTTCCCTTATAATCACATTCCTGATTACACTTAGGGCCCATCCAGATACTCCAGGGTAATCTCTCCATCTCAGGGTCCCTAACTTAATCCCATCTGCAAAGACTTTTGCCTTCTAAGGTAACCTCCACAGGTTTCAGGGATGCGGACCTGGGTATCTCTGGGGGCCATGATATCTAGTATGATTATTTATTGTTATTGATTATTCAGCTTACTGCAGTGTACACATGGCCACGGGACCACCACTCTTTGGTCTATGGCTGTCATCTGTGAAGAGCTACAGCACTTTTTCCACTGAGCCTGAATATGCAGCCTCAGAAGCCTTGTTGTCATTGTTGCTGTTTGAGACGGGGTCTCACTATGTTGCCCAGGCTACTCGCCAACTCCTGGGCTCAAGTAATCCTCCCGCCTCAACCACCCACCCCCGCCTGAGTAGCTGGGACTACAGGTATGCACCACCATACCTGGCTAAATTTTTAAAATTATTTTGCAGAGACAGTCCCACTATGCTGCCTGGGCTGGTCTCAAACACCTGGCCTCAAGCAATCCTCCTGCCTCAGCCCCACAAAGTACTGGAATTACAAGCATGAGCCACCTTGCCTGGCCAGAATGTTTCTTAATTTCCAAGTTGTTAGGCTGTTGGTCATCTTTTTTTTTTTTTAATTCCTCATGTTATTAGACTATGATCAGAGAAGTGTTCTATAAAATCTCTGCTTTTTAAAATCTGGCCAAGTTTTTGTTTTGGTCGAGTATATAAGACATGTTTGCAGCTAATCGATGGATGTAAGAACAATTCCCCACTAAACAGCGACATGATTCTATCAGTCAATTCCTTCATTTCCTTCTTGTCTTTTTTGTCTGTTTAATTCTGCAGATGTATTAAAATGCCTTCTGTAATCTCTCCGGTTTTCTTGCCTTGATGATGGGAATCAGTTTCCACCCCTAGGGTCTGGCAAGGAGGCCAACCCGACCCAGTGCCTTCTCCGCTACTGAAACCTGTGACACAAAGGAACCTAGGACTTCCACACGCTGGACCCCCAGCCTATGTGCCAGAGCAGGAAGTCAGGAGCTGGATGGAGGTCTCCTCAGAAGGGAGTCAGGCCACATTGTTCCATAATGCTCTGCTGTAATCAGCCCTTCTGTGTTTGAGAGCTTTCAAAAAGAGCTGACTGGCCAGGTGCAGTGGTCAGGAGTTCCAGACCAGCCTGGCCAACATGGCAAAAACCCATCTCTACTAAAAATACAAAAATTAGCTGGGCGTGGTGGCACACACCTGTAATTCCAGCTACTCCAGAGGCTGAGGCAGGGGAATCACTTGAACCCAGGAGGTGGAGGTGGCAGCGAGCTGAGAACGCACCACTGCACTCCAGCCAGGGTGACAGAGCAAGACTCTGTCTCAAAAAAAAAAAAAAAAAAAAAAAAAAAAGAGGGAAGTAAAGGGAGACTTGAAACAGAAGAGGGCATTGAGGCCACTGAGGCAAGAGGCCACCCTGCTGACTTTAGGATGGAAGAAGGGGCCGGGAGCCGAGAAATGAAAGGGATGCAACTCTAGAAGCTGGAAGAGCTGAAGAAACAGATGTTCCCCTGGAGCTTCTGGAGGAGGCCTTGCCGACACATTGATTTTGGCCAGTGGAGCTGATTTCAGACCCCTGACCTCCAGAACTGTAAGACAGTAGATGTGAGGCACTTCTGCCACCAGCTCTGTGGTCATTTGTACAAACAACATAAGGAAAAGAATATGCACCTGTCCTTGGCTCTTCCGCCATGGCCTTCTCACCTATGTCAGATCAGGCTGCCACGGCAAAATCCCACAGACTGGACAGCTGAAACAACTGAAATTTATTCCTCCCTGACGCGGAGGCCAGGAGTCCAAAATCAAGGTGCCGCTGATTCTGTGAGGACCCGCTTCTTGGCTTGCAGTTGGCCACCTTCTCACTGTGTCCTCACTTGGCAGAGGGCGAGGGGCTCTCTCTCTTTTTTTTTTTTTTTTTTTTTTGAGACACAGTCTTACTCTGTTGCCTAGGCTGGAGTGCAGTAGCAAAATCTCGGCTCACTGCAACCTCTACCTCCTTGGTTCAAGTGATCCTCCCTCCTCAGCCTCCCACGTATCTGGGAGTACAGGCGTGGGCCACCACGCCCGGCTAATTTCTATATTTTTAGTAGAGATGGGGTTTCGCCATGTTGGCCAGGTTGGTCTCGAACTCTTGACTTCAGGTGATCCTGCCTCAGCCTCCCAAAGTGCTGGGATTTCAGGCGTGAGCCACGGTGCCTGGCCAGGAGCTCTCTTTCTATAAGAACGTGAATCCTATCAGAGCAGGGCCCTACCCCCGGGACTCATTCAACCTTAATGACTTCCTTACTCCAAGCACAGTCATACTGGGGGTCCGGGCTCCAACATCTGCATTTAGGGTGGACATAATTCAGTCCATAGCACCACCTTTCTCTCTCCTTTGCACCTCAGTGATGGATCTGCCCATTCATTTTATCTGCACATAGTAAGCACCTGCTGTGTGCAAGGCCCTGGGTGGCTCTGTGTTGAGTACATCTGCAGAGTGCCTCCTGCCAGACCGTGCTGGGCTCTTCTACACACCTGGCTACACTTATTTCTTATTTCTTTTCTTTTTTTCTTTTTTTTGAGACAGAGTCTCACTCTCTCGCCCAGGCTGGAGTGCAGTGGCGCAATCTCAGCTCACTGCAAGCTCCACCTCCCGGGTTCATGCCATTCTCCCGTCTCAGCCTCCTGAGTAGCTGGGACTACAGGCGTCCGCCACCACGCCCGGCTAATTTTTTGTATTTTTAGTAGAGATGGTGGTTCACCGTGTTACCCAGGATGGTCTCAATCTCCTGACTTTGTGATCCGCCCACCTCGGACTCCCAAAGTGCTGGGATTACAGGCGTGAGCCACCGTGCCTGGCCCACACTTATTTTTTATAGCCAGCCCGGAAGTCATTACTAGAGGGCCCTCCCTGCACGCTATGGCTGTGGTGTGTGAGTGGATGCCCAGACAGCCAGGGTGTTTCCTCAACAATTTTAGAAAAAATTGTTATGTGAAAAGCATCTGTTGATCGTTGTTTTTTTTTTGTTTTTTTTTGTTTTTTTTTTTTTGTTTTTTTTTTTTTTTAGACAAGGTCTCACTCTGTTCCCCAGGCTGGAGTGCAATGGTGTGATCATGGCTCACTGTAGTGTCAGCCTCCTGGGCTCAAGTGATCTTCCCACCTCAGCCTCCTGGGTAGCTGGGACTACAGGCACGCACCACCATGCCCAGCTAATTTTTGTATTTTTTGCAGAGACAAGAGTTTCACCGTGTTGGCCAGCCTGGTCTCAAACTCCTGGGCTCAAGCGATTCTCCTGCTTCGGCCTCTCAAGTGCCGGAGTTACAGGTGTGACACATCAAGTGCAGTCCCACACAGACTCCCGGTTGACTGCCTGGGTGACCTTGGGTGGTCTTTGTTTCTGGGGTGCTACCTCCCTTGTTGGTTCTCTTAACCCAGCTCTCAGACCTGTCAACGGCCCTTCTGCTGAACACCTGCCTGAGGATCGTTGGCGTGTGTTATCTGTTTCCTGCTGGGATCATGACAGACACAACTGGAAAAAAGCCCCGGCGAGCAAGGCCTGGGCCTGAGTCCACAGGGGGGTCCAGAGGGGAGCCCCCTCCCCCTGCAGTCCAGGCAGGCTTAAGAACCCTGAGGCAGGGTGGTGACTACGGGGGAAGCCCTCGGGGCAGTTAGGTGCACACACAGTCACCCATGCCCCTGTGAGGAGCAGCTGTGGCTCATTTCACAGGCCAGGCTACTGCAGTACAGAGAGGGTGAGTGACTTCCCGAAGGACACACAGCAGGAAAGGCACAGGGTTAAAAACAGCCCTGCCTGCCTGCAGCCCGAGTGTCCTTTCACAGTGACCTCTGGGCCCCTGCAGGTGCTGGCCCCACACTGAGACTGCTTGTTCTGATCCCCTTCACCCTCCTGCCCTGCTTTCCCTGACACCAAGGCACTCCCCAACTCCTGCAGCCTACCTGGCCCCAGCTGGCACGTGAGGCTGCCTCAGCCCCAGGAAAGGGCGTGGTTACAGTGTAACAAACTGTGTGTCTCTGTCTCCATCATAAGAGATTCAGAAAGATTACAGTCAGAGCAGGCCTCATCCTGGGCCCAGTAAGGGGGCCCCCTTACTCTGACATCTGGGCGTCTACTCTCTGTTCTGTCCCTCCCAGGCTGTGACCTTGGCAAGGGTCGCGCTGTATTGGGGCAGGGGCCTTGTGCAGAGAACTCCTGGCCTTCCCCGGCCATCTGCTTGTGGCTTGGATTACAAAGTACCATTATTTATTCTTTGGCTTCTTCCTGCCTGCCTGCCTTCCCCAGCGGGGAGAGAGAGAGAGAGAGAGAGAGAGAGAGAGTGTGTGTGTGTGTGTGTGTGTGTGTGCTTTACCTTGAGAAGAAAATTGATTCAGGCTTCTGTAAACCTCCCAACTGACTTCCTGCATCAAGTTGAGAAATGGAGCTGGGCTGGGTGCTGACTGATCACGGCTCCCTGATGGGATCCCTGCCTCCCCCGAAGCCTGAGGGACCAGGCTGGACAACACTGAACCCCAAAGCCTTCATCTGGTCATAAACCCCCAGCTCCTGCCTGCAGCCCCAGGGGGTTAGGCCACGCAGGGAGGGGCAGGGCACATGCCAGGTAGGGAGGCCCATTAGCAGGGTGCAGGCGCCAGGTGGGCACTCGGCCCCCTTGAAAAGCCTTGGTGCACGGAGGCTGAGCTGATGTGCAGCTCCCGCAGGGCACTCCGAGCTGGCATGCATGCTGGCAGCTGTGTAGCCCATCTGGGAGAGAGTGCGTGGGGCACAGGCCAGGCAAGTGGGGGACTGGGATCCCCAGAGGAGGGGACTCAGAAGTGGGGGCTCCCAAAGAAACACAATCCAGGGCCATTTGTTTCAACTCCTCTCAGCTACTGCGTGCTGGGGACACAGAGGTGGATGGGGGCTGTCCCCGTCCTGTGCTGTGTTAGGTGCTTTCCCTGTGCTGGAATCCTGTAAGGCGGAGACTCTGTCCACTTTTGCATGAGGAAACATGTTTCACAGAACTTGACTATTTTGCCCAGGGTCATTTTCATGATAAGGGTTCTAGTACTGATTGTGTAACAAACTCAGTCACTTAAAGCATTTCATAAATCACTTTGTTTTGTTCCCAAATCTGTAGACTGGGGAGGACTTGGCGAGGATAGTGTGGCTGTGCTCTGTGGCATCTGCTAGGGCAGCTCCGTGAGCCGAGGTAGCCACCTCGGAGCGGGGCCACCCCCTTGGCCTGCTGGCTGGAGCCGGTGGTGTGTTGGGAGCTCTCTGAGGCTGTGTGCTGGGAGCTCTCTGTGGGCTGGAGGCGCCTTCCTGGGTTTCCTCACGCTGCAGCAGCCGGATTCCAAGAGCAAGCGGCCTAGAGACAGGAACTGCCCTTCTCTCCAAGCCCAGGTCCAGAAGTACATCACTGCTGCCATATGTTGTTGGCCAAGCAGACACAGGTCCTGCCTCTCAACGAAAGGATGCTAAAGAATGTGTGGCCATCTTTAGTCTACCTTAGTGACAGAGCCAGGACTTGAACCTAGATCTTCAGGATGCCTCCAAGCCCTCCTGCACTGGGTCTTCGGGAAGACACGTGGGCTCACGCTGGGAATTGTGTGCCTGGGCCTGACTCGTCCAGCTGTCTGGGCCATCGCACAGACCTTTGTGTAAACTAGGGGAAGTCCCTATTTGGAAAGCAGGTGTCCGCGAGGCCGGGACGGCCGGGGTCTGCTGGCTGCAGAGGTCTGATGTGGCTCCTTTCTTCTGGCAGCTGTGTATCCCTGCCCCATCCAGATGGCTCCCAGGCACTCCATGCTGCTGCCTGACTGTCCCCAGGCACAGACTAATGGTCTGGGGTGGGTATCTGCCTGAGAGGGGCCCCTGACTTCCCTCCCTGAGACTTTTACACAAGGCTTGGGAGATGTCAGGGGCCACGCTTACTACCCATGGAGAGAGACCATCTGCAGGAGAGAGGAAGGAGGCCACGAGGCTGAGAAGAGCACACAGGAGAGCCAGACAGGAGTCCCACAGCTCTCCCAGCCCTGGTTCCAGCGTCCTCCAGGCAGCTGCATGGCAGGCCTTGGGTCCTCCCACCGCATACCCTGTGCGGGTTTCTGTCGCTGGCCACTGAGAAAGGCCGGGCTGAGGAGCCTGGCCGCAGCAGCCTGGAGTCCTGAGCCTTCTGGGGCTGCCCCTGGAGATGGCGCTGGCCTCCTCACAGGCCTTCCTGCCCATCAGGCCCCTCTCCACCCCACCGCCTAAGAGAAAGTTCGAGACGCACACCAGACCCCGTGGCTCCCCTGCGTTCAGACCACCAGCGGCTCCCGTGATCTGGCGCCTGCAGGCCTCACCACCCTCCTTCCTCCTTCTTGGCCGGCCACTAGCCTCTCGGAGCTTTGCTGGGGGCCTGTGGGCAGAGAGGCACTGGCTTTAACGCCGCCTGGAATTCAGCCCGGCCTGTGCCCCGAGGAAGGTGGGTGGGGGATGGTGGGGCGGTGTCGACTGCGCCCCCTGCTGGCCAGCACTAGTTACTGCGGGAGGGGCTCCAAGGCCCAGCGGGGATGCCTCCCGCGTCCCCATTGCACAGAAGCAGCAGGCCTTAGACCTTGCCAGGCCACGCGGCTGGAAAGGAGCAGAGCAAGGATTTGGAATCGGGACTGTCTGACCAGCCCGTGTGCTTTTCAACACAGAGGGGCCTCCATTTTCTCTAACCCAGGAGGCCCTCTGTCCTCTTCCTCCTGCCACACACACTTAGAAAACACCCTTGATTCACAAACCTTGGCTAAGCATAAATTCAGGCTGAGGCTGACCCAGAGCTGCCAGGAGCTCTTGGGCGGGAGGGGTAAGCATGGTGGTTAGGGGTGTGGCCAGAGATCCATGAGGTGCTATCCTGCCCCCAGGGGCCACATTCTGAGGAACAAGTCAGTGCAAAAGTTACTCAACAAATACTTATTGAATGAATACATACATAAGTAAATAAATAAACTCACTGACCAGGACAAAGCCATCAAACTTTTGGCCAATTGGCAAACTCTTACTCATCCTTCAAAATCCCTTTCCTTCCAGGAAGGAAGCATCTTTGGAACCCCTTTAAGAAGGTCACCTGGCATATTTCACGTTAGAGCAGAATGTGATACATTTTATAGTCGGGTACAGGGTGCTATGGGATGTTGGGGGCAGGAGCAGACTCTTGCAGAGGTGGCAATGGGAGGGGGAGGAGGAAGGAGGACACCTGGGGAAGGCTTCCTGGAGGAAGAGAAGGCTTTTGACATGGACCTGGAAGAATGGGGCAGTACTGGGACAGGGGAAGGTAAATGGTAGTGGCGTTGTGGTGGTGAGAGGTGACAGCGTGCTAGCAGCCCTCACAGCCCTCGCTTGCTCTCGGCGCCTCCTCGGCCTTGGCGCTCACTCTGGCCGCGCTTGAGGAGCCCTTCAGCCTGCCGCTGCACTGTGGGAGCCCCTTTCTGGGCTGGCCAAGGCCAGAGCCGCCTCCCTCAGCTTGTGGAGAGGTGTGGAGGGAGAGGCGCCGGCGGGAACCAGGGCTGCACGCGGTGCTTGCGGGCCAGTGTGAGTTCCGGGTGGGCGTGGGCTCAGTGGGCCCTGCACTCGGAGTGTCCAGCCGGCCCTGCCGGCCCTGGGCAGTGAGGGGCTTAGCACCTGGGCCAGCAGCTGCTGTGCTCGACTTCTCGTTGGCCTTAGCTGCCTCCTGTGGGGCAGGGCTGGGGACCTGCAGCCTGCCATGTCTGAGCCTCTCCACCGCGGTGGGCTCCTGTGCGGCCCGAGCCTCCCTGACGAGTGCCGCCCCCTGTTCCACAGCGCCCAGTCCCATCCACTGCCCAAGGGCTGAGGAGTGCCGGTGCAGGGCGCAGGACTGGAAGGCAGCTCCACCTGCAGCCCCGGTGCGGGATCCACTGGGTGAAGCCAGCTGGGCTCCTGAGTCTGGTGGGGACTTGAAGAATCTTTATGTCTAGCTAGGGGATTGTAAATACACCAATCAGCACCCTGTGTCTAGCTCAAGGTTTGTGAATGCACCAATTGGCACTCTGTATCTAGTTACTCTGGTGGGGACTTGGAGAACCTTTATGTCTAGCTAAGGGATTGTAAATACACCAATCAGCACTCTGTATCTAGCTCAAGGTTTGTAAACACACCAATCAGCACCCTGTGTCTAGCTCAGGGTTTGTGAATGCACCAATCGACACTCTGTATCTGGCTACTCTAGTGGGGACTTGGAGAACCTCTGTGTGGACACTCTGTATCTAGCTAATCTAGTGGGGAAGTGGAGAACCTTTGTGTCTAGCTCAGGGATTGTAAACGCACCAATCAGCACCCTGTCAAAACAGACCACAAGTCTCTCTGTAAAATGGACCAATCAGCAGGATGTGGGTGGGGGCCAGATAAGAGAATAAAAGCAGGCTGCCAGAGCGAGCAGTGGCAACCTGCTTGGGTTCAGTTCGACGCTGTGAAAGTATTGTTCTTTCGCTCTTTGTGATAAAACTTGCTGCTGCTCACTCTTTGGGTCCACACTGCCTTTATGAGCTGTAACACTCACTGGGAAAGTCTGCACCTTCACTCCTGAAGCCAGCGAGACCATGAACCCACCAGGAGAAATGAGCAACTCCAGACGCGCTGCCTTAGGAGCTGTAACACTCACTGCGAAGGTCTGCAGCTTCACTCCTGAGCCAGCGAGACCGCGAACCCACCAGAAGGAAGAAACTCCGAACACATCCGAACATCAGAAGGAGCAAACTCCAGACACGCCAACTTTAAGAACTGTAACACACCGCGAGGGTATGCGGCTTCATTCTTGAAGTCAGTGAGACCAAGAACCCACCAATTCCGGATACAGTGGGAACAGGTCAGTGAATTTGTCTCCCAGGGCTGCATGACCAAGCACCACAAGCTGGGCGGCTTAGAACACCAGGAGTTTATTCTCATGGTGCTGGAGGATGGAAGTCTAAAATCCAGGTGTGGGCAGGGCCATGCTCTCTGAAGTCTCCAGGGCAGGATCCTTCCCTGCCTCTTCCTAGTTTCTGGTGGTTGCCAACCATAGTTGGCCTTCCTTGGCTCCGTAGACACATGACTCCAATCTCTGCCTCCATCCTCACCTGGCCTTCTCCTGCGTCTCTCTTTGCAAACTTACCTCTTCTTATAAGGACCCCAGCCACTGGGTTTGGGGCCCACCCTAATCCAGCATGGCCTCTTCTTAACTGAATGACATCTGCAAAGACCCTGTTTCCCAGTAAGGTCCCATCCACAGGTACTGGGGCTTCAGGCTTGAGCATATCTTTGGGGGGCCGCAATTCCACCTACAACAGTAAAGTCGTGGAAGTTGGGGAGACTTATTCACATTTGGGAAGCTGGTGAGTGCAGGGGCTGGAGACGTAAGTGGGGTGGTCACAGAGGGTCCCAAAGACCCTGGGACCTGCATCCTGTGTCAGGTGTTTTGCGGGGTGGGGCGTCAGCTAGGAGGCTGGAGAGGTCTTACGGCACTCCACGGCCCCAGGGTTGAGCCCGGATTGGGGGGCAGCCTTCTTGTGAGACAGTCTCTTGCCTCATCTGCCTTAACCCCTCTGACAGCCCCGGAGCTGGCGATGTTACTGGCTCCAGGTCACAGAGGAGGAAACCCACGTTCACAAAGTGAAGCAGTCAGCTCCAGGGGGCACAGGTGGTTAGTGGAGAGCTGAGATTTGAGCCCAGCTCCAGCCGTCCTCACAGCCTGCAGCTGAATTAAACCCTCCTCCCAAGACTGGTTTTGTTACGTTTTGGTTTGTTTTGGAAGAGCTTTATTGAGACAGAATTCATATACTATCCAGTTCACCTATTTAAAGTGTACGTCGATTTTTAGTGTATTCACAGATTTGTGCAACCATCACCATGATCAATTTTAGAACATTTTTCTTTTTTCTTTTTCTTTTTTTTTTTTTTTGAGATGGAGTTTCACTCTCGTTACGCAGGCTGGAATGCAATGGTGCGATCTCGGCTCACTGCAACCTCAGCCTCCCGAGTTCAAGCGATTCTTCTGTCTCAGCCTCCCAATTAGCTGCGATTACAGGTGCCCCCCACCATGCCCGGCTAATTTTCGTATTTTTAGTAGAGACAGGGTTTCAGACGAGGTTTCACTGTGTTGGCAAGGCTGGTCTTGAACTCCTGACCTCAGGTGATCCGCCCAGCCTGGCCTCCCAAAGCACTGGGACTACAGGCGTGAGCCACCACACCTGGCCAGGACATTTTCATCACCTCAAAAAAAAAAAAAAAAAAAAAAAAAAAAGCAGTAACCTCCCAATTCCCCCATCATCCTCAACCCTAAACAACCATGGATCTATTTTCTGTCTCTATGACTTGCCTTCTCTGGACCATTTCATGTAAATGGAATTATGCAAAGTGTGTGTGCCCTTTGTGTCTGGCTTCTTTCGCTCGGTGTGTTTTCCCGGTCCCTCCCCTGGAGGCTGCGTAGTGTGTGTCAGTACTTCCTCTCTACTGCTAGAGAATGTTCCATTGTGTGGATCCGTTCATGAGTTGACAGGCATTTGGGCTGTTCCCACACTTTGGCTGTTACGAACAATGCTGCTGTGGGCATCTGTGTACGTGTGTGTTGTGTTGACATGTTTTTAATTCTTTTAAGCCTGTGTGTGGAATTGCTAGGTCATATGGAAACCCTGCGTTTGACTGAGGAACTTACCAGACTGTTTTCCAAAGGGGCCGTGCCGTTTCGCATTCCCACCAGCAGGTCCAAGGGTTCCGATTCCTCCATACCCTCTATGATACTTGTCATTGTGTTTTTGAGTAAGCGACCTAGTGGGTGTGAGCCGTGTTATCGACTGAATTGTGTTCCCCAAAATTCATGTGTTGAAGCCGTAGTCCCCAAAGTGACTGTATTTGGAGACAGGGCCTTAAGGGGGTAATTAAAGGTAAAGGAGGTCAGGAGAGTGGGGCCCTGATCCGAGAGGACTGGCATCCTTAGAAGAGGAGGAAGAGATGCCAGATTTTTCTCTCTTTCTCTTATCATGTGAGGACGTAGTGAGAAGGCAGCTGTCTGTAAGCCTGGAAGAGAGGCTTCGTGAGAAACCAACCCTGATGGGACCTTGATCTCAGGATTGCCAGACTCCAGAACAGTAAAGAAATAAATTTCTGTTGTTTCAGCCACCCCGTGGCCTAAACAGACCGAAACAAGTGGCCTCTCATTTTAGTTTTGGTTGCCTTTCTCTGATGGCCAATAACGTTGAACGTCTTTTCACGTGCTGTTTGCTGTTTGTGTATCTTCTTTGAAGAGATGAATGTCTTTTTCCATCCTTGGCCCATTTTTGAATTGGATTATTAGCCTTTTCATTTTTAGGTGGTAAGAGTTCTTTATATGTTCTGGATTCACATCCTTTCTCAGATGCAGGATTTGCAAATATTCTTTCCCATTCGGTGGTTCATCTTTTCACTTCTTAATGAATCCTCTGAAGAACAATAGTTTTTACTTTTAATGAAAGCCACCTATCTTATCTATTTTTTCCCCTCTTGTTGCCTGTGCTTTTGATGTCATAGCGAAGAAACCATTCCTAATCCAAGGTCATGATGAATTGTATTTATTTATTTTTACTTAAAAAAATTTTTTTTTTGTTTTTGAGATGGAGTTTTGCTCTTGTTGCCCAGGCTGGAGTGCAATGGCATGATCTTGGCTCACCGCAACCTCTGCCTCCCAGGTTTAAGTGATTCTCCTGCCTCAGCCTCCCGAGTAGCTGGGATTACAGGCATGCGCCACCATGCCTGGCTAATTTTGTGTTTTTAATAGAGATGGGGTTTCTCCATGTTTGTCAGGCTGGTCTCAAACTCCCGACCACAGGTGATCTGCCTGCCTTGGCCTCCCAGAGTGTTGGGATTACAGGTGTGAGCCACCACACCCGGCTACTTTTATTATTTTTTAAATCAAGAATGGGGTCTTGGCTGGGCGTGGTGGCTTATGGGCGGGTGGATCACCTGAGGTCAGGAGTTGGAGAGCAGCCTGGCCAACATGGCGAAACCCTGTCTCTACTAAAAATACAAAAATTAGCCGGGCATGGTGGCAGGTGCCTGTAATCCCAGCTACTTGGGAGACTGAGGCAGGAGAATCGCTTGAGCCCAGGAGCCAAGGGTTGCAGTGAGGCGAGATTATGCCACTGCCCTACAGCCTGGGCGACAGAGTGAGAGTCTGTCTCAAAAAATAGAAAATTTAAAAAAAGAGAATGGGGTCTTGCTATATTGTCCAGGCTGGTCTTGAATTCCTGAGCTCAAACTATCCTCCTGCCTCTGCCTCCCTAGGTGCTAGGATATAGGCGTGAGCCACCATGCACCGTGTCTGACCGGTGATGATCTATTTACTCCTGTATTTTCTTCTAAGAATTTTATAGTTTTAGCTCTTATGTTTAGGTCTTTGATCCACATTTAGCTAATTTTTGTATATGATTGTTTAAAATAACCTTTCAAATGTGCTTTTCTTCTGCTCTCACACCAAAACTACAATAATCAACACAGAAGACTTCTTTGACCCCAAAATATGTGGGGGTTTCTCCTCCCCAGTAAGCGAGCAATCAATTCTGTAGCAAACACCAGCTGGGGGTCCTCTTCTTCAGTTCTGACACTACCTGGAAACAGCATCAGATCCCACAGGTTGGGGGCTCCGTCTCCAAAACTCCCCCCTGCTTCAGACACTAGTCACGAGCCTGGGCCTTGGGAACTTCTGACTGACCGGCTTCTGGTTGGGTCACTCACGACCCCCTCTTTGGGTTTGCTTAACTTGCTGGAGCTGCTCACAGAACTCAGGAAAACATTTACTTACATTTATTGGTTTGTTATAAAGGAAACTACAAAGGATACAGATGAAGAGATGCTCTGGCCGGGTGTGGTGGCTCCCGCCTGGAATCCCAGCATTTTGGGAGGCTGAGACGGGAGGATCACTTGAGGCCAGGAGTTTGATACCAACCTGGGCAACATCGCAATACCCCATGTCTACAGAAAGTAAAAAATTAGCCTGATGTGGTGATGTCCACCTATAGTTCCAGCTATTCTGGAGGCTGAAGTGAGAGGATTGCTCGATCCCAGGAGGTCGAGGCTACAGTGAGCTGTGGTCACACCACTGCATTCCAGTCTAGGCAATAGAGCCTGTCTCAAAAAAAAAAAAGATGCCTCAAGTAAGGCATAGGGAAGAGGTGAGGGGCTTCCACATCCTCCCTGGGTGCACCACCCTCCAGGGACCTGTTCAGCCATCTGGAAGCCCCGAACCCATCCTTTTGGGGGTTTATGGAGGCTTCTTCACATCGGCACGATCAACAACCATGTAGGAATGTGACTGGACAGAAAGAACATGATTTGAACCCAGCAAGGCCTGTCTGTTCTGGCCTCTCTTGGCTCCTCTGTGTAGCATTCCTTCCTCCAGAGTATGGGGCAGGACCCTTTCTGGAATGAGGTTGTGTGTATGTGTGTGTGTGTTTAGACGGAGTCTCACTCTGTCGCCCAGGCTGGAGTGCAGTGGCGCGATCTCGGCTCACTGCAAGCTCCGCCTCCCGGGTTCACGCCATTCTCCTGCCTCAGCCTCCGGAGTAGCTGGGACTACAGGTGCCCGCCACCACATCTGGTTAATTTTTTGGGTATTTTTTAGTAGAGACAGGGTTTTACCATGTTAGCCAGGATGGTCTCGATCTCCTGACCTCGTGATCCACCTGCCTCAGCCTCCCAAAGTGCTGGGATTACAGGCATGAGCCACTGCGCCCTGGTCTGGTTTTTTTTGTTTTTGTTTTTGTTTTTTGAGATGGAGTCTCTGTTGCCCAGGCTGGAGTACAATGGCGCGATCTCGGCTCACTGCAACCTCTGCCTCCTGGGTTCAAGCAATTCTCCTGCCTCAGCCTCCCGAGTAGCTGGGAATACAGGCACCTGCCACCATGCCTGGCTAAGTTTTGTATTTTTAGTAGAGACAGGGTTTCACCATGTTGGCCAGGCTGCTCTTGAACTCCTGAGCTCAGATGATCCACTTGCCTCGGCCTCCCAAAGTGCTGGGATTACAGGCATGAGCCACCGCACCTGGCTGAATGAGGGTCTTTTGGCCCACAATCTGATTAGAGTCCTGCCTTGGGCATATAAAAGGAAAACAGAAGGAGGTCAGAGAGATTCTGCTTTCTGCAGCCTGCTCCTGAGGCCTAAAGTGCCCCAACATTATAACGAAAGATTATAGCAAGGGCTATGGGGGTTACAAGTCAGGAACCGTGGATGAAATCCCATATATCAGTTTCACAGTGGTGTAAGGGAGCAGTCCAACTTCATCCATTTATATGTGGATATTTAGCTGTCCCAGCACCATTTGTTAAAAAGACCATTTCTCCCCACCCCCAACTGAATTGTCTTGACACCCTGTCAAATATCAACTGACCATAAATGTAAGGGCTTATTCTAGACTTTCAATTCTATTCCATTCATCTATCTTTACGCTAGTACCACACAATCTTGATTACCATAGCTTTGTAGTATGTTTTGAAATGAAGCAGTGTGACTTCTCTAATTTTATTCTTTTTTCAGGATTGTTTTGGTTATTATGGTTCCCTTGTATTTCTGTATGAACTTCAGTTTCAGCTTGTCAATTTCTGCCAAGATTGTCAGGGGAGGTTTTGATAGATTTTGACTCCGCAGAATCCATATGTCGATTTGTTGAGTTATTGCCATTGTAACACTAGTAAGCCTTCTGATCCATGAATGTGGCAAGATTGGCTTTTAATGTGATAACATTTTTTGAGTAGGTAGAAGTTATCTGTCGTGCAGAGTTAAAAAGAGTACAGAAGAGTGACTTGCCCAGCTTCCTGGGGCCTCCCCAGAGGCAGCCACTGATGTCAGACTCCCAGTGTGTCCAGCGACAGTTTGTACACAGGCAAGCAAGTCCCGTGTGCATTCTCCGTACTGAGCCCCAGTTGTGCACCTGTGCACAGAGACCGTGCGGGTGGGTGTGCATCCTTCCCCTGACCTGGGTGTGCTTCCTCTAGAGGGCTGGAGCCTGAAGCTTTTATCTGAAGGACTGATCTTGGACTACCAGATTCTGCTTTGTCTGTACATGCAGAGTCAGAAGTAGCTGGGAATTCAGATCTCCCAGGGCAGCCCTCAGCCAACCACTAGCAGTGGGGGTAAGGAAAGCCCTGCTGCCACAAGCTCACCCTGCAGAGTCCCCTACAGGGTCAGGCTTAGCTCCCTCCTGAAGCTTCAGCTGAGACCACGACCTGCTAGGCATCCTCCCCTCCCCAGAGAGGCTGGCGGAGAGGCGTATGCAAGGGAGCGGAGGCTGGGACCGGCCCGGCTTCTTCCCCGGGCCCGCTAGGGGGCGCGCGCCCTCTCCGCGGAGTTCTCTGCTGCTGGGAAGGCGAGCCGGCCCCCGGGACTTCAGAGCCGGAGCCAGGCACTTAGCTTCCTTCTGGGGACCCTGAGGCACGGGAAGAGAAGGGACCTCCTGCTCGCAGTGTCCCCCTTGCGCTGTCCCTGCTAGTGACAGGAAGCTCTTCTCACCCTGTTCGTGGGCCCGGCTGTGTCTCCTCCTCGCCTTCACCTGCCGTTGTGACCTGCAGTGCCCTCCCCAGCTTGATCCCTACCTGGAACCCCTCGGTGTCCTGTCCCAGGCCACGCTGAAGGTGGGCGGTGCGTGCTGCGGGTGACTGGCTGAATGAATGAATGAGCCAACACAGGAATGCCCGTGGACACCACCAGGGGTCTTTCTGCGAAAGTGCGGTGACACCAGGGGTCCTCCTGCGGCCCCGGGAGGGCCCAGACTCGGCCTGAGGGGCTCAGCACCGGCTCCTCCCATTCCCTTCCTTCCTCCTGACTTGCTGTGGTTCTTTAAGTTTGGTAATTAATGTCATTCTAAGTAAAGGAAAAACAAGCAGTCGAGTCATTCGCATGAATTGTTGGGCTCATCATTTTACGGTGCGATGCCGTCTTAGGCGCAGAGCGTCTCACTTGTGCACTAACGCGCCACAATGGCACATGGGTAGTGCACAGTTCGTACAGGCACGTGTATTTCGATCTTACAGGACAATGGAAAGGCTGCACAAATCTAAACCCACTGTCACCTCTGGGGCTCGTGCATTCTGCCAACACCCCATAGGAACCCGGATCTCAGACGTCCCAGGTACGTCAGCCCCACCAGAATTCTGTGCTCATAGGACACGGTGAACGCTGAATGTGGACAGGGCGGCAAGGACCCGGACACTTGGATTACACAGGTCTCCTCTGCTCACACACCCTGACGCTGTCCCATTGAACTTCACTTACAAAACACGAGTTTAAAGATAAAATCATCTGTTTCACGATATGGCTATGTTAAAAAAGATAAATTATTGATAATTCCATGGTGGTGACAGCAGAACATTAAACCAACGTGGGGCCCTTTGAGTGAAGCTCTGTGTGATGCCATGTGCTCCAGGTCCGTGACGCTGACCTTGCCAATGTCTGGAGGGAGAAATTAAACATGTGCCTAGGTCGGAGGTGCTGGAACCTCCTGGGGTGGATCCCAAGGGAGGAATCCGGAGAGTGGTGCGATTGTGGGGGTCCCTGACGTGTGCGATTGTGGGGGTCCCTGACGTGCAGATCCAGTGAACGCAGATGTGTTGTTGGGTGTGAGTGAAAGGCAGCACAGACCTCTTTCAGAGAAGCGGTTGAGTGTCTGGACTTGAAGTGGGACCCTTGCCAGTTCTGCCATTAGCAAGCTGTAAGGAGGTGACTGAAACTCACACCAGCCACTCACCTATCCTTCATTCTCCGGTTCACCCACCTGCATCTACCTGTCTACCTTTTGATGCATCCATCCAACAGTTATTTTTTGAAGTCTACTAGAGTCAGACACTGTGGGGACCATGTTGTAAACTAGATCTCTGCCCTAAGTCCCTTCAGTAAGATGAAGATGAGTTATTTATCAAGATCATATTTGTGGCCAGGCGCAGTAGAGGAATCTGCCAGAGAAAGTGCAGGTCCCCACGAGGGAGGGTGGGGCTGGGGCCAGAGGGCCCTCTGAGCATAGCCACTCATCTCAAGGGGCTCAAGGGATGGGCATTACTGATCCCATGTTACAGAGGGGCGAGGTGCCCGCAGCAGGGCCGTGGCGCTCAGTGATGAGTGGGGTGGGAACCAGCCTTGCCATGTGCAGCCACTGTGGGTTCTGAGATTGGGGGCAGCAAACCAGCATAAGCAGTCTTGCTCAACCCTGTGAGCAGCAGGGCAGGGAAAGGGAAGGAAAGAGGCCTCCCAGGCACACAGTAGTGTCGAGCCGGCAGCAGCCACTTCTCATAACCACCAGGGGTCTGCGTCAGCACCCCATTTTACAGGTGGGAAAATGGGGGCTCCAAGAAGTGAAGTGAGCAGCCCGGGCTCTGGAGCCCTCACAGCCTCACGGCCCCGACCCCCACCTCCGTGGCTGACTCCCCCTGCACAGGGGGCACCCCCACCCCGCCTTCCTTCCTGAATATGATTGATCACCCAGGAACATGACAGCCATGGAGGAACTGAGAAAAGGAAAGAAAGTCCCAGCCCAGCCCTCGGCGCCAGTGGTTCCTGGGCCACGTCCACGTCGCAGCCGTGTGTGGATGCCACATTGGTCACTGTGACTGTGAGGGAGTCACAGGGCTGCTTCTGGCCAAAAGCCCCTTCATGTCCCTGTGGCTACCCTCGCTGTGTGGTTATTTCAAAACATTGAAATAACTTTTTTCTCATATTAGAAGTTATATATACTGTAGTTATTACAAAGCCATTTAAAAATCAGAAAAAAGAAAAAGTCACCCAGAACCTCCCTGCCACCTGGCAGCATGAGTCCTTCCCATCACACCTTCTCATTTGCCCATTTCCTTATTCGTTTGGCATGTATGTATCGGGCACCTGCTGTGTGCCAGGCACTGGGGGGCCCTGGGGAACGGCAGTAGCAAAACAAATCCATACAGAGACGGAGGGACCTGGGACCTGAGGTTTCATCTATTCACCCCATTCAACAACGCGTCACAGTGTGGCTGTCTACACTGGTAGTGTCTGCGCTCAACGCAGTGTGCCTCCGGGCACTTCTTCCATGTGTCTTATTTGTCCATGTGTCTCATCAACTCTGTCCAGGCGCAACCCCATATCCTGTCAGGAGCAGACACCCAGCTGCTAGGGCAAGTCTCAGGCATGGCCACCTGTGAGGTCACAGTCCCTCTGTGGGCCCCAGTGCCCTATCCTGGGGCCTTCCCATCTTTGCCTGTGCGAGGAGCACCGTTTCTCAAGCCCACTCCTGCCTCTGTGGCCCAGTGCCTCTATAGAACACAGGGCCTGCCTTTTCTGGCAGACAGCCCCAGTTGTCTGTCCAGCCCCAGCAGGGGTGAATGTGGGGAGAGCAGTCGGCCCTATGGACAAAGCTCCCCTGGACTTTGGAGGGCAGGAGTGACAGGACTGAGCCTGTCAGGCCCAGACGGGGTGAAAAGAAGTCAGGAAAGGGGGCGTGAGGTTGTGTGGCAGCAGGAGGTGGGTGGGTGTGTGCTTCACAGCCCGACGGCTCCCCATCCCCAGGGCAACTTTCCAAGGGAGGCCTGCAGTCCTTCAGTTCTCAGCTGCAGTGGCAGAGCTGGGATTTGAACGTGTCCCCAGCAATACGGTTCCTTCCCCCGGTCCTTCCTCAGAACTCAGTGCATTGCCTGCCACGTTGTCTAGGAGAATGAATGAATGAGCCATCTCTGCATCCATCTGCTTGGTAAGGCTTCTAGCCGTGTGCACCCTTGTGCGTGCCACCTCCCTTCTCCAGGTCTGGAGTGGGTGGGCGTGGGCACAGGGAGCCTGGTTTCTGTGGCCCTGGTCACATCACATAATGGAGACACAGAGCCCACCTCAAGTGCCCGGGAGAGCCCCCTCCAGAGAGCAGTATACCCACAAGACTGAAGAAATGGTGACCAACCTCCCGCAAGGCCCACACAGACACACACACAGATATACACACATAGCCACACATGCACCCTCTCATAGACGCACATATGCATACATGCAGACAGACACACATGCACACAACCTACGCATACACACATACAGTACACACATGCTTGCACACAGGTACATGCAGATATACACATGTACACCCATACACATGCACACACACACACACCTGTACACACAGATACATGCACGTACACACACACGTGCGCACAGAGACACATGCGCTTCTCTCCTGCTACTGCTTTCCTTGTCTGCTCTGCACTCCCACATCTGATACCCTCTCCATTTCACGTATTTAACATGGACTCTGGCCGCAGACTCCTCAGGTTCACTCTTCTGTGTCTCGGCCTCCCCATCTGCAAGTGGAGACAGCAATATATCTATGTCATGGGTGCTGTGACAATTAAGTGACATGAACAAAACACTTAGAACAATACCTGGCACTGTGTCAATTTAGCTGTGTTCTCAATGTCACCTCTCACTTGGTGTCTGACTCCCTCACTAGAATGCCAGCTCCATGAGGCCAGCTTGCCAGCGCGCTCTCTGCCGCCCTCTTCACCCGGAACAGTGCCTGACATATAACAGGGGCACAACTGGAATCGGTGAATGGATGAGTGGCTTCTGGCAGCCACTGCACTTGCATTCAGAGTGGCAGGGGCCTAGGTGCCTCGGGACCCCTCCCCTCCAAAGTAGCAGGAAATCAAACCTGGCTCAGGCCAGAGGGGTGGACAGCTAGGGCCCCGGGCCAGGCCAGGCCCTGGGGAACCAGTTTGAGAAGCTCCTCCTCTTCTGGGTACATGTGGGGTGGATGGGCTGGGAGGGTCTGCTCTGCGGCAGGGGGTGCATCCTTCTCTCTTGAAGACACTCCAAAGCTGAGCCGCATAGCCTTTGCTCAGGCCTCAATTCTACCCCCTGGCTCCGTGAGTTGCCCAGGCCTCCCTCCCAGATGAGTGCCCTCCCTGGGGATTAGCCCGACACCTTCTTGCAGCCCCAGGGCCGTGGTGGCCTGCCCAGACCAGCCAGGAGCCAGGCTGGGGCCAACTTAGCACTCAGCATGGCTTGTGATGGGTGGGTGGTGGGCTGGGCTCAGGCCTCAGAGAATACCCGGCTCAGACCCCAGCGTCCCCATGTTCTTGCTGGGTGACTGGGCAAGTTCCTTGGCTTCCTGACTAGTCAAACAGAGTGCACCTATTCTTCTGTTCACATGACTTGGGATTTCCAGTTCTGAAAGCATTGATCAGCTCCCGCTCCGTACCCGATGCTGCACGTGGCTCTAGGGCTGAATGTGATGTGGGTCGTGGCCAGCTTGTTCCTAACTATCCAGCTTATTCTCAGTTCCTCTGGGGCCTCCTCTTGTCCTGGGAGTCTGTCCTAGTCCAGGCTGTGGGGTTGGCATGGAGCTGGGGCCTCTGACCCTGAGTGTTGACACCTGGTCGGGTGGCCCCAGTTCCGTCTGTCTCTGGGCGTCACGCCATGCAGGAAATGGCTGTGGGCCCTGTGTCTAACAGACAGGCCCCTGTGGGTCCGCCCAAAGCTGCACACCCTCGGGCCCCTGGGGACATGCGCTCTGCCACTCTAGATGTGTGTGCCTGGGAGGCTGCCTCGGGCTGGAGTGAAGGTGAAGGAAAGGGCTTTCCAGTCCCCTCTCTCTCAGTTCCCCCAAACTTTTCTGAGCTTCTGTCATTCCCACCCCACCCTGGAAAGGGACTTGGCCTAAAGTGAGGTGGGGCCGGCTCTCTGTCTGTCCTCGTATCACCCTCCCTGTGGGCTTGGGTGGCAGGCAGGGCATGGCCAGAGCCTGGGTTTCTGCTGCTGCCGCCTCGATTTCAGCCCCTCTGTTCTTCGTGAATCGCTCTGCCACCCCTTTCCCGGGCCACTCACCCCAGATGGGGGAAGGGTTGTGGGTAGCAGGAAGTCCGGGGGAAACCCACAGTGGTTCACATCTCAAGAGCCTCAACCCGCTCACAGCAACAGCACTGACCTGACCAGAAGACAAGAGGAAGACGGAGACGAGAGGAAGATGGAGACAAGAAGATAGAGACAAGGGTGTGCCCCCAGGGAGCCTTGCCTGCCCCTCTAGGGCTGGGTGTGTTCTTACCATGGTGGGAGACCTGGGGGCTCTGGCTGCCCTGTGGATGTTGGATGGGGGTGAGGTAGACCCACAGACGCAGGCAGTGGTTGGACAATGAGGTGTCTGGCTGCAGGAGCAGCTGGCTGGGGGGCTGGCCTGGGTGTTGGGGGCTGTGGCCTGCTCTGCCGAGAGACTAAGCTGCCTTCCCTGAGCCAGGAGCAGCAGGAGGTGACATCTAGGAACAGTGAGGTCCCAAGTTAGGCAGTGACAAAACATTTGACAAGACTAACATCTCTTCCCATGAGATGACCCTAGGGAAAGAACAGAATAAATACAAACATCTGTACCTTCAGAAAACTTCCCTAAAACAAAAAGATTTGGAACTACATATTGAAAGAGTACACCATGTATTTGAGAAGACAGACCCAGGGTAACCAACATCAAAACATGTTCTAGTAAAATTACCAATCTAAAAAAAAAAAAAAAATCCTTGAGTCCAGGTTAAAAGAGTGAGGGACTTATACTAAAATAAAAATTAGATTGTCGTGCGACTTTTCAACCACAACACGTTCTGCCAGAAGAAAAAGGAGAAACATACTGTACTTAAAATACTCGAGAGAAAATGTGAGCCAAGTACTATGCACCCAGCAAAACAGACTTTGGAGTATAAAAGGCACAAACAAAAAGCAGCCCCAAAGGACTCAGGAAATAATGTTCTCAGGGTCTGAGGGGCCCAAGGAGCCTATCAGAGAATGACCTTCAGGCAACCAATAGAGTCCTCAATGGAAGCACTAGATAAGGAACCAAGGCTAAACCAAGGCTGAAAAGGAGAGTATAGTGTCTTGGATAGCGACTACTTGGGGCCAGTGTCACTGGAAGTAAAGGAATTTACCAAGACAGTTGTAGGTAAAGAAAGGCAGATTTATTGAAGTATGAAAGGTAGGTGGCTCACGCCTGTAATCCCAGCACTTTGGGAGGCCGAGGCGGGCGGATCACGAGGTCAGGAGATCGAGACCATCCCGGCTAAAACGGTGAAACCCCGTCTCTACTAAAAATACAAAAAATTAGCCGGGCGTAGTGGCGGGCGCCTGTAGTCCCAGCTACTTGGCAGGCTGAGGCAGGAGAATGACGTGAACCCGGGAGGCGGAGCTTGCAGTGAGCCGAGATCCCGCCACTGCACTCCAGCCTGGGCGACAGAGCGAGACTCCGTCTCAAAAAAAAAAAAAAAAAAAAAAAGGTAGGATGCAGTGGCTCACGCCTGTAATCCTAGCACTTTAGGAGGCCAAGGTGGGCAGATTACCTGAGGTCAGGAGTTTGAGACCAGCTTGGGCAACATGGTGAAACCCCGTCTCTACTAAAAATACAAAAAAATTAGCCAGGTATGGTGGTGCATGGCTGTAGTCTCATCTACTCAGGAGGCTGAGGCAGAAGAATCACTTGAACCTGGGAGGTGGATGTTGCAGTGATCCGAGATCGCACTGTTGCACTCCAGCCTGGGTGACAGTGAGACTCTGTCGAAAGAAAGAAGGAAAGAAGGAGAGAAGGAGAGAAACAGAGAAAGAGAGAAAGAGAGACAGAGAGAAAGAAAGAAAGAAAAGAAAGACGTTGCAAGGGTGCAATGGGCAGATCAGCAAGAGAGGAGCTGACTGCCAGGAGACAGAGGCTTGCTGGGGATTTCGCAGGACGGTGCTCGTGCTGTGTGCTGGAGTGGGCCATGTGAAGTATCGCTAACACCAAGGTTGCAGCGAGCTAACTTGCATTTTTCTATCAGCCAAGGGTCTGGTGATGAGTCAGGTGTGGGAAGGTTGTGAGTTATTTGTGCAGGAGGGCTATGTGTTCTGGATCAAGAAGAAAGGCAGACTTATAGCTTATCTGAGTTTTTTTTTTTTTTGCCAGCCTCACTCCTTTTCCCTTATTAGGACCTATGTTTTGCGTGTGATGGCTACATTTTCTGACCGTGTAGATACAGATGGGATAAGGAAACTGGGTGGAGAATGGGGAGAGCATATGAGAACAATGTAATTGTTTTCAGTAATGCTGGTAGAGTATTAGTAGCAGTAGTGGTGGTTGTCATTAGGATTTTACTATTGTTATTCTAAGACCATTGAGTGTGTAAAGTGGAAAAGAGCAAATAAACAACTATGAGAGACAGTGTACATTCATTTTCCTGAGAAGCAGAATTCTAAGTGTGGAAGAAAGAAGATGGCAAATGTAATATAGTAGGGTTTAAGTCAAAACTCTAGTCCTGAATTCTAATTGGAAATATTAGTTTGAACTCATGAGGCCCTTTTATGTTTTAAAAAAATGTTGGTATATTTCCTAGCTCTGTCCACTGTAAAGGTCTTAAAGGAAAAAAAAGACCAACCCAGTAGCAATGAGCATCCCTAGAATCCACACTGTGGTCTTGAAATACAAACTCCTACAGCAAGAAACCAGGGCTTTTTGGAGCAATGGCTGATTCTAGGTCTGGAGCAGGAAATATGCAAGATGAGTGGAGCCACCCTGACACATTGCATAGCACGAAACCGTCAAAGCCACCAGGGCCACCTCCAAGGCTTCTGCCGCCAACTTAAGAGGCATCCACTGGGCAAAGATCAAACCATTTGAGCTTGGAAAAGGATAGTCATTGCCATTGATTGAAGCTTTCAAATGTTTGTTTGTTTATTTATTTATTTATTTTGAGACGGAGTCTTGCTCTTTCGCCCAGGCTGGAGTCCAGTGGCACGATCTTGGGTCACCGCAACCTTTGCCTCCTGGGTTCAAGCAATTCTCCTGCCTCAGCCTCCCAAGCAGCTGGGATTACAGGTGTGCACCACCATGCCTAATTAATTTTTTTGTATTTTTAGTAGAGACAAGGTTTCACCATTTTGTCCAGGCTGGTCTCGAACTCCTGACCTCAGGTGATCTGCCCGCCTCGGCCTCCCACAGTGCTGGGATTACAGGCGGGAGCCACCCGTGCGACCTCAAATATGTTTAAATCCAAGTGTTTGTAGTGTTATTAAATAAGAAAACCTTGATTGTTCCATGGTGGAAGGTGAGAGGGAACTAAGTCACTCTCCCAAAACTGGTAAAGAAGAGAAGGTGCATTTCTTTTTTCTCTTTTTTGAAATGGAGTTTTGTTCTGTCATCCAGACTGGAGCACAGTGGCACAATCTCAGCTCACTGCAACCTCCACCTCCCCAGTTCAAGTGATCCTCCTGCCTCGGCCTCCTGAGTAGCTGAGACTAGAGGTGCATGCTATCACGCCTGGCTAATTTTTGTATTTTTAGTAGAGACAGGGTTTCGCCATATTGGCCAGGCTGGTCTTGAACTCCTGACCTTAGGTGATTCACCTGCCTTGGCTCCCAAAGGGTTGGGATTACAGGCATGAGCCACTATGGCTGGCCCAGCCCCATTTCTTATTTGAACTGTGCCACTGGGTAGCCAGCAGCAGATGAGAAGAAGCATCTCTTTCTAAGAGGGTGCCACAGAATAACTAAAACAGGAACATTAGAGTCAGAATTGCATCATTGCAGCCCCTGATGAATTAATGGGCCTGGGCCTGGAGCATCAAGAGCTACTGACGTCACCAGGGGAGAGACAAGCTGGCCTTCCCGTGCCCTGCAGTGGGAACACAAGGCAACCTTTGGGCTCGCCAAGGGACTGAACAGGAGCCTGACGGAGCTTCTGGACCCAGCTGCCAATTTGCAGAGAACGTAGAGGACAGAGGAGGGTGTCAAACAGCAGAGTGAACCTGAAGCAACACAATGCGGGCTGCAGGAAACGGCGAGGAAAAGACAGGGAGGGAGGCGCAGCCTGCAGGTGACTAGAGACTTATCAAAAGGCACGTCAAAAATGTCTACAAGGCTGGGCGTGGTGGCTCACGCCTGTAATCCCAGCACTTTGGGAGGCCAAGGGGGGGTGGATCACTTGAGGTCAGGAGTTTATGACCAGCCTGGTCAACATGGTGAAACCCCACATCTACTAAAAATACAAAAATTAGCCAGGCATGGTGGTGTGCGCCTGTAATCCTAGCTACTTGGAAGGCTGAGGCAGGAGAATTGCTTGAACCGGGGAGGTGGAGGTTGCAGTGAGCTGAGATTGCGCCACTGCACTTCAGCCTGGCTGACAAAGTGAGACTCAGTCTCAAAAAAAAAAAAAATGGTCTACCACGTCAAGATTAAACTACATTATCTAGAGAAGGATGGTTGGGTGATAAGCCTGTAAAACAAAACCCACAACGAGGCTATTTCCCTAAAAGTTAGGACACTGGTTGCTTAACAGCAGGCAGGGCTGTTATTGTACCTCAGGGGACTCAGGGGCAACAAAGTTCTCTTTCTTGGCCTGGAAGGCGGTTCAAAAGAATTCACTTTGTGATAATCACTAAGGTGCACACATGTTTTGTATGTTTCTCTGAGGCTGCGTGAAAAGGTGAGAAATGAGAGCTGTGCTGCTACCACAAATAATGAGAATATCAGAAAACCTGATACAAGGCCAATGGAGTCACTAACGACTCACTGGGGACCAGGGATGTCTTCCTGGAGGAGGTGGAATCGGAGCAGGGCTTCGGAGAGTGGACGGGATTTGGGGTAGACCAGGGTTTCACAACCTTGACATTGACATCTGGGGATCATTCTCTGGTGAGGGGCCGTTCCGTGCACTGCAGGGTGCTGAGCAACATCCCAGGCCTCCACGCATTTGATGCCACTTGGCACCCCCAGACCCCGAACAGTTGTGACAATCAAAAGCATTTCGAGAAATTGCCAAATGTTCCCTGGGAACAAAATTTACCCCAGTTGATTTTTTTTTTTTTTTTTTTTTTTTGAGATGGAGTCTCATTCTTGCCCGGGCTGGAGTGCGGTCGTGTGATCTCGGCTCACTGCAACCTCTGCCCCTAGGGTTCAAGCAAGTCTCCTGCTTCAGCCTCCCGAGTAGCTGGGATTACAGGCCCCTGCCACCATGCCCAGCTAATTTTTGTATTTTTAGTAGAGACGGGGTTTCACCATGTTGGCCAGGCTGCTCTTGAACTCCTGACCTCAAGCGATCAGCCTGCCTCGGCCTCCCAAAGCACTGGGATTACAGGTGTGAGCCACCGCACCTGGCCCAAAATTTCCCCCAGCTGAGAACTGCTGGATCCGAGAACCACGCACAGATTAGAAATGGAGAAAAGCCTGAAACTCCCTGGAGGGTCTGAGCTTTGCAGACGCTCCCTCCTGCCCTTAGGTGTTAGTTCTGTGAGAGGCCAGCATGGCCACTGCCTGAGGTCCTCACAGGAGTCTGCTTCCTGCCCAGCCTTACCCTGGGTCTCACAGCCTGACCTCGGGCCTTCCTGCAGACCTGCCTGCTGTCCCAGCTGGAGCTCCTTCTCTCGAGAGTTCCTGTGACCCTGGCTGTGGCCAGAGCCGGGGTGCGGGATGGTCCCAGGCCTGATGGTGTCTGACCACGTGATCACACCCTCCCCAGACCGAGGAGGAACCTGGGGCTGGGAGGGAAGTGCCTTGCCCACAGCCACACGGAGGGCAGAAGCAGCCCTTCCCGGGCCCAGGCTGCTACTCGGCCCAGCCAGCTGCGTCTGACGGTGGCAGAGCTGCAGTGTCAGCGCCGGGAGGGCCCGCAGAGCCCCATGGGCAGGCTCTTATTTCACTGGTGGGGAGACTGAGGCCCTGGGGTGGGGGTTCCAGGCTAGTTATGGACAGAGCCAGACCAGAACTCAGATGTCCTTACTCCCAGGGTAGATGGGACCCTCGTTTGAGCATGTCATTATTAAGCCCCTGCGTTGTCCTAAGAGCTTTCTCTCATGTGTCCTTTCTGAGCACCTGCGGCGTCTATGCCACTCCACTGAGTTCTGTAAACCCCACAGGTAGGGGCAGAGGCCAGAGGGGTGGGTGACATGGTCAGCCTGCATCCCAGGGCACCCTGGACAGAGTGAACCAGAGGACGGGTGTGGAGTACGTAGCGGAACATCCTGGGAACTGCTACTCTCATGACCCTTGTGGCTACCATCAACCGTTTCAAGAGAGACTGCAGGGAGGCCCCACTGCTCCAGACCTGGGAGCCCCATGTTTCCAAGGCCCTGAGTTCCTCTATAAGTCCCAGGGGCAGGAGGAGGGGACGTGGAAGGTTGAGCTCCCACGCCCACCCAGCTTCACTTGGATTTGCCTAAAACGTTCTTTGAAACAAAGAATTCTATTGTTTAAGACACTGTTCTCAAACCAGGCACTGGGGCTGGAACCTGTGCCTTCTGGAATTCCCTGCCCTCTCGGAGGACTCCGAGACCTGGCTGCAGCCACCCCTGATTCTCCTGCACCGAGGAACACCCCGTGGGATGTGCTGGCCACTGATGGCTGACCTCTGTGCCGCCGTTGCCAAGGGTGGCCGGACTAAAGACACGCTTGTGAGAGCACCACGGGCTCCAGAGGAGTGGCTCCTGCTTCTGGGGGAGCAGCCAAAGCCTGCTCTGCGCTGCTTTGCAGAGACCTCTGAGCCAGCCAGGTGCTCCCAGGGGACGGGTGGGCCGCCGGCCTGCAGGTTATGCACAAAGCAAGGAAGTGTGACGCCACCAGAGGGAGGTAAACAGAAGGACGCTTCCTCTTTCGCTTCCACAGGCCTCCTGCCTGATCCAGAAGGTTCTCAAACTACAGAAATATTTCCCTCCCAGCCTGTACAGGGGCTCAGGTAGCACTTCTGATGTTGCCCTCCTTGTTGGGGAGGAAAGGGAATTTTTTATTTTTATTTTTATTTTTTATTTTTTAGAAGGAGTCTCGCTCTGTCGCCCAGGTTGGAGTGCAGTGGCCCGATCTCAGCTCACTGCAAGCTCTGCCTCCTGGGTTCACGCCATTCTCCTGCCTCAGCTTCCCGAGTAGCTGGGACTACAGGCGCCCACCACCACACCCGGCTAATTTTTTGTATTTTTAGTAGAGACGGGGTTTCACCGTGTTAGCCAGGATGGTCTGGATCTCCTGACCTCGTGATCCACCTGCCTCAGCCTCCCAAAGTGCTGGGATTACAGGCGTGAGCCACTGCACTCGGCCTTTTTTTGTTGTTATTTTTGAGATGGAGTCTCACTCTGTCGCCCAGGCTGGAATGCAATGGTGCAATCTTGGCTCATTGCAGCCTCGGCCTCCTGGGTTCAAGAGCCTCACCTGCCTCTGCCTCCTGAGTAGCTGGGATTACAGGTGCCTGCCATCATGCCCTTTGTATTTTTTGTAGAGAAGGGGTTTTGCCATGCTGGCCAGGCTGGTCTCGAACTCCTGACCTCAAGTGATCCACCCACCTCAGCATCTCAAAGTGTTGGGATTACAGGCATGAGCCACTGGCGCCCAGCATTGAGTATGCATCATTTGTATGTGTTGGATACACTTCAAGTCTTCTCTTCTAGCTATTTTGAAATATACAGTAGTTGTTAACCAGAGTCACCCTACTCTGCTATCCAACGTTAGAACTTATTCCTCCTATCTAACTGTATGTTTGTACCGTTAGCCAACCTCTCTTCATTCCCCCACCCTCCTTTCCCTTCCCAGCCTCTGTTAACCAACATTCTACTCTCCACCTTCATGAGATCCACTTTTTTTGGCTCCCATGTACGAGTGAGAACGTGCCACATTTGTCTTTCTGTGCCTGGCTTATTTCACTTAACACAGTGACCTCCAGTTCCATCCACGTTGCTGCAAATGACAGGATTTTATTCTCATTTTATGGCTGGATAATATTCCATTGTGTAAATATACCGCCCTTTCTTTATCTTTTCATCTGTTGGTGACACTCCGGTTGAGTCCGTATCTTTGCTGTTGTGAATAGTGCTGCAGTTGATGTTTATGCGGGTGCAAGCATCCCTTTAATAGATGGATTTTCTTTCCTTTAAATACCTGGTAGTGGGATTGCTGGATGGTTTGTAGTTCTACTTTCAGTTTTTTGAGAAATCTCCTTACTGTTTTCCATAATGGCTGTACTAATTTATGCTCCCACCAACCAGTGGATGAATCCCTTTCTGTCCACATCCTTGCCAGCATCTGTTATTTTTTGCCTTTTTAATAACAGCCATTCTGGCTGGGGTGAGATGATATCACATTGCAGTTTTGATTTGCATTTCCCTGATGATAGTGATGTTGAGCATTTTTTTCATATACCTGTTGGCCATTGTGTGTCTTCTTCTGAGAGATGTCTATTTGTCTATTTAGATCCTTTGCTCACTTTTTAATGGAATTGTTTTAAAAACAAACAAAACAGGTGAGAGGACACTGCTAGAATCACAGAGGTGAGCTGGGGGTGTCTTGATGGCTGACAGCAGCTCACCCCCACCCCACCCACTTTACAGATGAGAAAACTGAGTCCCCGAGGGTTTAAGTGTTTAAACGTTTAACAGGTGATTGGTTGACATTGTGAACAGACAGGTTCTGGCACTGCAGCTTTAGGGGAGCCAGAAAGCCCTGCTTACTCCCAAATTGTTCCTCACTGTCCCATTGCAGAGAACATTTCCTTCACTAGCTTCTTCTCCTTTGGAGTGGCTGGGCCAGGACAGGAAGGACACCAGAGTCAGGAGGCCTTCTGTTCTGGCCTGGCTACTGACTCGGGCAAGCCGTGTTACCTCCCTGACCTCAGCCTCCTCCCCTAGAAAATGGGATGATGAGGCCAGGCACGGTGGCTCACGCCTGTAATCCCAGCACTTTGGGAGGCCAAGGCGGGTGGATCACGAGGTCAGGGGATCGAGACCATCCTGGCTAACACGGTGAAACCCTGTCTCTACTAAAAATACAAAAACTTAGCTGGGCGTGGTGGCGGGTGCCTGTAGTCCCAGCTACTCGGGAGGCTGAGGCAGGAGAATGGCGTGAACCCAGGAGGCGGAGCTTGCAGTGAGCCGAGATCGCGCCACTGCACTCCAGCCTGGGCAACAGAGCGAAAAAAAAAAAAAAAAAAAAGGGATGATGAAACCTACCCCCAGAGCTGCTGTGAGAATTAATAAGACAGCATCTGGAATTAAAAAACAAACAGGTTTTTTCCTACTCTCAGACACATCATTTACCACTCAGCACGGAATACTTCATCAAAATGTGTGTGGGGATTTCTGTCCACCAGCAAGCAATTCTTCTCCCTAGCTGATACCAACAGGTGTCCTCTCATTTAATTCAATTCCAACACCATCCACCTGGAGGGCTCAGTCTCACGTGACAGCCTCCACTTCTGATGCCAGTCGCAAGCCTTAGGTGTGGCCTGTGCTTCTGACCGACCTGCCATGAATCAGGGTTCCCACGACCCCCTCCTCGGGTCTGATGGATTGCTGGAGCGGCTCACAGAACTCAGGGACACTCTGAGCCGCGTTTACCCATTTATGACACAGGCGGTGACGAAGGTGCGGATGCACAGCAGGTGGGGGAGACGTGTGGGCAGGCACGGGGAGGGGCGTGGAGCTTCCAGGCCCTCCCAGCACCACCTCCAGGCACTTGTGTGTGTTCAGCTATCTGGGGGCTCCCTGAACCGTGTCCTTTTGAGGTTTTGAGGGGCTTCCTTAAGTAGGCATGACTGATTACATCATTGGCCATCAGTGATCAACACAGCCTTCTGCCCCGACTTCACTCCCCAGAGAAGCGGGATTGGGGCTGAAATACCCAACTGTCTACTCCAGGGGTGCCCAATCTTTTGGCTTCCCTGGGCCACACTGGAAGAAGAAGAATTGTCTTGGGCCACACATAAAATACACTAACACGAATGATAGTTTATGAGCTAAAAAAAAAAAAAAAAATCACAAAATCTCATAATGTTTTAAGAAAGTTTAAAAATTTACTTTGTTGGATTTACTTTGTGTTGGGTTGCATTCAAAGCTGTCCTGAGCCGTGAGTTGGACAAGCTTGGTTGCTTCTTTTTTTTTTTGAGACGGAGTCTCGCCCTGTCACCCAGGCTGGAGTGCAGTGGTGCCATCTCGGTTCACTGCAACCTCTGCCTGCTGAGTTCAAGTGATTCTCCTGCCTCAGCCTCCTGAGTTCCTGGGATTACAGGCACTCGCCACCACACACAGCTAATTTTTTGTGTTTTTAGTAGAGAGGGGGTTTCACCATGTTGGCCAGGCTGGTCTCGAACTCCTGATCTCAGGTGATCCACCCTCAACCAGTGCCCCATCCTGAGGTGATCCAGGAGTCCCAAGGCATCAGCCGTCTCATAAGCACACAAAAGGCACTCTTAGAGTCCCGAGATTACAAGGGTTTCAGGAGCTATATGCCAGGGACCAGGGGCAGAGACCCTTATTTCTTTTTTTTTTTCTTTTCCACAAGATCACACTGTATATGTAAATAGCTCAGCTTGGAGCCTGGCCCATAGTAGATGCTTAATGTCAAATTTTATAAGATAGAGATAAGAGTTATACCTTCTGCAGCCACTAGGATTAGAGTAGACAACATATAACAGAAAACCTCAAACAACATAAAAGCTGGTTTCTCTCACATTAAAAAATCTGGAACTACATAGTGTACGGCTAGGAGAGTTCCATGGTCACCAGAGACCCAGGCACCTTCTCTTTTTCTATTCTGCCATCCTTATCACCTTGTGGTACAGATTGGCTGCTGAAGATCCAGCCATCACATCTCAACTCCAGGGAGCAGGAAAGAGAAAGAAGGAAGAGTGTAGTGCACAAGAACTTTCCTGGAGGCGTCACCAGTGGCAGCTTGCTCATTCCTGTTTTCCAGGGAGGCTGGCAAATGTCATTGGTTTCGCTGAGCATGTTACCATCCGCAGTAATAGAAGGGTTCTGTTCACAGAGAGGAAGGGGAGCATGGATACCGGCATGAGACCAGGAGTGTCGGGCAGACTCTCCTCACAGAGCGACTTGGGAAATGAATCATTGTCATCAAGGTGTTTATTCACTGTAATCATATTTTAAAAAGGAGAAAAAACCATGATCTGAATATTGGAGAGGAAATTAAATTATAATAGATTTGACAAAATGACTGTAACAAAATTATTTGTAAGTAGCCCAGAATAGTGTCAGGGTGAGGGTTTTGGAGCCCCGGCCCAGTTCCACGACTGTGAGCTCTCACAGCTTGTTTCCCTGCCCGTTCAATGGAGACCATGAAGAAGCAAGAATGACAGATGCCCCCTCCCACAACGCCCACTTGACATTTATGATCCCCTCTTGTGCCACGTGGTTCTGCCTGAGGGCTGTGTCTGGCCGGAGGAATGCTCTCCAGCAGCCCCTGGAGGACAGAGTGCACGTGCCAGGGAGCTGCGCCCAGGAGCCGCTCTTCATGTGGCCGCGGGTCATGGAGGATAAACACCCCAGCTCCCTCACTCCTTGTGGGGGGCAGCTCTGAGGCCAGCTCTGCAGCATCCGCCCGAGAGCCCCAGCAGATGGAGGCCAGCTGCTCACAGGACAGCTCTGCCCACGAACCAGGGAGACTAGCCGCCCTGGCTTGTCTAGGAGGGTCTCAGTTTTAGCATCCAAAGTCCCACATCCCAGAAAACTCTCTGGTCTGGGCAAAGCAGGCAGGTGGTCATTGTATCATGAACACAACCCTGTGGCTTCCCCCTTCTCCGTGCCCTTCCCCACTGCCCTCCCACTGCTCCCGGGGATCACTTCCCAAATAAACAGCTTGCATCTGGGATCCTGACTCACAGTGGGCTTCTGGGGAACCCAGGCTAAGATGGGCAGCCTCTGCCTTGCCCATCACAGGGTTTTTATTAGGGTCAAGTGAGCTTATAACGAGTCTGCACGTGCATGATAAAAATGAAGCACTACTGGCCTGGCGTTGTGTCTCATGCCTGTAATCCCAGCACTTTTGGAGGCTGAGGCGGCGGATCACCTGAGGTCAAGATTTCGAGACCAGCCTGGCCAACATGGTGAAACACTGTCTCTACTAAAAATACAAAAATTAACTGGGCATGGTGGCGGGCGCCTGTAATCACAGCTACTTGGGAGGCTGAGGCACGAGAATTGCTTGAACCCGGGAGGCAGAGGTTGCAGTGACCGGAGATCGCACCACTGTACTCCAGCCTGGGCGACAGAGTGACACTCCATCTCAAATAATAATAATAGAAGAAGAAGCACTATAGCATGCCTATTGGGATTTTCATGACTATCAGAGCTGTCCCCATGAACAGGACTCAAAACAGGCACATTTCACAGGGGAGATGAGTGAAAGAGTGAGATGGGGCAAGGCTATTTCTGGGAAGACCCAAGCCTGGTTTGGGGAGCTGGACATCCAGGGGCAGCGCGTGGGGACAGTGCCCCGGGCGCTGGGATGGAACACTCACGGCCGTGATACTCTGATGACCCATCCGTGTCCCTGTGAACGGCCGCATTGGGGTGAAACTGGGTTCAGGGCCCACTTTTCCCCATCCAGTTCTTTGGCGCATGGGTTTTCCAGCGCGGCAGGGGTCGCGTCCTTACCCCGGAGCCACTGATGGATTCCCGTGCCTTTCACTCACTCCCCGGCCACACCCACTGTTAGGTGATGGGACAGCTTCCAGTTCTCGCAGTCACCACGACCCTGGCTGTAAATATTTTGGGGCAGTAGCTCAGCTCCCGCCGTGAAGCTGGAGGAACCAGGTTTCGGACCAGGGCAGGTTGTGTCCCTTCCCTGGGCCTCAGTGTTCTCATCTCAGAAATGAGGACTGTTCTCCCCACTCTGAGGGTTGCTACGAGGGCTGCTCAATATAAGCCCTGCTGGCGCAGGCTCTGAGGCTAAAGTTTCCTCCTGCCTTCTTTTCCATGCTTTTCCTGGGACATGTTCACCAGCCAGGCCCCTTCAGTGCTCCTGGTGGGTGCAGGAGTTAGGACCGGGGAGGGGGGAAAGAACAGCGGCCTGGGAGCAAAGCCGGCAGCCCTGTCCAGGCTCAGCGCTCGGTGGGCAGAGCTGGCCCAGGCTTCTGCCCGGTGCCACTGCTCCTCCCCATGCCCCTTCCTGAAAAGGCACCAGGCTGGCAGAACTCACCGGGCAGGGTTCCTCCACCACCTTGCTGGGCACAGCTTGGAGGTGGCAGCCGGTTTCTCATGTAGATCTCCTTAAGTTGTGAGTGACAGAAATGAACATCACCAAGGTCACCCCTCGGGACCCTCTGAGGACCCCTTGGGTGCTTCGGGGGTTTCTATCCCTCACTGGTTGAGGCTGCCCCTGGGGGCCTGAGGCCCTTGCACGTTGTTGCTGCCCAGGGCTAGGCTGAGCCAGCTCCTGAGATGTCACTAAGTCAACCCTCAGCTGGAGAGGCCGAGACTCGGTGCTGGGGTGAAGTTATTGGTGTGCCAGGAGCTGTCCCTGCAGTGCAAGTGGCTCAGAGGTGGCCAAGGGCACCCCTGGCAGGACCTCACCTGTGTCTGCACAGCTACCAGGCCGTCACTGCTGAGCGGCAGAGTTCTCCTCCGGGCTTGGGTCCACATGCCCTTTGGGTGGCAGAGTCCTGCACTCCCAGCATGTCCCAGCCCACCCTGTCCTCATGTCATCCCCCTCCAGGCCAGCCATTTGCAGGTCCCCGAGTAAACCAGGCTTGCCCACCCACATGCCTCTGCCAGGCACCTAGAGTGTCCTCAACCTGACCCTCTTGCGTGGACACCAACTCCCCTTTGGAGACCTAGAGAAGCATATGCCCACTCGGGGCAGCCCTGCCCTCCTCCCCATCAGGCTGGGCCCCTGCAGCGTCCGGAGCCTGCTCCTGTCTGGGCCCTCAGTGCCTCACCTGGGGCCTGACAGGCGCCCCCTGAAAGTATTTGCTGAATAACTGATCGGTCCGTGCCTCCCAAACCTCCACATGTACACGCATCACCCGGGCATTGTTAACGTGATGCCGCGGGGCCTCGGGGAGGCCGGAGACCCTGAGACCCGGGTGAGATGGAGGCTGCTGGGCCGCTCCGGACCGCATTTTGGAGAATGAGCTGACAGAGGCTTTTCTTTCTTCTGAAGTTGCCTCTCTTTATTTTCTTGTTTTTGTTTTTTGGTTTGTTTTGTTGTTATAGTTGAGATAGGATCTTTCTCTGTCACCCAGGCTGCAGTGCAGGGTGCCGTCACAGCCCACTGTAGCCTCTCAGTTTCAATTGATTCTCCCACCTCAGCATCCTGAGTAGCTGGAACTATAGGTGTGTGCCACCACGGCTGGCTAATTTTTGTAGTTTCTTTTCTTCTTTTTTTGTAAAGACAGGGTTCCACCATGTTGCCCAGACTGGCCTTGAACTCCTGGACTCAGTAATCCTCCCAACTTGGCCTCCCAAAGTGCTGGGATTACAGGCGTGAGCCACCATGCCTGTCCCCCTCTCTCTCCTTTCATCCCCTGGAAAACTCCTATTCAACCTTCAAGACCCCAGCCAAACAGTGACTCCTCAGTGAAGTCTTTCCTAATCTTGCTTCCTCCCTCTCCCGCCTAACCTGGCCAAGGCTGTATTCAGTGCAGCATAAGAGAATCAAATGCTTTCAAGTACACAGGGTGACACTGAGCGACTCGGAGCTTGTTCACCATTGAGTTGAGCTTGTGTTCGCTGTGCCGAGGATCATCTGTTCCCGATTTTTCAGGGAGCTCTGCACTGTCTTCCTGAGTCCTACTGGCACCTCCCCTGGGCTGGTCCTGGGGATGGGGATGAAAGACACAGCTCCAACCTCAGGGAGTGCCTGGCGGTGGATGTGGGGCCAAGGCCCAGCGAGAGAGGGGATGGAACACAGGTGCCCGGCCTCTTCGCTGATTTCCTCTGGGTGCTGGTGCTTGGCTGTTGTGAGGCCCCAGGGTCCTGGCCCGGGGAGCGTGGCCGTGGCAGTGGAGGCCTCTTGGCATAGCAGCCCTGACTCCTTGTGGTCGTTTAACCTCCCCACTTCCTGCTGAGCCTCTGGAGAGAAGCGCCGATAACAGCAGGCTCCACCCCCAGGGCTCCATGGCAGGTGCTGCCTGGACTGGGGCAGCGGCTCCCTTGCAGGCCCTGCTGTGTTGAGGACAGTCCCTGTGGAGGTTGCTCGTGTTCCCAATTCCCTGCGAGGTTGGCCTCTTTCTGCCCATTATTCAGGTGAGGCTGCGGAGGCCAGAAAGGTGCCCAGCCTAGGGTGATACAGAGCCCCTGTGCGAGCCGAGTCAGCCTGGCCCTGAGCCTGTCCACCTCCACCCCACTCAGGGCCCCTCATCTCCTGCAGCCCCAGGGGCCTTGGGAGGTTGACCTTTGTTGGAGCTCAGAAAACAATACCCCAAAATGAGGGACTCAGAAGCAGCCTCAAAAGCTAAAGTTGGCTGAGTGTGGTGGCTCACACCTGTTATCCCAGCATTTTGGGAGGCTGAGGTAGAAGAATCACTTGAGGTCAGGAGTTGGAGCCCAGCCTGGGCAACATAGTGAGGCCCCCATCTCTATAAAAAATGATAATAAAAGAAATGAGCCAGGCATGGTGGTGTGCCTGTGGTCCCAGCTACTCGGAAGGCTGAGTTGGGAGGATTGCTTGAGCCCAGGAGGTCGAGGCTACAGTGAGTCCTGATTGCACCATTGCACTCCAGCCTGGGTGACAGAGGGAGATCCTGTCTCAAAAAAAAAAAGAAGTTTTTTTCTGACCTTTTCCTGCCCTCCTGTCTCAGACTCATTCTCCCACAAGGCCAACCAGAGACTAGAATCCCTCTTCCCCAAGGCAGGTCCTGGAATCCAGAACCCCTTTCTCCCAAAGGCAGCTATAAAACCTAAAAATATGATGCAAACTTTCTCTCTGCCTTTCTGTGTAAAAACTGGCCCTAAAGAAATGATCTGACTACCTCATTTGACTGTAGGTCCTAAGACCCCCATTGTAGAGAGGGTCCTGCCCCACGCCCTTCTGGGAAGAATCCTGACGGACAGGCCCCACTGGGTTTCCCTGCTGTCTATTCACATTAGATCAGCCCTTTCATCCAATCCTGTTTCCAGACACTGTCCATACTTTGTTGAACCTAAGGCTGCAGGAGGGACGAGTGAGTGGCTGGAGGTGCCCGTAGGGCCCTGGCCCCCAGCAGTGGCTCCTCCCCTTGAGCAGCAGCTCTTCTCCTCCTTTGCTCCCAGCCCAGCTTCCCAGGGGTCTCCTGGGCCAGATCCCAGAGAGAGACGGAGCCCACCTTGATGATCCAGGACACCCAGCGCAGGTTCCAGGGACCCCAGTCAGACACCACCGCTGGTCCAATCAGCTGTGACCGCGGCTGCAGGAGTGAGGGGATGTGGGAGGAGCAGGGTCTCCCCAAACAGATCCAGTGTAGCCTGCAGGAGTTGGGGTGTGAGCTTTTGAGGAGGGATACATGGGGAGCTGGGACCCCCAAGATGGATCTAGCACAGCCCTTCCTCTTGAGCTGTGCCCCGCTAAACAGCCTCTCAGACTGGAGGGTGTGTCCACACGACCACGGCAGGGGAGGTTGGGTGGAACCTGGGGTTCTGCATTTTTGACCGGCTTGGGCTGATGAGACACTGCTGGTCCTCAGACCTCACTTTGAGAAGCGAGGCCTTACAGCACCACTCAGAGTTTTTTTTAAAAGGAAAACTCAGTGTTTTATTCAACTGGGGAAAAGTTCACATAACAAAATTCACCATCAACCATTTTGACGTACACAGTTCAGTAGCACTTACTGCACTCACTAACTTCTATTGCCACCTCTATCCGGTTCCAAGACAGCTCCATCACCCCCGAAGGGGACCCCAAGCCCGCCAGCAGTCACCTCTCACTCCTCCTTCCCCCTAGCTCCTGGCAACCCCCAATCTACTTTCTATCTCTTTTCTCTGTCTATCCTGGATGTCTCCTATAAATGGAGGCATGCAAGGTGCGGGCATTTGTGGCTGGCTTCTTTCACTGGCCATGGTGTTTTCCAGGTTCACCCACGTTGTAGCGTGAGTCAGCCCTTCATTCCTTCACAGGGCTGACTACAACCCCACTGTATGGAGATACCCGATTTCATGTGTTCATTTATCTGTTGATGGAAACTTGGGTAGTTTCCACATCGTGGCCATCATAAATAATGCTGCTATAAATGTTCCTGTACAAGTATCTGAAGACCAGTTTCAGCTCTTTTGGGTGTGAGAGATGCCTGCAACTCTTTTGGGTGTGAGATGCCTGTAGCTCTTTTGAGTGTGTGTGATGCCTGCAGCTCTTTTGAGTGTGAGAGATGCCTGCAGCTCTTTTGACTGTGAGAGATGCCTGCAGCTCTTTTGGGTGTGTGTGATGTCTGCAGTTCTTTTGGGTGTGTGAGATGCCTGCAGCTCTTTCGGGTATGAGATGCCTGCAGGTCTTCTGGGTGTGAGATGCCTGCAGGTCTTCTGGGTGTATGAGATGCCTGCGGCTCTTTTGGGTGTGAGATGCCTGCGGCTCTTTTGGGTGTGAGAGATGCCTGCAGCTCTTCTGTGTGTGTGTGATGCCTGCAGCTCTTTTGGGTGTGAGAGATGCCTGCAGCTCTTTTGGGTGTGTGTGATGGCTGCAGCTCTTCTGGGTGTGTGTGATGCCTGCAGCTCTTTTGGGTGTGAGATGCCTGCAGCTCTTCTGGGTGTGTGTGATGCCTGCAGCTCTTTTGGGTGTGAGATGCCTGCAGCTCTTTTGGGTGTGTGTGATGCCTGCAGCTCTTTTGGGTGTGAGATGCCTGCAGCTCTTTTGGGTGTGTGTGATGCCTGCAGCTCTTTTGGGTGTGAGATGCCTGCAGCTCTTTTGGGTGTGTGTGATGCCTGCAGCTCTTTTGGGTGTGAGATGCCTGCAGCTCTTCTGGGTGTGAGAGATGCCTGCAGCTCTTTTGGGTGTGAGATGCCTGTGGCTCTTCTGGGTGTGAGATGCCTGCAGCTCTTCTGGGTGTGTAAGATGCCTGCAGCTCTTTTGGGTGTGTGATGCCTGCAGCTCTTTTGGGTGTGTGAAATGCCTGCAGCTCTTTTGGGTGTGTGAGGTGCCCGCTGTGGGACTGCTGGGACTGATGGCAGCTCTGTGTTTCACCCATTGAAGAACCAATGTTTTGAAAACCATGAATCTGCTCGCACCTCCCATGTTTCATGAACATAGATTCCACACCTCTGTTTGGTAGCAGCATCATGCTCATCACGTGGATGTGGCCACTGGCATGGCTCATCCACAACGGCACCTTCTTGTGCCTGGTCAGTTGTTTTTAGGGTAAATTCCAACAGTGAAGGTGTAAGGTCAAGGTCAAGCCACTTGTGTTACATCACGCCTTCCCTCGGGAGGCTACCAGGGCCCTCCCCTACTGGAATCCATCAGGCCCTGTTCCTCACATTCTCCACGTTCTTTTTCGTCCTTGTCAATGTCATAGCAGGAGACACATGGACTCTGGAGATATGAGTATGAAGTCAGCCTCTAAAAATGCTGATATGCACTTCTCTGCACAAATCTGGGTCATACATGGTGTTAATGATAAATTCTCTGGGTGCTGGGATTATAGGTGATTGCTGTTTGTTTTGCCAATTGTTTATATGTATTTTCCATTTTTTCTACAATGAATGTGTATTACTTGGGTAATAAAAATAAGTTTTGGCTGGGTGCGGTGGCTCATGACTGTAATCACAACACTGGGAGGCTGAAGCAGGAGGACTGTTTGAGCCCAGGAGTTCAAGACCAGCCTGGGCAACATAGGGAGACCCTGTCTCTGCAAAGAATAGAAAAAATTAGCTGGGTGTGGTGACGCTCACCTGTAGTCCCAGCTAATTGGGAGGCTGAGGCAGGAGGATCACTTGAGCCAGGGAAGTCGAGGCTGCAGTGGGCTGCAATGGCACTGCTGCATTCTAGCCATCCTGGGCAACAGATACTGTCTCAAAAAAAAAAAGTTTTAAACAATGAAGTGGGGATGTGCTTGGGGTCTCTCCTCACGGGAACCCATTAGAGGGCAGAGCTGATCCTGCCAGCCCATCTGCCCACCTTGGGTGGGTTTTGGGGGCACAAACCCATCCTTGCCCTTGGCTGTGAGGCTGTCCTGGCAGCGCCCGCCAGCAAGAAGGTGGCAGTGCTGGGAACATGGGCTGTCTGGGACCCTAAAACTCCGCTGGGTCACTGCAACCTCCACCTTCCTGGTTCAAGCGATTCTCCTGCCTCAGGCTCCCCAGTAGCTGGGACTACAGGTGCCTACCACCATGCCCGGATAATTTTTGTATTTTTAGTAGAGACGAGGTTTCACCATGTTGGCCAGGCCACCGCGCCCGGCCATGTTTACCACTTTTAAGTGTGCAGTTCAGTGGCATTAAGCACATTCATAACATCGTATGACCATCACCACCATCACCTCCAGAACGGCTTCATCTTCCCCGGCTGAAACTCCATCCCCACGAAACACTGGCTCCCCATTCCCCTCCCCCAGGCCCCGGCTCCCACCACGCTTCTCACTGTCTCTAGGGACTCAGGTGAGTGGAATCCCACAGCATCTGCTCTTTCCTAACTGGTTTCTTTCACAGAGCGCCGTGTCCTCAAGCTTCCGTCTTGTTGCAGCACGTACCAGAATTTCCTTCCTTTTTGAGGCTAATGCAAAAATTAGCTGGCATGGTGGTATGCTCTTGCGGTCCCTGCCACTTGGGGGGCTGAGGTGGGAGGATCACTTGTGCCCAGGAGGTTGAGGCTGTAGTGAGCTGTAATCACACCACTGCACTCCAGCTTGGGCCACAGAGCAGGACCCTGTCTCCAAAAAAAAAATAAAAATAAAAATAAAAAAAATATATATATATAAATATATATAAATATATATATATATGGCTGGGTGCAGTGGCTCACACCTGTAATCCCAGCACTTTGGGAAGCTGAGATGGGGGGATCACCTGAGGTCAGGAATTCGAGACCAGCCTGGCCAACATGGCAAAACCCCATTTCTACCACAAATACAAAAAATAGCCAGGCGTGGTGGCGGGTGCCTGAAATCCCAGCTACTCAGGAGGCTGAGGCAGGAGAATCACTCGAACCACTAGGAGGCGGAGGTTGCAGTGAGCTGAGAGTGTGCCACTGCACTCCAGCCTGGGCGACAGAGTGAGACTCCATCTCAAAAATATATATATGTATCTTTAAAATAGGTAATTGCTTATCAATAGCACCAACTTCCTGAGCTATTAGGCCCCGCATCAGCTTTGTTGTCCTGATGCTATTCTCACTATGTCCCCTGCGGGCAACGCCGTCCACGCAGGCCACGTGTCTGTCTCTCATTCCAGCCGAGAGGCGTGCAGGGCCCCCTGGAGTCATTCTGGTCAGGGTGGGGCAAATCTGTAGGGTTGGGTTGAGAGGGGAATCCCGTGGCTCTTCTTGAGGATTTGAGGGGATTCCTTCAGCCGTGGTCCCAGGAATTCTCACGAGCCCCCATTCCGCTCCCGGGGCTGATCCAGACGCTGTGGATACAGCTGTGAGCAAGGGACCCACACTCCTGCTTCTCCTCTGAGTGAGGCAGGACCATCGCATGTTGAGAATAGAAGGAGGGCAAGGGCAGAATTAAATGAAAATTTGCTTCTGTCGTGGGAGGGGTGCATGTGTACGGTAAGAACGACCCCCCAGCTCTGCCCTTTATTTGCAAAATGTCTTTGAAGAGAAAGGAGGGCCGGGCACAGTGGCTCATGCCTATAATCCCAGCACTTTGGGAGGCAGAGGTGGGCAGATCACTTGAGATCAGCAGTTTGGGACCAGCCTGGCCAACATGGTGAAACCCTGTCTCTAGTAAAAACAAAAACAAAAACAAAAAATTAGCCAGGCACAGTGGTGAGCGCCTGTAATCCCAGCTACTGGGGAGGCTGAGGCAAGAGAATCCCTTGAACCCAGTAGGTGGAGGTTACAGTGAACTGATTTCGCGCCGCAGCACTCCAGCTTGGGCAACAGACGGAGACTCTGTCTCCAAAAAAAAAAAGAAAAAATAAAAAGAGAAAGTAGGAGCCATGTGTTCATTCCTTTGTTCACTTAATAATTCATTCATTCACTCATGCAAGACCATCACCCTGGGCCCTGAACCTGCTTCTCAGGTGGGCCACACCTGAACACATTCTACAGAGACTTCGAGGCTATTGGGGCCCATGTGTAGGGTCAGGGAGGACGGGCCAGTGGGTATGCAGAATAGGGTGGGGGCACCCAGCTTTGGGGTCCTTCGGGATTTCAGTGGATCGGCTGCTAATAACAAGCCCTTCCTGAGGGCCCCACGCTGCTTGCCTGTCGGTTCTGCCTCTGAACCACGAAGAGGCTGCCACCTGGCTCTGCTACGGTGACCGACCGTCCCAGTTTGCCTGGGACTGAGCGACTTCCTGGGAAGCAGAGCTGTTAGTGCTAGACCTGGGACAGCCCCAGGGAAACCAGGATGCTGGCCACTCCAGCTTCTGCCCACACGGCCTCCTCCACAGGAAGACTTCCTGAGCCCCTCCTCCCACAGCATGGCTCCAACGCCCTTGTGTTCTGGGGCCGTTGTTGGGGAATTCTGTTGGGACGGACTGTTTCTGTGGCCTTCTGGGGCTGTCCTTGGGGAATTCTGTTGGGACGGACTGTTTCTGTGGCCTTCTGGGGCTGTCCTTGGGGAATTCTGTTGGGACAAACTGTTTCTGCAGCATTCTGGGGCCATAGTTGGGAAATTCTGTTGGGACGGACTGTTTCTGTGGCATTCTGGGGCTGTCGTTGGGGAATTCTGTTGGGATGGACTGTTTCTGCACCTGTCTGTTGGACAAGCAGTTAAGCCCCTCATGAGTAGAGAGACCCTGCCTCGTCCATCCTTGTGCCTCCAGGGTCTAGCCCCATGCCTGCATGGCCGCCATTCCTGGACCTGGACTTGACATCCTGTTCTGAGTTGCAGTAGTTGTTCCGTAGTTACAAAGCAGTGTGTGCACGGGGAGAGGGCAGTGGCAAGGGAGCACCTGCACAGGTGAGTCAGGAGGAGCCGCTGCATGGGGCAGGTGGGGAAGGAGCAGAGGAGCACCTGGGCAAAGGCAAGGAAGGGCTGGAGAATTAGACGTAGCCAAGGTTATCTTGGGTGGGAGTTGGGAATGTGCAGAGGGGCTGGCAGGGATCTCGACGGAACACGTTGCCCTGTGGAGGGCCTTGAATCTGCCGTGGGGCTGCAGCACGTCTTGAGGGCACTGGGAGCCACTGGAGAATCCTAAGCTGAGGCAGGAGAATCATTAAGCAGGGGAGGTGCCTGACAATCCACGTGCTTCGCCAGGGTAGGGAAACTGGGAGGCACTGCCAGATGCAGGGGCCAGGGCAGAGGACAGAGCGGAGGCTGAGGGGGTCAGGTGGCACCTCCAGCCTTCTTCTGGGCTGGGTCTGCGCTGAGAGCTGCTTCCTGGAGGAGGAGAGATCAGTAGGGCCTGGGCCCCTAGGCCAGCATGTGGCTGCCCGGCCAGGAAAGTGCTACCAGAGAGGCACGGCCGGCTCCCTGTGGCTATAGCCTCAGCTCAGCGGGAGAGCTGGGGTCAAGCCAAGACCCTAGCAGGGTCCAAAGAGGGCTCCACCAGGCCAGGCTGGGGAGGAGGGCTGCCTGGGGTGATCACCCGTAGCCATCACTAGGAGGCAGACGGGGGATCGGCCCAAGAGGTCATGGCCACAAAGATGCTCCAAGGCTGGACTGTGGCGGCAAGTGTGGGGAACGAGGCTTCAGGGCAGAGCACTAATGCTTCTTTCTGCTGCACGCGGCAGGGCACCAGGCCTCTCCAGGGATGTGGACATGGGGGCTGGACTCCCAGCTGCAGACCTGCTGTGGGGTGCCTCTGATCAGGACTTCGGGGTGCCTCTGAGCAGGACTTCTTCTGAAGCAAGACTAACGGGAGCCTGGAGGCGACGGGAGAAGCCTGTTCAGAGTCCCCGGGATGAAGCGGGCCCCTAGTGAGCGGGACCTGCTGGCTAGCTGGGACCCCCCATTCTCTCTGTGTCAAATGGGCATGCTTGCTCTTCCCTCTTGAAGTATGGTGAGGATTAAATAATGGAGAAGGTGTAGACAGCTCTAAAACCCAATGAGTGCGGCTGTCGTCAATATGCAGGCCTCTCCGTAAACCAGCGTTAAAGAGCTCTGCAGAGTTTTGCAGACAGTGAGGAAGCCGTGTGCTTCCCGGCATGCATCCTTTATATGTTTCTCTGGGTGTTTGTTTCCAATTAGAATAATCAATTACACACTTGCCAGGTGTCTCATGTATGAGCCAGTTGGGAAGATTAAAACTGGACATTAATGCAGCAAGAGGAGGTGCTTAACTCGTGTGATAAGGTAGCAAAAACCAGGGTGAGAATAAAACACTTTCGGGAAAACTAAACAGCGGACTCAGTATCTGTCACCAAACTGTGGCCAGCGTGGTGAGGTGACAAGAACAGCCTTTCTGATCAGTTTGGAGGTTAAAAAGACTTGTGGAATGATTGGGTCATGAGAAGCACATGGTTTATTTCAGTAAAGCTTCTTTTACATAAGCAAGTTTTAGTCTAAAGAAAGATTTCACATTAAGGGAAAGTAGAATTACAGATTGACTCAGCACTTCATTTACATGTCTTTAAAAAGTGGCTAAGAAAAATAGTCCCCTTTGTAAGGGGCTATTGTAAGAAAATGATTGCAAGAAAAACCCCATAGTAATTGTAAGATGATTGTAAGAAAAACCCCATAGTAAATACAAAACCATAGAAGCCCTTTTTGTAAATCTTCCTCCAATGTCTGGGTTTTGGGCAGGGTGGGATGGAGTTGGGGCCCATGACTGGAGAGGCTTTGGAGTGTCAGCATCATGTAGGCGTGTCACCCACACTGGTCCCCTTCTGTGACCCTTGGGACGACCACTCCCCTTTAACGTAGAGAAAGGCAGTGGTACTTGAAGATCACCCAGGCGGGATTCAGCCCAGAGCTGGGTTTGCTCCAAACACCTTGCTTCTCTCTGTCGGTCATGGCAGAACGCCAGCCTCTCTGAGAAGGAAAGACCAACACCCATGCTTAGCAAGCCTCAAGACCCGCTTCTAAAACCTGCACCCTCGTTGGCCTTGGAGTGTAGCCTGGAGCAGGTCACCTGGCCCCTTGGGAGGTCCCAGAAGGCAGGACCCTGGCTGCCGTGTCTCCACATCCCTGACTTACAGGTGCTCAGTTAATGTGAGGTGAGGTGCCTTCTAGACTCCTTTTCAAGAGACTCATTACAAGTGGACTAGCGCTGTCCAAAAGAAATAGAATCCGTTGAAATCCTGTCATTTGCAACAACTTGGGTGGAACTGAAGGTCAACATGTTGAGTGAAATAAGCCAGGTGAAGAAAGACAAATTTTGCATGTTCTCACTCATATGTGAGAGCTAAAAATGAAAACAACTGAATGCATGGGACGGAGAATAGAAGGATGGTTACCAGAGGCTGGGAAGAGTTGCAGGACGGGCATGGTTAATGGGTATAAAACTATCGTTAGAATAAATAAGATCTAGTATTTGATAGCACAACAGGGTGAAGACAGTCAACAATAATTTATTGTATATTTTAAAATAGCTAAAAGAGTTGAACTGGAATTTTACTAACACAAAGAAATGATGCGTGCTTGAGGTGACGGACACCCCAATTGCCCTCATGCGATCATTATGTGTCACACATCTATGTCACATATACATATATAAGTACAGGTACTCATAATGATTAGAAATAAAATTGTTTTAAAAAAATAAATAGAATTCAAGGCACAGATGTAATTTTAGAAACCACATTTTAAAAAGTAAAAAGAGGCCAGGCATGGTGGCTCATATCTGTAATCTCAGCACTTTGGGAGGCCAAGGCAGGTGGATCACTTGAGCTGAGGAGTTCGTGACCAGTCTGGCCAACATGGTGAAACCCAGTCTCTACTAAAAATACAAAAATTAGCCGGGTGTGGTGGTGGGCACCTGTAGTCCTAGCTACTCGGGAGGCTGAGGCAGGAGACTCACTTGAATCTGGGAGGCAGAGATTGCAGTGAGCCAAGATCATACCACTGCACTCCAGCCTGGGCAATAGAGTGAGACTCCATAAAAAAAAAAAAAAAAAAAACCAACAACAACAAAAACAACTAAAAAGAAGCTGGTGAAATTTATTTTCCTACAATATTTTACTAATCACTATATTGAAAGTATTATCATGTCAACATGTGATCAATCCATAAATGAACAGCCAGGTACTTTCTGTTCTTTTTCCTGCCAAACCCTTGACGTCGTATGTATTCACACCCACAGCACAGCTCCATTGGGACACATCCTGTGTGGCTGGTTTCCCGTGTTGGCAGCACAGAACTAGAGTAATCCAGAGCCCTGTGCCCAGAGGCTATTCCATCAGGGTGGGGGGTGGCACTGTGGTGACTGGGAGCAGGAGGGTGCCAAGGCTGTGGCAGTGGGGATGGGAGAGGGAGCAAAGGGCAGCAGCAGGCCCCCGGTGCTCAGACCAGCAGGGTGGAGAGGAAAGCAGGATGGAGAGACCCCCGCCATCTCCCAAGCTCTGGGAGGGCAGGACCGTGAGCGCGAGTCCACGGGGAGGCACCGGGGCTGTGGGAGCCTCACCTGCACCCTGCACCTGGCTGGGTGGGGCTCCTCTTCTGGACCTGGCCCTTGGCCCCGGGGACTTGCTGCTTTTCTTTGCTTTCTGGAGCCTGGTGCAGGTACTGGCCAAGGGGTCCCAGCAGCTGCTGAATGAACACATGGCCCTGCTGAGGTTCATGTAGCAACAACACAATAGCAGGACACATTTGAGTTCATTTGCTCACTGGTTCCTTGAAACGATGCTTTGAATACAGACGATGCACTGAGCCCCTGCCTCCCCAGCGATGGGCATGTGGGGGGCGGGGCGGCGAGTGCAAAGCCAAGGTGGGCGGGCCAGGCTTCCCCTCAGGCTGGGGGAGGGGAGGCTGCCTGCCTCTCCTGGTGGTGGCTGGAAATCCTCGGTGTCCCTTGGTTTGTGCATGTTCCCAATTTCGGCCTTCGTCTCCCCTGTGTGTCTCTGGGTGGCTTCTCCTCTTATAAGGAGCCATTGGATCGGAAGCCCACCCTATTCCAGGATGACCTCATCTTCACTTAGCTCATTACGTCTGCAGAGACCTTATTTCCAAATAAGGTCACATTCGGGGTTTCTGGGTAGACTTGGACATTGGGGCACTTCACTCCCTCCCAGCTTCCGAGGGCTCTCCCAGCCCCCAGCTCCATCCCCAGGTTATCCCACAGGTGCCTGTCATGCGGCTCCTGCCTGTTTAATCCTGTCTCAGTGTTGGCTTCCCCGAGGACCTGGGCTGATGCAGGGATGTAGAGTTGTCAGGCCTGAGAGGCAGGGGCTCATCTGCGGTGGGGAAAGGGAAGACTGGGCCGGTGGCCAGTGTCCAGCAGTGGCACAAGGAGGCTGGGCTGACCCAGGTGTCTGGCTCTGTCAGCCAGGGTGGCAGCTGTGGTTGCCGACCTGTGGCCTCTTTCTGCGGGGAGCAGGTTTTGGGAAGGAGATGGGTCTGGGCTTAGGATGCTGAGCCCCAGGAGGGGTGGAGTCCACGAGGACATGCCTCAGGGCTCAGGGGTCACCGTGGGAGGTGGTCTGACCCCTGACCTTATTGTCCCCCACCACACTGCTGGCTGGCACAGAGATGTGGTTCCCCAATCTAGTGCTGGGGTAGGGGACAGCGTGAAGCCGAGGGGATGCCCTGGCCCCAGCTCGCAGGTGCGGCCCAAGAGGGTGGGGTGTGCACTGGGAAGGCACTAGTTCCACTGTCAATAGAATCTGTGCTGATGGTGCTGACCTGAGACCCCGGGACGACCAGTCTGTCCAGTGGGTAAGGTGGGCGGGAGAGGAGCACAGGAGGGGTGAGGGCTGTGGGGGACAGCTGGAGGTGGAGGCTGAGCAGCTGGGTTTGGGAGGAGAGCTGCTGAGCCACCTGCAGGTTCCTGGGACCCTCTATTCTGGGGGAGTTGGAGTGAGTGGAAGAAGGTGGGAATGGGGAGTGGAGGAGCCTGTGGCATCCCCACCTGCAGGGGAGAAGATTCCCAGCCTGGGTGTCAGTGCAGTCAGCAGTGTGGGCCCAGAGAACATGGGCTCATCACCCCTCTCCTCTGGGTCTGATTCCCCATTGGGAGCGGGAGAGCTCCTGAAACAGAAACTGCTGCCTGGAGCCCACAGGTGCAAAAACCCGGGGCCCAAGGCCTTTGCTGTTTTTAAACAAATCCACCCTTAGCCAACTCTCCCCGCCAGGCTTTTCCGCATGATTTGATGGGATGGGGCCTGCTGCCTCCTCCCTCTGCCCAGGGAAGGGTTCCCAGATGCGAGGGGGAGGAGGTGCGGCTCCTTCCTTTTCCTGGTGGCGCCGTGAAGATCTGTGTGTGTAGTTCTTGGAAAGATTCCAGGTGCTTGAAAACGACGTCTCAGTGGGTCAAGGGTGAGTGGGGAATCAGAGGTGACCCATGTCCAGGAGGGCCCCCCTTGCCTGGCATCTCCCACCACGGAGCCACAGACTGTGCTATCTCCCTCTCTTTGTCTCCCTCTCTCTCCCTGACTCTTTCCTTCTTCCTGTCTCCCTCTCCCTCTCTTTCTGTCTCTCTTTCTCTCTCACACACACACACACACATCCCTGGGTGATGGCTGTCGGTGGCTCCGCCCATGGCCAGATGGGAGAGGAGTGACAGGGCTGGGCAGTGGCTGGCCTCCAGGCCTCTGCCCTGCCTCCACCTGGGGGCCCGCTGGCTTTGGGTTTGGAGAAGAGGGCTGAAAGGGGGTGGGAGAGTTGGGGTAATGCTCCGGCCTGAGCCAGGCCCAGGGGTCAGGGAGGTGCCTGTGGTCAAGGCCTGCGGCCCCTGGTTGGCCTCCAACCTCACCACCTGCTAGCTGGGCCAGCACCTCCAGGAGGTCATGCCCTGCCCTGTGGGGTGGGCAGCAGACACCCCTCCTGGGCTGCTGGGAAAAAGTGTGCCCTGCTGGGGGCTGGCCTGCACGGGCTCCTGGAGGCTGGGGGATTTGGGAACCCTCAGAAGATGCGGCCCCTGCTCTTGGGAAGGCATTTTTCCTGCTCAAGGCAGAGGGGACGTGGCTTTTCCAGCCTGGCCCTGCAGGTGCTGTCTGCATTCCTGAGCCCCATCTGGGCGTTGGATGACCGGGAGCCCCTGCGTCCTCTCCAAGCCTCCTTGCTGGACACTGCACTCAGGACCCAGCAGAAGCCTCTGCCCTGGGTGCAGTGAGACAGGGAAGCCACCGGTCAGTCCCGGCACCTACACCACTGGGGCCCTACTGGGGTGTTCACAAAGAGCTGTGAGAATGAATCGCAGGAAGCGGCTCTGAACTTTCGCTGGGCCCAGGGGAGTTAGAGTTGACTGAGTTTGGCCAGATGGTTTTAAATCTCTTCTAATTATAAGATTCCAGCATGGGAGGTCTTGTCACCCATATTTTTTTTTTTTTTTTTTTTTTGAGGCGGAATCTCTCTGTGTCGTCAGGCTGGAGTGCGGTGGTGCGATCTTGGCTCACTGCAACCTCTGCCTCCCAGGTTCAAACGATTCCCCTGCCTCAGTCTCATGAGTAGCTGGGACTACAGGCACAGGCCACCATACCTGGCTAATTTTTCTATATTTTAGTAGAGACAGGGTTTCACCATGTTGGCCAGGATGGTCTCCATCTCCTGACCTTGTGATCCACCCACTCCCAAAGTGCTGGGATGACAGGCATGAGCCACCGTGCCCAGCCCCAAGCAAACTTTAGAACCACCTGCAGCAGGGGTGACAGGGCAGGGTGGGCAGGGCCTATTCGGGGGACGGGGGTGGAAGTCCAGCCTGGGAAGGCTCTGGCCCCACCTGGAGAAGCAGTTCCTCCTCGGAGTGGCTGGCGCCTGGGCTTTGGTGTTGGATCTTCCCAGGTGCACACCTCTGCTCCCGTGCTCACTGCTGTGTGCTCCTGGCCATGTGGCTGAACTGGCTGAGCCTCAGGTGCCTGATCTGTGAAATGGGGTGACAGGGTTTATAGGGTTGCTGAGAAGATTGGTAAGAGAATGTGCACACATGCGGAATGCCTCCAGTTTCAGGTAGATGAGCCACTGGCAGCCATCGTCACCACCACTAGGGTGGCCCCTCGCCATGTCTGCCCTTGCCCTGCCTTGCAGAGAACCAGCGGGTTTTGACCAGGGGAAAGCCTGAGGCCAGGGGAGCAGGGGGTGCCTGGCAGTCACTGAGTGCCACCCCACAGCAGGCCCTGCCCATCACCCTGTTCTGCATGACAGCCCCTCGAGGTTTGTGCGGCCACTTCCCTGCCCTACAGCTGGGGAAGGGTGGAGCGGGGCTCGTTCCCGGGACCTTCTTCCTCCAGTGCCAGTGCCCTTCCCATGGGGACCTCATGAGAAGTGCCCATGTGCGGGGGCTGGGCGGTGGCTCCAGAGTGGGGACAAGGGAGGGGTCAGGTTGGTTCATAGTTGGAGGCCCAAAGGCAGGGCTGTGGAGAGGCACGAAGGACACGGGTTTGTCCCCCACATGGTCATGGTCAGAAGCAACATGAGGAGGCCCTGAGAGGCGTAGGGGCACCACAGCCTGGATGGAGGAAGTAGGGGGCAGGGGAGAGAGGCCTTCCTGGGGTAGTTGGTATCTGTATCTGAGCCGACGTAAGACAAGTTGGAGTTGGCCATGGAGTACGAGAGGGCAGGGCATTCAGAGCAGCAGGCAGCAGGTGCAGAGAGTGCCTTTGAATAACCTTGGGAGGTCCAAGCTTCCCTCCTGGGCCCTGGGTGAGTGGCGTTTGTACCTGACTTCCCCCTTTCTGCCTATTTACTGTCAGTTGTCTATTTTTGTTTGTCTTGATTCCCAGTCCGGATGGGTTAAGATAGTTCTCACATCTGTCCCCTTCCTCCCTGACCAAGCACACAGGGGCAGCCAGACCACAGCTTCCTGTCTTTCTTCATACCCAGGAGGAAGAGAATGTCACAAGTGAGTGTGGCTGCTCGGCCATGCAGCTCTGAGCTGCCAGCAGGAGCAACACGTTCCCGACATCCTTCCTCAGCCCTGGCTTCCTAGAATTTCCTTTTTTTTTAGACTGAGTCTCGCTCTGTCGCCCAGGCTGGAGTGCAGTAGTACAGTCTTGGCTCACTGCAATCTCCGCCTCCTGGGTTCAAGCAATTCTCCTGCCTCAGCCTCCCGAGTAGCTGGGATTACAGGCGCCCACCACCACACCTGGCTAGCTTTTGTATTTTTAGTAGAGATGGGGGTTTTACCATGTTGGCCAGGTTGGTCTTGAACTCCTGACCTCAGGTGATCTGCCTGCCTCAGGCTCCCAAAGTGCTGGGATTACAGGCATGAGCCACCGTGCCCGGCTGAATTTTCTTCAATGGCTTCTTAGGGGCCATTCAGAGCAGGCGTTGCTGAGAGTGGGGACAGCCCCGAGTGGAAGGCCCTTCTCACCATCAGGCCTCCAGGCTGTGGGGCAACAAAGGAAGCCAGAGAACACGCCCCTTTCCCATCTTTTTATCATTCTTCCTCAGTCTGGCATTTTCTAGATTCTAGGATAGTTGCTTGATATCTGAAGTTGGGCAATTTGTTTTAGACACAGTAGAATTCCAGAAAGAGATGAGATAATTCACTTGTTTTTCTTTTCTGATAAAATATTTCATATTTGCAAAGACTATATCTAATAACTATAACATGAACAGCCCTGTCCCACCAGCTGAAGGAACAGGGCGCCACTAAGATGGCCCCAGGGCCCCCCCAGGGAGTACAGCACCCTGCACGTGGTGTGCACCCCGCGGTGATCCTCTGTGTGGTTTTCTTATTTACGTGTGCTTTGTCTGCTCCTGGACTTTGTTAAGTGGGATCACGGTGTGTGTTGTACTCCATGTGGGGTTAGCGAATCTCTGCCGACTGGCGGCCCATTGCACAGGTGGACCATGATCAGCGGACAGTGGAATTTAGCCTTTATGCTTTTATTCGTCAAATACTCATGGTACTCCCGTCACTTTGTGTGTCAGCCACAGGGCCAGGTGATGGGAACATTCGTCCACAGGGCTCAGGGAAGGGGCCCAGGGTCACCCAGGCTGTAGGTGCTGAGCCAGGTCCAGGTCAGTGCAGGACCGAACTCACCACGTGTGTTCAGCCCCACTGTGTGCCAGCAGCGGTAGGCGCTATGGGAATCAGCACAGAGTAGGCATGCAATAAGTGTTTATGGAGGGGAGCTAAATGTTTTCCTCATTCAGGAGGAAGTGCTATTACTTTCGTTTCACAAATGACAAAATACAGCATTAGCCCAGCAGCGGTGCCTGGCTGCACATCCGAGTCACCTGGGGGCGCCGCTGGATCCTCAGCTGCCCACACCCCAGCCCCCTAGATGTTCTGAGCAGTTGAGGCAGGACCTGGCCATAGGGGTTTGTCCAAACCTTCCACATGGGTCTTACTGGTGGCCAGTGTTGAGAGCTGCCGTTGCACCCTCCAAAGCCCCACGAGACACTGAGCTCAGAACTTGCGCTGTCTGCACGTGAACTTGGTGGGTAGAGGTTGCACCATCTAACCTGAGCCCAGACAGTTAGTGTTCGACAACACATGACTTCCTCTCAGTTATTCATATTTTAAAGGAAAACCAACTTTTCACAAATGGGTTTATAGCTGATTGGGACAGGAGGGGGCTGCCTGAGCAGGCCAGGGGCATTTGACCAGGCGGCCCACCTGTGGCATGGTTAACGGTGATGTCCACAGCACCTGTGCTGTTTGCTGGGACCCCATCACGTGACCGTTCTCACTGTGGATGGTGAAGGGTTTGTTCTCTGGTATCTACTCCCCAGAGCCTGCGGCAACAGCCCCATTGTATCTGTGTTCTGGCTTTCTCTACAATTCTCCCTCCCTTCCCAGCACAAGAGAGGGGAGAAAGGCTCAGGCCTAAACGTGATAGCACACAGTTGCTAAACACACACACGACACACTACACACTACACACGACACACGTGCACAAGCACAGAGGCACACACCACTTTCAGGATGGCCCATTTAGATGTCCACAGTCCTGCAAGGTCAACCTGTCCCAAACCAACCCCCCCGGGGCTCCTCCACACCCCGCCTGCCCCTGCCCCTGCCAGCCTGGTGCTCCTGGGCTCTCCTCACATAAGTGGGGACCTGCTCTGTGCAGCTCTGGGGACACAGCAGGAGCATCTCAGCTATAGGCCCTGCCCTCAGGGAATGGACAGATCCACGGGAGGACAGGCCCACAAACCACTGGATTACGGTGGGGTCAAAGCTGCAGTGGTGGAATGGGAGCTGAATTTCATCTGTGGAGTTAGGGAATTGAGACGTGGATGGCCCCGGCCCCCTCCCCACCGCCGCCCCATCCCAGTGCTCCTGACTTGCCTCCTGCCCCTCTTCCTGCTGCTCCCCTCATGGCCTGTTTGGATCCTCTGCCTTTGCCTGGAGTTTGCAGTATTCACGTGCACTTTCCTGCCTCTCCCTGCAGCCGGGGTCCCCTGGCTCAAATACCAGTCTGGACCCTTTTCTCCCTTGTCAAAGTCCTCCTAGCCTCCTACTACCCCAGGACAGACGCCAGCCCACTGGCCCTCTCCACTGCTCCCCTCGGTGTGTACAGAGCACCTGCATGCGCTGGGCACTGCTTCAGGGACTGGGCAGAGCAACGAGCATGAAACAGACACTTCTCGGCAGTATCCAAGCGTTGCTGTGGTGGCCTCTGCACACACAGTGCTATTCCTGCAGCCTCGCCTCTGGCAGTGCTGTTCCCGCTGCTGAGCCTGTCTTGCCCTCTGTGCCTTTGTACCCCCAGAAAATGCCTCTTCCCCTTTCATGGTTGATTTTCTGTGTTCTCCTCTTACCTGAATCCCCTGCTGGGTCAGGGGTCCTGCTTCTCCATTTCCAGGGCAATCTCTGCTTCCCTCTCTCCACTGAACACTCATTTTCTGCACTGTGAGCTTTTTGTGGCAGGAAGGTCTGTAGTTTTATTTTATTCTTCTGTGTTCTTAGCCATTATCATAGGACCAAGCATATAGCAGGTGCTCAATAAACATCTCAAAAGAAATGGGGAAACCACGGCTCAGGAGGTTAAGGGACTTCCGAGGTCACAGGGCTAGTGAGAGCAGGGGTTGGATTTGGAAGTGTTTGCATGTGACTTGCACTATGGCAGTATGGTGTCCCCATCATGTCGCTCCTGGAGAAAGCTGCTCATTCAGGCTCATGTTTTTCTTTGCTTACGGAGACGTGATTATGCTTTCCCAGAAAGGCTGAAGCTTAGCATGTATCATAGCATGGAGATCCAGCTAACTCCACTTCAAAGTTTTTGCGAGGAATACATAATCCAAATATTTGAACTCCAGTTGTAACAAGGTAGAGTGCATCCAAATACCACACACGGGATTGTGTGTTTGCCATGTGTGGACGTTCAGGGCTGTGCACTCTGGGGTATGTGTGTCAACCTCACCTGCTCCTCACTCACCATCAGGCTGGGAGACTGGCCCTTGAGGAGAATTCTTGTGAATGATGACAGCAGAGGGCAACGCCGATTGCACCTTTATCAGCGACCATGGTCTCTGTGACACTCCACGCATTGTGCAGGGTCAAATACTTACCACTATTGGGTCAGGATTTGCACCAGGCCATTGAGAATGAAGCGCCTGGAATGCAGGGTGGAGGGTTCTGGGGTTTAGAGGGGACCCCCAGTTTTCACTGGGGGAGCTGGGGGTGAGGGAAGGGAGGGCTTCCCTGAAGGTGCTGTTTGAACAAGACCTGGAAGGACAAGTAGGTGGGTTTCAGACTGAGTAGGAAAAGTGTGTCCTGGGCAGCCCGCAGGGAAGGGCACGTTTAGGGGGACAGTGAGTGATTCATAGTTGTTTGGGAGGGGTGCGGCGGGAGCACTTATTTGAGGCCAGACTGTGGTGGGTCTCGTAGATGTCCCAGAGTTTGACCTTTAATGCAGGTAGGAGAGCTCCCTAGTCTGTCCAAACAGCTCTAATATAATAGGCAGGCAGCTTTCCATTCTCTACACGGGGCTTGTTCACATCTATTGGCATATTTGATTTTCCCAGCAGCCTTGCAAGGTAGGCATTGCTTTTTTAAATCTAAAAAAAAATTTTTTTTTTTTTGAGATGGAGTTTCACTGTGTCACCCAGGCTGGAGTGCAGTGGTGCGATCTTGGCTCACTGCAACTTCCGCCCCCTGGGTTCAAGCAATTCTCCTGCCTCAGCCTCCTGAGTAGCTGGGATTACAGGCATGTGCCACCATGCCCGGCTAAATTTTGTACTTTTGTAGAGACGGGGTTTCACCATGTTGGCCAGGCTGGTCTCGAACTCTTGACCTCAGGTGATCCACCTGTCTCGGCCTCTCAAAGTGCTGGGATTACAGGCATGAGCCACTGAGCCAGCCCCCGCATTGCTCTTTTTACAGATAAGAAAACTGAGGTCAGTGAGGTTTGGTGTTACTTGGTGTGGGACAGAGTCACTCCTTTTTGTTTCAAACCCAGCACCTTGGATCCTGCCCAGGCGGCCCCATAAAAGGAACTGCTCCCGGCTGGGATATGCTTTGGGCTACTGTGTGCCCATGTGCGGTCACACCTCGAGGACATATGAACATGTCCCGCTCCTACCATTCGTCTAGGGACAGAGTGACATTGCTCTAGAGAACACTAAAAGTCTTGCACTTCTGTCCCGTTTTGTTGTTGTTATTTTTAAATTGGAAATACAAGACCATTCTCCCCCGCAACTCCCATATCCCCCATCAAGCCCTCAATAAACTGGTTGCATTTGCATGTAAAACATGTATATTCGATATGTACATATCACATCATATCATATCATAGCTAGCTCTGAAGATGCAGCATAGGAAAGAGACGAGAAGGCTGTGCCCTCACCCGTGTGGAGAGCTGTGTGAAACGGAGTGGCCTCCAGACACAGCTTTTATTGCCAGTATTCATCCACTGATGGACATTTGGGTTACTCCCACCTTTTGGCTCAGCTGTGAACATGGGTTACAAGTGTCTGTTCCAGCGCCTTATTTCAGTTCTTTCCAGTATATGTCAGAGGCAGGATCGCTGGGTCGTTTGGCAATTCTGTTTAGTTTTGTGAGGAACTCCCATACTGTTTTCCCCAGCAGCTGCGCCATTTTACATCCCCAACAACAGTCCACAAGGGTTTCAATTTCTTCACATCCTCGCCCACATTTCTTATTTTTTGTTGTTGTGTTATTTTTAAAAAATAACACCTAATGAGTGTGACGTGGTATCTCATTTTAGCTTTGATTTGCATTTCCCTAATGATTAGTGATGTTAAACATGTTTTCATGAGCTTATTGGCCATTTGTGTGTCTTCTAAGAAATGTCTATTTGGGTCTGTTGCCCATTTTTTAATTGGGTTGGATTTTTTTTTGTTGTTGAGTTGTAGGAATTCTTAATATATTCTGAATAGTAACTCTTTGTTTTGTTTTGTTTTGTTTTGTTTTTTTGAGATGGAGTCTCACTTTGTCGCCCAGGCTGGAGTGCAGTGGTGTGATCTTGGCTCACTGCAACCTCTGCCTTCTGAGTTCAAGCGATTCTCCTGCCTCAGCCTCCCGAATAGCTGGGATTCCAGGTGCACGCCACCACGCCTGGCTAATTTTTGTATTTTTAGTAGAGCTGGGGTTTCACCATTTTAGCCAGGCTTGTCTCGAACTCCTGATCTCAAGTGATCTGCCTGCCTTGGCCTCCCAAAGTGCTGGGATTACAGGCATGAGCCACTGCATCTGGCTCTGAATATTAATTCTTTATCAGGTATATGATTTTCTCTTATTCTGTGACTTTTTCACTCTTTTGAAAGAGTTCTTTGATGTACAAAAGTTTTAATTTTGATGAAGACAATTTAACTATTTTTTCTTTCGTTATCTGTGCTTTTGGGGTCATATCCAAGGAATCACTGCCAAATCCAATGTCATGAAGCTTTTCCCTTCATCCTGTATTTTTTAAAAAATAATTTTAACACCTAAAGCGCTGCTAAAATGTCCAAAGTTAATTGACATCCTGCAGCGTCCCCATGAACTCCATTAAAAAAATTTATTCAAGTGAAATTCACACACCATAAAATCATCTTAAAACAAACCATTTAGTACCAGCACATTCACAATGCTGTGCTCGCCCCTCTTTTGGTGTCAGTACTTTATGGTTTATAAATTATGTTTGTTTCTATTTTCTCGTTTGGTCTTCACAGTGTCCCTGAGAGTTAGAGCAGTAAACCCGTTTCACAGGAACATGCAGGGAAGGAGGGTAACGTGCTCTGAGCCCACATGCAGTAAGCACTGACCGTGTTTGCAAGTTTCTTTTATCCAATCCGAGCTTTGCTTTCCTCGACTCTGATGTGGGGCAGTGCTGCCTACTGGGGCAGATGTTCCTGCTGGCTGGGCTCTCCTTGCACCTCTCTTCTTCTCTAGGTCCCCTCATCTGCTCATCTGCCTCGATGTGACTTCCACCTTTGAGTTTGATTGCTAGTCATCTCCACCTCGTATCTCCAAACCCATTAGCAATTTTTCAAGGATGGGACAAAGCTTTCCGTAGGCACTTTGGAAGGACCTGTGGCATGAGAGACGGGAGCGTATTAAAAAGTGCAGAACTGGGAGCCCCTCAGAGGTCATCTGGCCCAATTATCTGGTTTTAAGGAGGAGGAAAAGGGGGCATAAAGGAGTGGATTGCAAGCTCTGTGCACTGCTGGAGCTCTCTTCCTTAAAGCATTTGGCCTCTTGGTGATAAAGGGACAGCAGAGACCTGCTCTCGCGTGAGCCTTACTGGGTCCTGGTGGCAAGAGCTGCCATGTGTTTACCTCCCTTGGATCTTGACCACTGCCCCTCAGGAAGTCACGGCTTAGGGCTGTTGAGCTCACCTGTCACACAGCAACACACAGGAGCCAGACTCAGGCCCTGTGTGCCCTCAGGGAGTGGCTCATGGCTCCAGCCCGGGTTGAGAGCGCCTCTCCTGCATGCTGGGGACTCTAGGTGACGGATTCAGGCTGTGTGCTTTGCAGAGGCTGCTAAAAATGAGGCCACCAAGGCTGGGTGTGGTGGCTCATGCCTGTAATCCCAGCACTTTGGGAGGCCAAGGCGGGTGGATCACCTAAGGTCAGGAGTTTGAGACCAGCTTGGCCAACATGGTGAAACCCCATCTCTACTAAAAATACAAAAAGTAGCCAGGTGTGGTGGTGGGCGCCTGTAATCCCAGCTACTCTGGAGGCTGAGGCAGGAGAATCGCTTGAACCTGGGAGGCAGAGGTTGCAGTGAGCTGAGATCATGCCACTGCACTCCAGCCTGGGCTACAAGAGCAAAACTCTGTCTCAAAAACAAACAGAAAAACAACAACAAAAAACCGAGGCCACCGTCGAGAGAGACAGGCAATTGTTCATGAAATCGGTCTTTCTTTTGAAGTCAGAGACTATAACAACTGTGGCCTCAGCTCACCGATGAGAGCCACCGATGGTAGGCAGCCTCCAGGCCTGGGGGAGAACCAGCAGATCCTCACCATCTTTAGGTTAATAAGTGAAATAAAACCTGTGAGTCAGGCTGCAGTCACGGCCTCACCCGGCTCAGGGAAGGAGGGAGAAATTCCTCAGGGCTCCCTTTTCTGATGTTGCCTTGCTTTGTACTTACTGTTCCTTTTCCTGTTCAGCTGATGACAGATGTTTGACATTAAGCATTTTAGAGTTTTGTTTTTTAGAAAATAGAATCATAGATTATCAGAAGTGGAAGTCCCTTTGGAATAATTTCCCCTGGGTTACACAGATGGCTATGGCAGGGTCAAGGGAGGGGACGGTCAGCGGGGACTGAGCGCAGGCCCCCTCCAGGCTCTGCAGCAATGACCAGGCAGCAAGCCGGCCTCCCGGGCTTGTGGGCTGTCCTCTTTCTCTGGGGTCAGCCTGAGGCTGGAAGAGGCCCGTGGCCCACCGGGCATCAGGCCAAGCCTGGAGCTGACCAGGGAAGGGCCCTGCCAGGCCTTGGGCCTCTGACCCTCAGTCCTGAAGCCTCCCTCTAGCGGCGCCCACCCTGCTCCTTTTCCTGCTGAATTTTACTCAAGTCCGTACTTGAGTATGGCCGGCCCTAGGTTAACCCCGCAGAGTTATTAACCAGGAGTGGCTCTTTCCACCCCCCCTTCCCGCCGGCCCTTCCTGCTGTCCACACCCGGCCAACTCCACTGTCCTGGCAAGGGAGGGCTTCCTGGAGGCGGCAGCGGGCGGCGCGTCCGGCCTTTGTCCCCCCACGCTCTCCAGGGTAGGTCCAGGGACTGCCAGATCAGGGGACCCTTTGCGTCCTGGAGCCTTGGGGGCTGGATGACGTCGCCGGGCACCTGAGGACCCCGCCCATTCCTCCCTCGGTTCCCCAGGGAGCGGGCGGCCGGCGGGGCTGGGCGGGGCCGAAGGAAGGGGCCGCTTGCTCCGACGCCGCGCACGCGCCAGGGCCCGCAGGCGGGTTAGGAAATGACGACCGCGCGCGGGTCTCCAGCAGCACCCGCCCTAGGACCGGCCCCGCCCCCAAGTCCCGGTCCCTAGGGCCGGGCACGCCACTCCAGGCCCCGCCCAGAACCTCCCCGCCCAGTCAAGCCCCGCCCCCAAACTCTGTCTCCCCGCGGTATCCTCTGGGGCTCTCCAGGCCCCGCCTCGGCTCGGGCCCCGCCCCTCCAGGCCCCGCCTCCAGCCCCGCCCCGCAGACGGCGCTCGCAGCGCCCCCGGCCCCCAGGCGGCGCGGCTGGTCCCCAGGGGTCTGCGGGCGACTGCGCGGCTGAGGCGCCCGAGTGCGGTACTGGCGGCGGGCGGCGGGCAGCCATGGCGGAGGCCGCGTCGCCGCACTTGTCGCTGCCCTCGGGGCTGCTGGAGCTCTGCGCGCTGCTGGGCGCCCCCCGGGACAGTCTCCGAAGTCTCGAGCAGGTGAGGGGCGGGGAAACTGAGGCGGACGTGGGCCACGAGTCGGCAGCCGGGACAGCAGTCGGAGAGCGGGCGCCCGGGTGCCCTGTGGGTTGGCGCGGACTTTCCGAGGGCTGAGTCCCGGTCCCCCGGCGGTGACCCCGCGCGCCTGTGGCCGGGGATCGCGCCCGAGCTCAGGCAGGTGCCCTGGAGCAGCGCCCTGCTCCCCTCCCCTCTTCTCTCCTCTCCCCGCCCGGGGCCCTTGGTGTGAGACATGTCTTTTGAGAGCTGCGAACTTGGTCCGCCGGCCGGGAATCTGGGGGTGCCGCCCCTCGGAGAGTCTCTGGGGCCTCTCTCTTCAGTCGCTCCCATCTTGGGCAGGTGCTTCTGAAGGTGGGGTGCACCAGACAACGGGCGGAAGCCGCCGGAGCCTCACGGTCTAGCGGGCCCAGCCCTCGCTGCTGAAATGATTTCATTCTTTATGCTGGGATGTGTTGTCCCCTGAGTAGTGGGTTTTGCACCAGGCACAGAATAACGAGAGAGCAATCTTAGAGTTAGCCGCCGGCCTCGCGTATTCTGCATGAACCCCTTTGCGATGAAGCCTATAGCTATTTTTCTCCCTTGCGGTACCACCCCCACCCCCAACCCTTCCTCCATCTCTGCACCCTCGCAGCCAAAGTGACAACTTCATCTCCCTTCTGCTGGGAAAGCGGCAGTTTTGGAAATTCTCGTTTTCCTTTTTCTTCCCCAGCTTTTCTTAATTCTGTAACGCTGGCTTTCCCTGGAATCCATCTGTGTCTCTGGTTTCCTCCTGGTCCGCCTGTCTGTGACACCGTGACTGGGTCATGTTACCTAGAGATCCCGGCGTCACTGGCCAGCCGTCTGCACAGGTCCGTTCATCTCTTTGCAGACAACAGCATAGAAAGGCAGAGAGGCTTCTGAGTATTTAAATGACGCTGGGCTATCCAGGGAAAATGAAGACTGCAGGGCAGAGGGTGTCACCAGGAAAGGCAGATGTTCCTGCAAGTAACCAGATGAATGTCTGTGAGTGTCCGGGGAGTTTCCCCTGCTGGGCGTCAGTACCAAGCCAGTTTCGACTTCAGTGAAAAAGCATTCTCCTATGGAAATAGTTTCCTCGTTTCCCTCAACTTTTCCTTCCCTTCAACGCCCTGTCATGTCAGTAGATCCCGTTTGACCTCTGTCTCCTCGCAACGTCATCGATTGATTTGTCTCCCTACCTCGAATTTGCCAGATGGCATCTCCTCCTTTTTCTTCGAATAGGAAGTGACCTAGTTGCCGCTGTGGTCTCCTCAGCCGTTGAACGTCTTTCCTCTGGGGCAGTTACAACATGGGTGTTAGTTGCTTGGTGTGACACATGTCTTTTGAGGGCAGGGCGAATCAACTGGAATATTTGCAGTGGTGCTTTCTTTTTTTCAATTTCTTTATTATTATTATTATGTTAATAATAGAGAGGAGGTCTCACTGTGTTGCCCAGACTCATCTCCAATTCCTGAGCTCAAGTGATCCTCCCGCCTCAGCCTTTCAAAGTGCTGGGATTACAGGCGTGAGCCACTGCGCCTGGCCAGTGGTGCATTCCTGAACTAAACACGCTGCAACATTTTCATGTTCCCAGGTCAAGTGAGAGTATGGACAGTCTGCTACTGTGCATGCTTAACTTTGTCCTCTTTACTCTGTCTTTTGATTCTGTTAGGGGTTTGGCAAAGGGTGGAGAGAAAAGTAGTGAAGGACTAAGAAAATAAGGAGCGTTAGGGGATGGATTCCATTTCTTGGAGCCATCCTACTTTTAAGGTCAATATTAATGTTATAGTTAACCAAACATATGATTTTATTTATTTAGATGTTTTTTCGGCGGTTCTATTTTGAATGTCCAAGGCTTTTAAATATATTTTTTTTTTTTTGAGACAGAGTTTTGCTCTGTTGCCCAGGATGGAGTGCCATGGTGCAATCTCGGCTCACTGCAATCTCCGCCTCCTGAGTTCAAGCAATTCTCCTGCCTCAGCCTCCTAAGTAGCTGGGATTACAGGCGTGTGCCACCATGCCCAGCTAATTTTTGTATTTTTAGTAGAGACAGGGTTTCACCACGTTGGTCAGGCTGGTCTCAAACTCCTGACCTCACGATCTGCCCGCCTCGGCCTCCCAAAGTGTTGGGATTATAGGTGTGAGCCACCGCACCTGGCCGCTTTTAAATAATTTTTACCTTGACTTTTACAAATCCCCATTTCTCTGTGGCCCAGGCATTCCTTCTTGATGACACAGGAAAACAGAGGTCCGGAGGTATGAGGAATATCCAGCTTCATGTTGGATAGTGGAGGGCCCTTTTGTTTCATTTCCTAGAAGGGGGAGTAGTGTTTGTTTTTTTAGGAATGGTGACCGAGACTTTGAGAATGCAGGCTAATGTTAGTTACTGTGGTTAGTTACATTCCCCTCCACCCCTTTACTATAGAGCCCTCCCCAACCCCATTATTGGTTGCTATGGAGACTAGACATAGGTGTGACAGGATCCATTATAAATCCATCACACAGGAGTAGAAAGTGTTCTGAGTACCTTGCGTAGTACAGGTCACCCGCATAATTCTTGCGTGTGAAGCTCCATTTTTATGGCTTTTGGTGGACATCGTCCTGACTTTCAGTTTCAGAACAGCACTGGCCAGCTGGCCTTCCTGGGTGATGGCAGTTCGTGTCCTCTCTTTGCACCGTGCAGTACAATAGCCACTGGCCACATGTGGTCACTGAGCTTGTAGTGTGGCCAGTGAGCTAAGAAACTGGGTTTAAAATTTCATTTAATTCTAACTAAACAGTTGGAGAGCAATAAAAAAATTGATTAATTTCTGTTTTATTCCCTTAATAATGGCCAATCCTATAGTGAAGATGAATTCCACTGTGTACTCTAACTTAGAAATTAACCTGTGACTCAAGTAAATTAGAGTGTTCTGGTTTTTACTTTTGAATTAGCAGTTTTAAAAACCAAAATGATGGTTATTGGGTAGGGGTTTAATAAGTCAGCACCTGGGACAGAAGAATGGGAAATGACCTCACCTCCTGCAGCAGACTGGCAGAGGTGACTAGCGTCTCGGTGGTGGCGGGGTCTGGTTGTTCAGGGCAGCCACAACCTGTATCACCAAGTAACCTTGGAACACTCTTGTGCCAAGACTTCCATTTTTAGGAATTTATTCTAGGGAAAGAACTGGGTGCGTGCAAGTGTGTGTCACCGCTCTGTTCAGTGTGGTGAAGACTTGAGAACCACCCACACATCTCTCAGGAGGAGGCTGGGTCAATACATGACTGAGTTGACACATGCTGTGATATTGTGATACTGTACGGTTGTAAACAGGGAGGTCAGCCACATGAAGTAGTTAAAACAGCTAATGGAACCTGTTATGTAGGATGACTACATTTATGAAACAAAATTATACGTTTATACATGCATTAAAATGTATAAAATGCACAAAAAGGCATAAAATGGGAAGGATGTATCCACCCTGTGCAAAGTGTGTCATGGAATTATGGGAGGGCCGTCCCTTTCTATTAGCTCCTTTATTATTTCTATATTTATTATTTTTTTTTGTGGGGGATGGAGTTTCACGCTTGTTGCCCAGGCTGGAGTACAATGGTGCCATCTCGGCTCACTGCAACCTCTGCCTCCCAGGTTCAAGCGATTCTCCTGTCTGAGCCTCCCGAGTAGCTGGGATTACAGGCATGTACGACTATGCCTGGCTAATTTTGTATTTTTAGTAGAGAGGGGGTTTCTCCATGTTGATCAGGCTAGTCTTGAACTCCTGACCTCAGGTGATCTACCTGCCTCAGCCTCCCAAAGTGCTGGGATTACAGGCGTGAGCCACTGTGCCTGGCCTCTATATTGTTATTTTTAAAAATGAGATTGTATTGCTTGTCCATTGAGAAAAGACAACAGAGATTTCATTCTGAGAAAAAACAGGTGTATGGTGAACTACTGAATGCCAAGTTGATCGGATCTGGGGCACATCATTATAAGTGACTAGAGATAACTAGAGGAATGACAGGTGGGGTGTTGAGTCTAGTGTGATCACCAGTGTTCAGTCCAGGCTGAGCATGCCTCTAAGAGATCACCAGGTGCCAGGAGTGTGAATGAGGAACGATATCGCCTCAGTCATCTTCTCTGCTAAATGTGGGGACAGAGAGGAATACAACACAATCTCTGCTCCACCGCATCCCCTCAAATGGAAGGTGGTAAAATACCACTGGGCAGGGCCGAGATGCTCCAGGGGGTGATGAGCTGGGAGGTGGAGGCCTGGAGGAGCCTGTGGTCCTGGCTGCGGGGTGGCAGAGACCTTCTGCAGTGAGCGTGGGGGGTGGAGGGTCTGCCCCCGTGCAGGTGGAGCAGCGAGGGGCTGGGGCCTGAGCCCATGGAAGAGCAGGGTCATTGCAGAGGTGCTGTGTGTTCTGAGAACCCCAGGGAGTTTAGTTTTGCTTGGCTTTGGGGGCATCCTGGCTTAGGGAGCGAGCTGGCCTGCTGCTCAGGGGTGCACTGTCCTGACTCATGCCCACGTATGACACGTGGGAAGATACAGTATCATGATGTGGCGAAACAAACACTCTTTGCTTTCTTCAATGTGGGGATGGGGCTGTGATGCTTCAAGGCTGGGTTGGGGCCACAAAGTATCTGGTTTGCGGTCAGACAGGGACGTCCCTCGTTGGGAGAGTGGACACAGATGCTAGTGGGGAGCCCTGGGCTGGGTGGGAGGCAGCATCTTCCTCCTTCTCCTGACAGAAACCTCCAAGGCTTTGCTTCTGGTTACTTGCTACCTGCCTGGAGCCACGGGTCTTGCAGGTGCTTGGTGTGGAAACATGGTGCAGCGGGGCAGCATCGAGCTGATGGAGAGGCTCTCCAGGACCAGTGGCTGAGGTGTAGGTCTGCAGGTGGGGCATGGTGGGGCTGGGGCCCGAGGGGCTGGAGTACCAGCTCTGAAGACCCGAACTGCACTGTGTTTGTTGCAGAGGAGAACACAGGTGGGAGATCAGGCTTTTTGGAAACTAGCAGAAGCTTAATTTTTGAGACCGTAAGTTTAAGGGACCCCAGAGGTGCAGTGGGGGTGGCAGGAGGCAGTCAGGGGAAGCCTGGGACTGGAAAGAGGTGTGGGCTGGGAATAGGACTTTGGGCTGTGAGTGCTGAGGTCCTTCAGGAGGATGGTGCGAAGGACCCAGGCCTGGGAGTCGCAACCTGTGAGCAGGACTGAGAAGGGTCTGTAGGGGCCAGAGAGGAGCCATCAGACCAAGGGAAACCAGAAGGGAGGCGAGATCAAGACAGTTCCAGGATCCAGGAGGAGGGCTGCTCACTCATCTCATATGCTGCCTTGAATGTGCACCATTAGTTGGGTCAGAACTGTCCATTCTGATGGGAAAGTTTTAGAGAAAGTGACATGTAATTGAGGAAATGGACTTTTCGTGCATGCTACACTAGAGCTTTTAAGTTATAAAATAATATGGATTTCCCATATTTTTTATTTTTTATTTTTATTTTATTTTTTTTTTGAGACAGTCTCGCTCTGTTGCCCAGGCTGGAGTGCAGTGGTGTGATCTCGGCTCACTGCAAGCTCCGCCTCCCGGGTTCACGCCATTCTCCTGCCTCAGCCTCTCCGAGTAGCTGGGACTACAGGCGCCCGCCACCATGCCCGGCTAATTTTTTGTATTTTTAGTAGAGACAGGGTTTCACTGTGGTGTCGATCTCCTGACCTCGTGATCTGCCTCCCAAAGTGCTGAGATTACAAGCGTAAGCCACCGCTCCCAGTCGGATTTCCCATGTTTTGTCCTGGTTCCTACTGATACATTTTTTTCTCCAAATGTAAAGCAATTGTTGACCGAATTTGAGTGATGTAGCGTGCAAATCGTCATATAGAGATCAGAGTGTGCTTACTGATGGAAACTGCTGCCGTTGTTGAAATTTCTTCCAGCGTAAGACTCCCCTTTTGTCACTGCTGTGTCTTATTGGAATGTTGAGTGTTGGCTGTGCGTTTTCTGTCAGCCAAGGTCCCATTTCTCTGGATGGCAGTGCTATCTCCTTTCTTCCTTACGGAGTCTTGCTCTGTCGCGCAGGCTGGACTGCAGTGGTGAGATCTCGGCTCACTGCAAGCTCCGCCTCCTGGGTTCATGCCATTCTCCTGCCTCAGCCCCCCGCCCGGCCGAGTAGCTGGGACTGCAGGCATGCGCCACCAAGCCCGGCTAATTTTTTTGTATTTTTAGTAGAGACGGGGTTTCACTGTGTTAGCCAGGATGGTCTCGATCTGACCTCGTGATCTGCCCGCCTCGGCTTCCCAAAGTGCTGGGATTACAGGCATGAGCCACCGCGCCCAGCTCTTTCTTTCTTTCTTTCTTTTTTTTTTTTTTTTTGAGACCAGGTCTTGCTCTTTCACCCAGGCCGGAGCGCAGTGGTGTGATCACAGCTCACTGCAGCCTCAACCTCCTGGGCTCAGGCGATCTTCCTGCCTTAGCCTCCTGTGTAGCTGGGACCACAGGCATGTGCCACTATGCCTGGCTAATTTTTTTATTTTTTGTAGAGACGAGGTCTCATTTTGTTGCCCAGGCTGGCCTTGAACTCCTGGGCTCAAGCAGTCCTCCCGCTTTGGCCTCCCAAAGTGCTGGGATCACAGGCGTGAGCCACTGCACCCGGCAATGCTGTCCTTTCTAGGGTCCCTTAAAGACCCTTGACTACCTGCCTTTGGCCACCTCCTGTCTCTCCATGCCTTGGGTACCCAGGGCCCCTTGCTTCAAGCTTTGCTGTTTCGGGCTAGTTTAGTACCAGAACCACTTCCTTCTTGCTCGCAGACTGCAGGGTGTCCACCTTGGAAAGATCTGAAATCAGCCGGGCAGCAGTATTTGTTTTGTCCTAGCTCTGTACTAGGAGCTGTATTGGGCATAGTAGTAACATGGAAGAGAGATTGAAGGGATGGCCCATGTGCTTTGTATTATTTTAGGAAAGAATGGGAAGAAAAAAGGCAAAAATAAAAATTATGCCAAGTTAAAGTTGAGAAGAATTCAGGCCAAATGCCCCCCTTTTATTGATTTGAGGGACTGTTTGGTCAGCCGAGGAAGGGCACATGTCTCATCTGTACCCACCAGTGCTGTTTCTCACTCCATGCGTCCTCCCAGATCAGTGTGGTAGAAAGGAGGCAGCACTGGCCCACGTGGGGGTGTGGAGGGCGTGGCCCTGGTAAATGTGTATGTGTGGGGTTTGACAATATACAGAGCCTGCCCCCACCCAGGGAGGGCTGAACAGTATATCCATAGGCTCCTGGCAGCCCCGCTGGGCTGAGTACCGGACCCACATTGTCTCTGTTATTCCCTGTACTCGCCGCTTAAAGGGAAGCTTGGAGGGACAAAGAAGCTTGCTGTCAGGAGGTGGAGGCACAGCCAGGACTTGAACTCAGGTCTGTGGATCCCAGTCCGCAGCCTGGACGGCAGTGCTTTATAGGAAGGAGGTGAGGTCCTGCTGTCCATGTCCACAGCTGAAGAGCCAGGCTCTGCGAGTCTACGTGGCTTCCCTGAACATAGGGCCTGGCAGGTTCCTAAAAGAAGCTTCCCAGGAGCCCTTTACTGTTAGGAGCCTGAGGCGCCAGTGTTTATGGGCACCGAGGGGAGGAGAAAAACAAGCAGTGAAGCTCAGACAGAAAGGATACCCTCGAACAAGAGCTGAGGCTGTGGCAGTAACTCTTATTTTTCCCTTTTTTAGGTTGCTTATAAAAAGGGAGTCAAACATCTTTCTGCTCTTCTTGATCCAGAGGTCCTGTCCATTTTCGTGCCTCCTTTTATCAGTAAAGAGGACAGTCAAATGGCCGGTGCCAACTGCGGCACTCTCGGTAAAACCCGGATGCGCTCCTTGAGAAAGAAGAGAGAGAAGCCCAGACCAGAGCAGTGGAAGGGCCTCCCGGGGCCCCCCAGAGCGCCAGAGCCTGAGGATGTCGCCGTCCCGGGCGGCGTGGACCTCCTCACCCTGCCGCAGCTGTGCTTCCCAGGTATGTCTAGGAGGTGGGCACCACTGGGCGCCTCCTGCTGCCGGCCACCCAGAGTGGTCTATTCCCAGAAACCCACAGGCAGAGGGAAGTGACGTGAGCGGCAGAGCCAGGGACCCCTCACTGCCTCCTCTTGTGGGATTTAGTTTTCTTAATCTTGGGGATTTTTTTAATTTTTTATATTTATTTATTTATTTATTTACTTTTTTGAGACGGAGCGTCACTCTGTCACTCAGGCTGGAGTTCAGTGGCACAATCTCCTTTCACTTCATCCTCTGCCTCCTGGGTTCAAGTGATTCTTCTGCGTCAGCCTCTCAAGTAGCTGGGATTACAGGTGCCAACCACCACGCCTGGCTAACTTTTGTGTCTTTAGTAGAAATGGGGTTTCACCATGTTGGCCAGGCTGGTCTTGAACTCTTGGCCTCAAGTGATCCACCTGCCTTAGCCTCCCAAAGTGCTGGGATTACAGGCGTGAGCCACCGTGCTCGACCTACCTTGGGGATTTTAAAGCTGAAGGAAATGTAAATCATTGCGTGTGGTCCCGGTGTTTTGGAGAATTGAGTCCTGGAAGGGAGTCTGCATGAACTTCCAGGTAAAACCATTTGTTCCTGGTGCATTCAAGGCTTTTCCCCTTTGACTTAAAATGAAGTCTTGCAGTGGTTGGCAGATGGATTAAAAATACATCCAGTTCATCTGCAGCGGTTCCACCCCCAGTGTGCCTGAGCCTCTCCCTTCCACCTCCCGTTTTCCGTTTCACTGGGGCAAGAAGCACAGGCCTGCACTTAGTCCCCAGGCTCGCCAGTTCCAGTTAACAGGTGAGCTTGCATTTTGGGGCGTTATTTTTCCTGTGGTCTTCAGGAATGTTAAAATGGCCGAGGTAGGAAACTCAGACGAAGCACCTAGCATAAGCACCCACCTCAGAACTTGGTGCTATTTCCTGGTCACAGGGATTATAAACCTGGGACAGGCGCCAGGTGGGCGGCTGTGCCCAGCAAGCACTGCCACTGGCTGGCAGGTGCTTGAGAGCTTGTAAAGAAATTGCTGTGTGGGGAGGGACTCAGGGAGGATAGACGGCCGGAGGCGTGATCGGAAGAATGAACCCGCCTTGGACATGAAGGCACCACCACTGCTAACTGTGGAGGTGTGTCCTAAACACTGTGAAGAAATCAGCTCGTGGGTAACCCAGGCCACTTGGCAAGAACAGGATTCTTCTCTGTCTCTTTCTGCCTGCAGGGGGTGTGTGCGTGGCCACTGAACCTAAGGAGGATTGCGTCCACTTCCTGGTGCTGACCGATGTCTGCGGGAATAGGACCTATGGCGTGGTGGCCCAGTACTACCGGCCCCTGCATGTAGGTGGTTCCCGTTACTCCCCTCTGAAATTGGGTTTAGATTTTTTATTATGGTGAAATACACATAACACAACATTCACCATTCTAACCATTTTAAAGTGTGCAGTTCCGTAACATTAAGTACATTCACAGCATTGTGCAACCACCACCAATGTCTAGGTCCAAAACGCTTTCATCATCCCTGAAAACCCCATACCATTAAGCCTTCAGTCCTGCTTCCCCTTCCTGCCTGGCGATGGCTAATCTGCTTGCTTTTTTTTTTTATTGAGATGGAGTCTTGCTCTGTCATCCAGGCTGGAGTGCAGTGGCACCATCTCAGCTCACTGCAACCTCCTTCTCCTGGGTTCAAGTGGTTCTCCTGCCTCAGCCTCCCGAGTAGCTGGGATTACAGGTGCCCACCACCATGCCCAGCTAATTTTTGTGTTTTTAGTGGAGACGGGGTTTCACCATGTTGGCCGGGCTGGTTTCGAACTCCTGACCTCAGGTGATCCACCCGCCTCAGCCTCCCAAAGTGCTGGGATTACAGGTGTGAGCGCTGCGCCCGGCCGGCTAATCCCCTTTCTGTCTCTGGATGTATGTATTCTGGACACTTCGTGTAAGTGGACTCATACAGCATGTGGCCTGCTTGTCTGACTTCTTTCCCTCAGCATGTTTTGATGTTCATGTGCATGGGCGCGTGTGCCAGTGCCCCGTGGCCTTTTATGGCGAGTGACATTCCATCGTTTGGATGGACCACATTTTATTTCTCCGTGTATCCGTCGATGGACCTGTGGGTTGTTTCCGCCTTTTGTCTTTGGTGTGAGCGACTGGCGTTTAGACTTTACAACACATTACATCTGTCACACATATTGGGAGTGTTGTCTGGGTAGGGCCGTGTGTGTGAATCAGTGGGCCTTTGGGGAACTCGTAGGGGAAACGATGTATCCAAAGGTGCAGGGTGACCTGCTGCACACGTCCAGAGGGTTTCCCGAAGCAAAAAGCGAGCCGGAGCCTTAATTTAGGTGCCCTGGTGCCATGAAGGGAAGTCTGTGAGTTCCATGCAGTCGAGAGAAATGGCTGGCCTGGATTCCCTCGGAGCCCGGGACACGTGTTTTTGTTGGTAGAAGCGTGCTTACACATGTGACATTGAGTGTTGGGAGGCGTGAGGTATAATCACATGGATTCTGTCCCTGTAAGCTCATGGGGCAGCACAGACAGGCCCGGATGTTCTTAATGAATATGCAGGAGCAAAGCGTACTACTTGATGCTCTGAATGCATAATCTTAGGTTTCTGGGAGAGGTCATTTTCACAGTGTGCCAAGAGCAGAACCAAGGTCAGCTCTCGGGCGGTGCATGCAGGGGACCAGCGTCCGCCTCTGTGACCTGGCTGCCAGCAGCCCCAGGCCTTTCTTCCAGGGTTATGTTAATGGAGGGATGAGAGGAAGGTGCCCCTCCACGTAGCCAGTGTTCCAGATGAGAAAGGATCCACGATGTTGGATCTTTCAGAAAAGCACCTTGGGAGTTTGCTTGTGAAATAACACTTACCAGGAGCAATGCGCATGTTGTTTTCGTTATCATTAAATATAATACATATTAAAAAAAGGAGCAGTCCCTCTGGTTTGCATGAGTACAGCAGATGCCACTGTTCCCAGTGTGCCGGCCTGGCGTGGGCATGCCTGGTCCTGCTCCTGCCTTCCCAGCAGCTGTGTAGTTTCGGGGTATCCCCAGGTCCCACAGCACTCATCTCTCCTTCTTCACTATGTATCCGGATGACGCTATATCTATCGTTTTTTTCTTTCTTTTTTTTTTTTGAGACAGTCTCGCTGTGTCACCCAGGCTTTAGTGCAGCGGTGTGATCACGGCTCACTGCAGCCTTGAACTCCAGGGCTAGCTCAAGTGATTCTCCCACCTCAGCCTCCTGAGTAGCTGGGACCACAGGTGTGCACCACCATGCCCGGCTAATTTTTCTTATTTTTTGTAGAGATGAGGTCTTGCTATGTTGCCCATGCTGATCTTGAACTACTGGAATCCTGCCTCAGCCTCCAAAAGTGTTGGGATGACAGGTGTGAGCTACATGTCCAGCCCCCAACTATCGTTCTATTGATAACACAGCCCCAGCCCCTCTCATACACTCTCCTCTGCCTTTCCACCGACACTACGTGACTTGAGGGTGGGAACCATATTGTGTCTGGGTAGCTCCAGCTCCTCCCGGGCTACTGTAACAGTAGCAGCAGCAGCCACGCGCGCGTGTGAGCAGCTCAGCACCAGGCATGACGTAAGCACTTTGTGTAGTCATTCATTTAATCCTAACCACAACGAATGAGGTTGGGAGATGACAGATGAGGAAATGGTGGCAGAGAGAGGTTAAAAGACCTGCCTGAGATGACAGAGCAGGCAGGGTTGGAACTTGAGTAGACTGACCCTAGAAAAGTGGATGTTTATTAAATTTTGTTAGATAGACAAATGATGTAGCTGACTGTTTCCTGATGTCTCCCTTTACCTGGATATCTTATAAGTACCCTAAATTCAGCAAGTTCTCACACTGAAGCTATCATCATGCCCTTCCATCCCTACAAAAAACCCCAAACTAACAACACTTCCCCAGTTGGTGAGCCCCAAATACTTTGCCACTTGTAAGTTCCACAGTGTGCTGGGCCTTCTAGAACCCTGCGGCCGTGGCTCCCACACAGGCTGAGGCCTCTCCTGCTCCGTCCTCCTGGGCACGTGTGGGTGCCGCTTCCTGTGCGTGGCCCCTGCATTTTCTCCCCTTGTAAAGCAGAGTCCTTTGTGTGTCTTGGGTCTTACTGTGTTCTAATCGTGTGTTCCTTTTTATCTCAAGGCTGTCAGCTTCTCTGGGGCAGGAATGCATCTTGCTCTCTTTATAGCCTCAGCACCTCAAATGGTGCAAGCACCAAATAGGGACCCCGTAGACTTCGACCGGAGGGCCGGTGCTGGCTTGGACGCGTTGCAGGGGTGGGGATGGTGGACTCTCAGCTTGCTGTGTGCTGAAACGTGACCCAGTTGGAAACAGATACTGGAATTGCCAAGGTGGGGAGGTGACCATGTCGCTGTTGCTTTTCATGTAGGATGAGTACTGTTTCTACAATGGCAAAACGCACCGGGAGTGTCCTGGCTGCTTCGTGCCCTTCGCGGTGTGCGTGGTCTCCAGGTTTCCCTATTACAACTCCCTCAAGGACTGCCTTTCCTGGTGAGCTGGGGCACCGGGGGCCAGGGGTGGTAGGGGGCAGCTCTTTGTGCCTCTCCAGGTGAGCCAAGGGACCAGGGGGCTGGAGGTGGTGGGGGGGCAGCTCTCTGTTCCTCTCCTGGTGAGCCGGGGGACCGGGCGCTGGGGGCAGTAGGAGGGGCAGTTCTCTGTGCCTCTTAGGCTGTTGCTTAAGGCTGGGGGCAGTGGGCAGGGGGTGTGGCAGCGGGCGCTCCTCTCTGTGACTGGTAACATACGGTAATGGCATGGTAGGAAAGGGATGAAGCCACACTGTCGGAAGTAAGGTTGATGTTCAGGATTTTCATTTTGTTTAGTTTTTCACAAAAAGGCATATATTAGGAAAAACTCTTTTCCTAGCTGAGAATATTAGGAGGCTGCTGTTTGTTCCAATGAGTTTTATTGACATTTTAAAGATGACCTTGGCTGGGTGTGGTGGCTCACACCTGTAATCCCAGCATATTGGGAGACTAAGATGGGAGGACTGCTTGAGCCGAGGGGTTTGAGACAAGCCTAGGGAACATAGCAATACCCTGTCTCTAAAAAACAATTTAAAAACTAGTTGGGCATGGTGGTGTGTGCCTGTAGTCCCAGCTACTGGGAAGGCTAACGCAGGAGGATGGCTTAAGCCTAGGAGTTCAAGGCTGCAGTGAGCTGTGATTGCACCACCACACTCCAGCCTAGGTTACAGAGCAGGACCCTGTCATCTTGTTTTGTAGAATCTGTAACTGTCTCCCTGCTGATGGTGAGTAGAAAGGCTGAGGACGTAAAGAACTTTTGAAAAATCAGAAAGACATCGTATAGAACCCAGTGGGCTCTCATTATCAAAGGATGCTTTTGTGATGTTGGGGGCTGTAGCCCAAGTTCAGACATGGTCAGTCCCAGTGGGCACTTGTGCACGGAGCCGTTTCTTTTGAGTCTCATAAAGTTACAGTCTGAGAATTTATATTTGTTTGATTAAAGGCCGAGGAGAAAGCAGTTAACAACAGTTCCCTTTTGTGTCATCATGCTGGAGAATGAGCCACGGCAAATCGCTGAATTGGTGCTGTTCTTGCTTCTTGCAAAGCACAGTCATTTGAGACCTTCTGCCTTGACCAGAGGGACGAGCCCCATGGAGAGTGAGCAGGAACCTTACTGTTCAAATCAATGACTCGTAATTCAAATCCCAGCACTTTAGTGGTTTACTTCTTAAAATATAACTGGCTTTTGGACATAGTTTGGGTCTAGCCTACATTTTATTGCCATAGACATAAAATATCGTTGAGAACAGAGAGGTGACTTGGTCGTAGCCAATGAGCAGGTGAATTGAGCACATGCATGTTTGTTGACTGTCTGTCACCAGCGCCCAGGAAGTGACAGAATGCCAAGCCTGTACATGGTCCCCTTTTATTCACTAACTGATGATCTTCATTACTTGAAGGTAAACAGCGTTTTCACTAATCTCTAGTTTCCTCTTCTGTAAAATGTAGATGGTTATTTCCACCTTTTGTTTGCTGAAATGAATGGGTGGTCGCCAGACACATGCCCTTGGAAGACAGGAAGAAAGGAGGTGTTTTCTCCGCCTCCTGGTCGATGTTATGTGTGTTTATTCAGCAACTGACCTTTCATAGTGTGATTGGCAACAGATATCCTCCTGCTAGACATTAAAGCAAACACATATTTAACTTGAAAATGTGTTCATTTTCATGCTTCTTTCTTTCTCATTGCCCATTGCTGTGTGATCAGAACTAGAAGGGGCGAAATACAGAAACAGAATACAGCCAGAAGAGGCAAACGACAGAAATTCAAATTGCCGTATGACAACACGAATTTGTAGTTTTAAAAAAATCGGTTCTGTTAGTGTGATAATATGCAAAATATGTCTCCACGTGGACAAAAAATGGGCAAGAATATATTTAGTTGTGTTTTGGGAATCAGAGTATGGGTAGTTTTTTTTAAATTTTTTTTTATTATACTTTAAGTTCTAGGGTACATGTGCACAACGTGCAGGTTTGTTACGTATGTATACATGTGCCATGTTGGTGTGCTGCACCCATTAACTCGTCATTTACATTGGGTATTTTAATTTTCATTTACAAATTTTTTTGAGAGACAAGGTCTCACTGCCACTGAGGCTGCGGTGCAGTGCCGCTATCATAGCTCACTGCATCCTCAAACTCCCGGGCTCAAGTGATCCTCCCAGCTCTGTCTCCCAGGTAGCTGGGACTACAGGCGCACACCACCACACCAGGATAATTTTTAAATTTTTTGTAGAGACGGGGGTCTCACTATCTTGCGCAGGCTGGCCTTGAACTCCTGGCCTCAAGTGATTCTCCCACCTTGGACTCCCAAGGTGCTGGGAATACCAGTGTGAGCCACCGCACCCACCCCTCTTATAGTTTTAAATTGTATACAGTACTTTAAAAGTCAGAGTCCATTTTGGAGACAGACTTTCTCAAGCACTCTCCTTCCAGGTGTTTGTTCTTTTATTCCTTACCGAGGTAAAACACACGTACAGACAAACGCACAAATTCCAGTGATTTCCCACAAATTGAACACACACATGTAACTAGCACCCAGATGAGGAAACAGAGCATGACCAGGACTTCCCCTTCCAAAATATACCTCCCTTTGTGCCACCTGTCAGGCACTACCGCAGACCTGGGGCCACTCTGCTGTCACCCAGCAGCTTGGTGACTTTGCTTTTGGTGAAAGGTCCTGGAGCTGCTGCTGCAGACGCTGGGGAGATTCCAGTGTGATTAGAAACGCTAACGATGACAACTGCGTTCTCATCTTTATTTTGCGGTTTGAGTTTTGTGTTTCGAATTTCAGTTTATTGGCTCTTCTGAAGCCCTGTAAAGATTTTGAAGTGGACAGTCATATAAAAGATTTCGCTGCGAAGCTGTCTTTAATACCCAGCCCGCCACCTGGACCGCTCCATTTGGTAAAGTATATCTGAAATTATATTGTTTTTTCTTTGCAAATAGTAAAAGTAAGATGTTGAAGATAATGTAAATGCTCACAACTATTTCTGAAGTTCTAGCTGTTGTAAACCTAAAATAACATCCTAACCCCCCCGCCTCCCCACAGCTGACTGACTGGACCCCCTTTTGGCCAAGGGGACCCCAGAGAAACCCAAAAAACAGAATGACTGGCCAGAATGGAAGGGAGGTCAGACACGCCTGGTTATACCCTCTCCCTCTTGCGTGAGTGTATGGGGTGTTTGTGTATAGGGTTGTAAACTAAAACGAAAATCCTAAGCCTCCCTACTGACTGAACAGGTTCCCTCTTGGCCAACGGGACCCTAGAAAAACCTTAAAAATGAAATTCCCGGCCATGACAGGAAGGAAGGTCAGACACGCCTTGTTATGCCCGCTCCCTTTTGGAGTTTAGGCACAGCTGACCAGCATTAGGTTAAAATGGAGATCCTAAGACCGACAGAACAGACTCTCTGTGGCCATAAGATTCCAAATTATGAACAAAACCTAAGGTCACACAAAGCAAGGGTTAAGTCACTCCCTACAAACCATAAGAGCTCCTTAAACAGGTATAATGTAGCTTACTTTCCAACCTGACTCTGGTATAGCATCCATGACAGATAGCAGACCCTGAAGAAAATCAAAGTATTTTACTGCAAATATGTTTCTTTGACATATTTTGAAATGGCACTGCAAAGCTGTCTTTTGTGGGGGAAATTTGCATCTGTAGAGAATCTATTCATGCAGCCAGGCCTGCCTTCCTAGGCCTTTGCCAGATCTAGGAGAGATGAACTGAGAGCCTGACACCTTTAAAGTGTGAAAAGAGACATTCACCATCTCTTCTCTCTGAGGGCTGCCACCTGTGAGGCTTCATTTATGTAGCAAGGGCCTCAGCCGCACACCCCCTTATCTTGACTCAGGCCTTCTTTCCCACTGACTTCAGATCTTTAGACAGTAGCTCATCTTTCTCAACCAATTGCCAAGTAAAGAATCCCTGAAACCCACCTATGACTTATACCCTCCTTCCTCTTTGAGATGCCTCACCTTTTTGGGCCAAACCAACCTCAACCTTCCATGGACTGATGTATGTCTTTGCCTGTCACTCCTGTCTCTGTAAAATGCATAAAACCAAACTGTAACCCGGCCCTCTGGGGACCACTCTTTAGACTGTTCCCTAGGCCACGGTCACTCAGAATAAACCCCTTTAAAATATTTGATAGAGTTTGGTTTTTCCATTAACACTGTGCTTAAATTATGTTTCTCAAGGTCCTTATGGGAACATTTTATATACTCTTCCTAAAGGTGAAAAGTTAAATATTTAGACTTGAGTTTTGCAGAGTGGGCTGTGATAAACAGAGCTAGTGATATGTCGTGGCACTTCAGTGGTTAGCATGTCAGTTCATAGCTCCCTATGCAGATAATACATGGAAACCTGAATCCTTTTATAGAAGAATTTATTCAAATTACAGATTTTTCATTTATTTGTTTATTTGTCTTTAATATTGAATATTATATATATATATATATATATATATATATATATATATATATATATATGTATTTTTTTTTTTTTGAGGCGGAGTCTTGCTCTGTTACCCAGGCTGGAGCACAGTGGCGTGATCTTGGCTCACTGCAAGCTCTGCCTCCTGGGTTCAAGACATTCTCTTGCCTCAGCCTCCAGAGTAGCTGGGATTACAGGCGCGTGCCACCACGCTGGCTAATTTTTTGTATTTTTAGTAGAGATGGGGTTTCACCTTGTTAGCCAGGGTGGTCTCGATCTCCTGACCTCGTGATCTCCCCGCCTCGGCCTCCCGAAGTGCTGGGATTACAGCGTGAGCCACCGCGCCCGCCCTGGATATTGTATTTCATTTGTTAGTGTTTTCTCTTGTACAGTGTGATTAATGAGAAGTAACTGGTTTTATATTTTTTGTTACTCTTAGATGTAGTGCTGTGTTACTTAATGAACAGGCAAACATTTCCCAGGCTGGTTTTTTTTCTGAGAGATGTTATTGGCGATTTCAAGACACAGGGTTTGGGGTTAAGTGAAGCTGGAGATGTGGCTGGCCACCTTCCCCTTTTGTTTGTTGAGAAACATGTCAGGTTGCTCAGCTATGTGAAGAAACCTGTTTGACTCAGCATGTTCCAAACTAATTTTAACTGTACTTAGGATGCTGCTTTTTATTTTTTCCTTTAATAGACACCCGTCAAACGTCTCAAAATGTTTAGTAAATGTCGATTCAGTTTCATTGTGCTAGTCCTCTGAAAGATTATACGTATTAATCTTGATCTTCTACATTTTTCTTTACTGACAATGGAAAAAATAAGTTTCTTGTATCAAAAGACACATGATTGTGAACTTAAAATGTGCGTTTTTAACATTACCCCAACCCCAGCAGTCTGCTGGGTGGAAAATCCTGCCGGTGCATTCCAGTCCAGATACGCAGCAGGCCACCCGTCTCTGTCAGCTCTGCTCCCAGAAGCCTTTGTAGGGCATGTTTATCGGCCGCGTGTTTTATGTGGATAGTTGGCATTTTCTTGTCAACAGTATGTGCAGTGAAATCATCAAAGTTTATGTTCTTGTTCTGTAAACGCAGCAAGTATTTACTGAGGGCCTGTGAGATCCGTGAACAGAGCCAGACCTCTGACTTGAGAGCAGTTTCAGGGTCAGCAGTAATGAGCTGCACTCGGCCTTTGAACATAAGGAATGCGTGCGTAGCACTCCCAGCGCTGCTCCGGGTCTCCTGGCCCGATGACTCTCGGCTCCTTCATCTCGACGCACCCGTGAGGAAGGTGACTGAGGGTTGCCGCTGGCCTGCTCTTCCCTCACCCATTCCGTCCATCACTCAGCCTCGCCGGACTACCTTCAGTGTTCCTTTCCAGTTTGCCCATTTCCTTGCTGCCACTTCACTCTGGGTCACCAGCTGCTCCCCGCTGCGTGACTTGGGGACCACTGGCCTGTCTGCTTTGGTTCATTCTCCACCCTTCCATTTGTCCTCTGCACAGTGGCTGCAGAGATTATTAACATGTGGATATTGGGCTTTGCTTCTCTTCCCCAAGCCCCACAACAGTTTCTCACCGTCTACCTTCCTCAGTCCTGCAGCCTGGACCCTGTCTCACTGTCCAGCTCTGTTTTATGCCACTCCCCCAGCGTGCTGATGTCTGGCCTCACTGGACTCCTGTCCATTCCCTGAAGGTGCCGCCACAGGGCCCTTGCACACGCTGTTTCCACAAACACTGTTTCCTCCATTTTCTTGTGGCCAGCTGTGGCTCATCTCTGGTCACTCTCAGCGGTCAGGTCTTCGGATCGTCTTCTCTGAGTGACCCCCACTCCCCGTCTCTCCGATAGCACCCAGTTCTCATCCCGCAGGGCACGGCACAGTTTGTAATTAGGGCTTCTGTGCATGTGTTTTTGTTTAATGTTCGTCTCCCCCATCAGACTCTGAGCTGCACGAAGGTAGAGGCCACACCCAGCACCGCATATCCAGAGCTCACAGCCGGGCCCGCACAGAGCTGCCCAGCAGTGAGCTGTGTGGTGGGCGAGCGTGTGCAGGGATGCCTCGGATTGCTGTGTTAGCCAGTCAGTGCCTGCTGATCTGCGTCCCGTGCGTGTGTCTGAATGAGTGACTCAGTCTGTATCGGGCTTGACTCAGTGCAGCTCTCCCATACCAAGTCTAATTAGCTACTGGCTCTAAGTTGGTATAATGCTTGTGATCTGTTTTAGGGAATGTCATACATGAGTGTTTATTGTTTTGAATAAATCCAAGAGGTCAGTGTAGGCCAAGGTTCTCATCTGATGCAGGAGCCAACCCAGCCATATTTTCTAGAACCCACTGCAAGCTTAGAGGCTGTTTTCGAGAGCAGTAGTGAGATGGGTCTTGTGTTTTGAATGCGTGTGTGTGCGTTCCTCATTACTTCTGGTCCGGGTTATCTCTGATCTATGCTGGTGGAAAGGAGGGAGGAGGGAGGGGGCCCCATGGCACAGGGGGTAGAGGACAGAGCCATGCCCTGTGCCTTGATTCCCTGGTTCCCGTTCAGCCCCCTTCCTCTGATGGTGCATGGACCAACAGCCGGAGCAGGGCAAAGACTAGAAACAGCCCCACTCTGCGCTCACCTGCCTTTTCTTGCCCTCCAGCGGGACTGATTTTACTTGCTTTGCAAATCTTTGGCTTAATTGGGTGTGCAAAATCTCACACACACACACATTCTTCTCTTGTACCGTATCTGAGTCATTTTCTATGTTGCTTTGTATGTGACACCTGTTCTTTCCTGGGGCTCAAATCAAGCTGAGATTTGGAAACTGTTTACCTTAAATATCTCTCTCCTCAGTCTGTTCATCTATGGAGTGGGTGAAATAACAGCCCACTTCAGAGAGTATGAATATTATATGCTGGAAAATCTCTAGCATGCACCCGAGACCAACCAAAGGCTGGTGGAGTGATTAGCATTTGTATTTTTTTTTTTAATCTTTAATTGGATAGCTGGTCGGCACATTTGTTTTTTGAAATATTGAAAATGTTTCATGTAAAGTTGACAATTATTAATACTGTGCCACAACTTGGATAATTTAACTTTGATTTCTTTTCTTTTACATAAAGAACTTTATTCACATAAATGAATCTGCCTTTTTTTTTTTTTGAGAGGAGTTTCGCTCTTGTTGCCCAGGCTGGAGTGCAATGGCACAGTCTCGGCTCACCGCAACCTCTACCTCCTGGGTTTAGGCGATTTTCCTGCCTCAACCTCCCGAGTAGCTGGGATTACAGGCATGTACCACCATGCCTGGCTAATTTTGTATTTTTAGTAGAGACAAGGTTTCTCCATGTTGATCAGGCTGGTCTTGAACTCCTGACCTCAGGTGATCCGCCCGCCTCAGCCTCCCAAAGTGCTGGGATTATAGGCATGAGCCACCACACCCGGCCGAATTTGCCTTATTTTTAACATGGCTTGCTTCTGTACACAAATTGGTAACAAGAAAGCAAAGAGACCCAAGCACAGTAGGTCCTCAGCGTGGCTGGCAGGTTCTCAGAAACTGCAACATTAAGCCCTGGGTCACAAAATCAATTTCACCATAAACTAATTGATGCAGACAAGAGTTAAGTTCCTATGGCATACTACTGGTCATAAAAAATCACCAAACTTCTAAATAAAGACCCAAAGCACTTCTGATATTAAACATTGAAGTAAATGGGAGCTGTACACACATTTAAGAACAATTAATTAAAGTAAGGAGGAACATCATTTACCTGCTTATTGCAGTTCAGGGTTGAGGGTGGACGGAGGCCATCCCGGCAGCTTAGGGCCAAGGCGGGAACCAGCCCTGGCCGGATGCTGTCCCATGGCAGGGCCAATCCCACGCTCTCCCACACTTGCTCACACGGGGACCTGTCCATATGTGCCGGTTGGGCTTCAGGAGGACCTGGAGAAAACCTAGCCGGGCACGGGCATGAGGAGAATGTGAAGGTGTCCCCCGCTGGGACGCGATTCCTTTTTCTCATCAACATTATAACAAAACGATGTTATTCAAGGACCTGCGTCTTGTTAGGAAGCAACGCTGGTGTCCCCACCACCAAGAAATTACCACCTTTTCTTGTTTTCAGTTTCTCGTGTGCAGGCATGCTTAGAATACAGACTTGGGAGACTGGGAGAAAGCAGGGCCACGGGAGACCTTGTTTGTGACCTGTTTTCTCCCCCCGGCTCCCTGCTTCGCTTGATTTCTTACCCTCCCAGGTGTTCCCTTGATGGAGTCTCAGCTGTCTGCTCTGATCATGTCTCTCCTTTCTGTTTCCCTGTGCTTTGCTTACACTTAGATCCGTCCATTACGCTCGTTTCCTGGAGCTTTGGGTGCCGAGCTGGGCACCCAGCATTTCCTGAGGGCCTCCCACGTGCCAGCACCCGGGTGGCAGGAACTCGCTGTTTGCAGCCCATTTCCTGGCAGGCTCAGAAGCCCTCCCTCAGTGAAGGAACTGAACCTTCTCCTCTGGATTTCCTCCGCCAGGTCCAGCCGTGTCTCAGTAGCCATTCTGTGAATACAGAATTTGAACTGAAGTGTGACTTCAAAGTAATACATTTAGAAAAACGTCTTTCTTAAAATTTGAAATGCACATGTCTTGAAGGAGCTTTGACTATTAAATTGTCAAAGCTATTAAAAGAGAGTTCATAGCATACACTAACTAAAAAGAATATGTAATACCTAAGAATAATTTGAACATGCTTGATTTAGAATTTGTGTTAATTGGGACAAATATCTGTCCTGTAGTTTATCTCTGTCTAGACAATGAGTAGTTTGCTGATTAATTAGAGCTTAAGGAATTTTGGCTTACTTAGAAAAAGACATTAAGTACTTAATTTATGTTTGAGCCTTTATCGGCAGTTCTGTATATCTCTAGACCGTTTGGTTATTCTGCAGAATTTAACGTGGCAGCCTGTGTCTTCAGAAATGTTTTCTAACTCTGATGCCCTGGGCACCGAAATAGTGACAGTAGTGCACGTCAGCCTCTGCCCGGAGCAGCTCTCTGAACTAATGACGGGAACTGGTTGTCGTAGGTATTTAACATGAAGTCGCTCCAGATTGTGTTACCTGCCCGAGCAGACCCCGAAAGCCCCATCCTGGACCTGGACCTTCACCTGCCCTTGCTGTGCTTCAGGCCTGAGAAGGTGCTACAGGTACGCGGCCCCGCCCCGGCGAGCGCGTCTTGTGCTCCCTGCCTTAGTGGGGCATCAGAGCAACGATCAGAGATGATGAAGATGCGAGTTTATTCCACAATGCACCGACTGGTATACTCGAAATGTTTATTATTATTTTTTAAAGCCAATGTTCCCTACAGTGCATGATATTTGCAAATGGCACCCTTTGCAGAGTCTCAGGTGGCTTTTGTTTGGCAGATGGAGCTGAGGGACCAGGGAAGAGCCCGCAGTCAGTCTGGTTTGGTTGGGTGGTGTGTTTATGAGCATTTTCTCTTTATTGTACTGAATCAGAAGTGTGTACATGGGCCGGGTGCGGTGGCTCATGCCTGTAATCCCAGTACTTTGGGAGGCGAAGTGGAAGGATTGCTTGAGGCCAGGAGTTTGAGAACAGCCTGAGCAACATAGGGAGACCTTGTCTCCACAGAAAAATTTTACAATGAGCTGGATGTGGAGGCACGTTGCTGTGGTCCCATCTGCTTGGGAGGCCAAGGTGGGAGGATTGCTTAAGCCCAGGAGTTCGAGGCTGCAGTGAGCTATGATCACACCACTGCACTCCAGCCTGGGCTGGGCAACACAGCGAGACCCTGTCTGTATTTTTTTTTTTTTTAAAAGCATGTACTCAGTGCGGCGGGTTCTCCCCTCAGATCCT